>NC_000016.10:73047348-73350378 GCF_000001405.40 Homo sapiens
TTACTCCACAAGCGCATTCTTCACATTGTTTCGAACTGACCAGCGACTTCTCCAGGGCTGAAAAGGGTGC
The DNA here is from genome assembly GCF_000001405.40 of Homo sapiens. Lineage (NCBI taxonomy): Eukaryota > Metazoa > Chordata > Mammalia > Primates > Hominidae > Homo > Homo sapiens. The sequence continues at coordinate 73,047,419 of NC_000016.10, forward strand.
ATTTTTAGGCGGAGGCACCCAAACTTCTAAATGACACCAGTACCACAAGTATTCAGAAGGCAGGAACTAATCCAAAAGCAGACTCAGGAAAGGAGGAGGGAGGGGAGGACAGAGGGAAGGGAAGGAAGGAGGAAGGAAGAGCTTTACTGTGTGCCCAGCAGAATTTAGGCGCTCTCACCCTAGGTAGGTGGCAACTGGAGTCTGGGAGTTCAAGTGCATCCAGCCTGCCCTTCCCCCACACGCCCCAAGAGAATGGGAAGTTCAGCCAAGACTCGCAGCACCTGCCCGCGGCTCCAGGCCGGCTGCGCGGACCCGGAGGGAGGCTGCACTCACCTGGCACACCAAGCCTCCGCGCACCTCCGGAGGGAGGCGGCACTTGCAGGTCCGGGGGCCGCGCCGCCATGCGCAACAACGGGAAATTCCAGTGGCACCCGAGCCCCGAGCTCACCCACCCCAGGCGGCATGCTCCCCACCTCCCGCTGGCCCCAGGACTCGGAGGTGGCTCTGGTCAGGAGCAGGGGGCCCGGAGACAGGGGAGGGGAGCTCATGGTGGCGGCAGGGCTGGCGGTCGGCCCGTCCCCGGAGGGAGGTCCCCGGGACGCGGCGGGGATTCACCCACGGGGCGCGGCGCTGGCGTCCGGGTCCCCGGCCTGCCCGCCGCCGCCGCCTCCTCCTCTGCCGCCGCCCGCCCGGAATCGCTTTATGTAAATGAAGCCCAACTCGCAGTTTGCAGCGCGCACCGCCCGGGGAAGGGGGGCGGGCGGGGCGGGGGGCCTTCGGGGATCCACATTACACAGCAACAAAGCGGAAGGTTAATTTGAAACTCACAGCCCCGCTGCCGCTCGGCTCCCCGGGCAAAGCCTGACATCTACAGTCGTGCCGGGCGCAGGCCGGGTTGCTCGGCGGCGACCGCGCCCGCCCGCCCGCAGGGACCCGGGGACGCACAGGGACGCGCGGGACCCGGGCGCTCAGCTGCGCTCGCTCCGCTTGGGGCGCGGGCCTTGGGGCAGGCCGGGGGTCCCGCGCACCCGCCTGGGGCCAGGAACCCTCGCCGCTCGGCCTGCGCCGCCCCGGGAACCGGCCCCGGCGGGAACAAAGCCCAGGCCCTCCCGGAGGCGCTGACCCCTCGCTCATCAAAGGTCAGGGGCCGGCCTAGAATCGGGCGAGAAGAAAGGGACGCGCCCTCGGCCACTAAAAGGAGCCTGAGGCCTCCGAACCGGAGCCATCGCTCCCTGGGCCCCGTCCACGTCACAGCCAGGCCACTCAAGCATGGGGACAGGAGCCAATGTGGACAGGAATTTATTGGAAACACACACCCATCCTATTAACTGCTTTACAGAGCACTTCTGTTTTTCAGTTGCAGAAACTTATAAAAACATCCCCCTGCTCTCCGTTGAGAGTTTAAGGATAGTTTTTGAGGCCAGAGAAAGAGAAAAGGAGAGATCACTAGAAAGATAGGAAGAAAAGAAGTGGGAAGAAAAGGAGATGCAGTCTACCATGTAAGCCTCCAGGCTCCTTAGCCTCACCTTATAAAGCCACATCACCGCAGAGATAGCAAAGATCGTGCCCTTTCCCAGGGAGTTCCTACCGCCAGGGTAAGATTTAAAGCGGCCACCCCAGTTGGTCAAAGTGATTGCTGGGCGCCTTTCTATCTCCCCAAGTTCACCTTTTCCAGTTGGTCAAAGCGATTGCTGGGCGCCTTCTATCTCCCCAAGTCCACCTTTTTCCATTCTCATCTGAAAGCCAGCCCCAAAGAAATCTCACCGGAAGTCCTCTGTCCTCCCTGTCAGAATCCCACCCTCAGTCTGAATTTACTCCCGATTCTCACAGCACAGAAAGGCACCTGCTTTTACCCTTTCTGAAAACCACCCACCCAGGCTGGCCTTACAGCCTGGAGAGTCTTTTCCTCGGGCACAATAATGAACCATGCAAGTGTTAGAAATATAATCAGCTCATGAGGCGAAGAGCAGTATGTATGGAATTGTATTAGCATGAGGCACACACTGACTCGGGAGAAAAAGGGATGCTTAGCTGGTGAAAACCATCACATCCCCGTATAGAAGGCTTTTTGCACAATGTAAGTTGGGTTCAGATTAATGTAAGTATCTAACCTGTTGGGTACAGACAGCCCCTTTCTACATTTTAGTCCAGAATAGATTCTGGGGAAATTTATTTATTTATTTATTTATTTCAGCTAAGGCCCTGGGAGAAAAGACTGCCTCCAGGGAATCATGTCCGATTAGGGACAAAGGAGGGCACAAGCCCAATTCAGTCACACGTGAGAGCACGGGGGCCGGGTGGGGGGAGTTAAGAGCCAACAGGGAAGGTGGAGGATGAGTTTGCAAACCAGACTATGGTCACTGCAGAGCTGCTTCCAGACCACCTGACTTCAGGCCCAAGAACAGGTGGTGTTTTCAAAACACACTGTTATTTATATTGGCCATATAAGTTGAGAACACCTTAAAGAAAACAATTAATAATTTAATTGAAAAAGTGACTATGAATAAGACATGAAGATGACGTATGCTAGCAGGACCGCAAGCAACGTGGCCCACAACGCAGAGATGCCTCTGGCAATCTCTCCGGAAAAACGAAGATTCCTTACCTGGGATAGGTAAGGCCTGCTGGATAAATTAAAGACAACAAGAAAATGTTGATACTCTCAGAAAATCTAATTTTGCTGCTTTATCTTCATTTTTATTAACAGGGGACAACCTCGTAATCTGGTGACATCATGATCCTGGTAGGCCCACAGACAAATACCTTCAATAAAATAAAAGCTAGAAAGCCCAAAGAACAAGCTATTAAAGTAACCTGGGAGGATGCAGCACTGCCTGGGCAGAAGGCCCGGACGGGATCTGCCCTAATACTGCCACTGTCCCAAGAGGCAGACCCTGCAACCTGCCTCCTGCACTTGAGAGGCCTGACAAGTAGAACTGAGAGTGACCCTGAGTTCCTTTTCTTTATCTGGCACCAGCTACACACATGATGAGGCCTAGTCAAGCCTGCCTTTGTTCCAGGCAAAAATTTAACAGGTAATCCACAGGCAGGTGATCTATGGCCTCTGTACATTATGGAAATGAGGGACTACACACAAGCTGGGTGTCACCTCTACTAAAACTCATTTTCCTTATTCATAAAAACAATACCTCTTCAGAGGGAATTGGCAACTTCTGCACTTACATATGAAATCAGGAGTTCCTCTGAAATACTCCTTGCAAATTCTATCCTCCAGCTCTGGAAGCCCTGGCTCTTCGGAGGGCAGCTGCCTGATGTTAAACCCATGGCCTACCCAGCAGTGACAGCCTGACATTCTCATCGCTCCATCCTGAACACTGCTGACAAATAAACCCACTCTCAGAAAAGGCAATTCTTCCCTCGCAGTTCTCCATACCCAGTCTCGTCTCATCTGGAAAGCGTAATTGGCAACAGCCGAAAGGATAAATATTTAAAAATAAATCAGGGAGCGCTAACCCCTTCCCTACTCCTCCCCTTACCCACTCTCCAAGCCAGAGGCCTGCCCCCTAACGCTGAGCTGGCTGGTAAATTACAATGATTCTACCGAGCCAAACCTGCTTGTCTCTCTCTTTCTCTACACATACACACTTACTAATGCTGTATCCTTCCACTTTTGCAAAGGTAAATATGATCTCTAAGATACAGTGGATGTCAGCATTCTGACTTCCAGCGTAACCTGGGCTCTCTTTTCACAGTACAGCGGGTTTAGACAGATTTGTGCACCCTTCCGGGTTCTTCTATTTTTATTAAATTATACGTATACATTGATTTTTAAAACTAGTGCTTAAATAACCCGGAGGCTTTAACAAAGAAAAATCCAGAAGAGGGCAAGAAACAAAAACAAACGTTCCTGAAATAAACAAGGAACCATTTGGAGCTGAATTGGCCTGAGTTCACCCCATGATTTTGAGGCAGTTATATTTAGGGGCCTGGTACCCGCTGGGTGGCCGAGCCCTCCTGGGTATGGAACAGAATGCAGAAGTTCCTCAGAACAGCTCACATTTGCCTTCATAACCATTGGAAGCTGGTGTGCCAAGGCCTGCACACAGATGTTTTGATTCACATTTTTCTGCTGAAGCCTCAAGGCCTCCATCCATCCCTACAGTGCTAATTCCATAGATTAATTTTTACCCCCAAATCGTAGGTGGAACATTATCTAATTTCCTTACCCACCCTCCCCAGCTCAGGTGCTAAATCTGTCAATGATATCCCACAACAAAGATACAAATGAGTAACCATTTTTTAAAAGCTGTGATTTCGGAGAGTTTTTCTAAATTAATTTTAAGTTACAAAGCCCCAAGTTTTAAGAAAGCCAAAATACAGAAGTTGCCTTAAAACAGCTTTACATGTTAGGTAAAGAGCTCTCTCTCTCTTTCTCGCTCCTTCTTTTTTAAACAAAAATATTATTTCTGAAAGGGCAAAGGGAATTTGCCATGCAAGACTTTTAAACACAGGGGGATTCTTACATTTGTGTTTCTAAACCTTGAAATTGAGAATTTTAATGAAAAGGCGGACAGATGCTTAAGGACAGCATCGCAATCTGGGTCCATACATTACAGGAGAGAGAGGCGCTTTGTTTGGGGCCAAGTAAAAAGAGGTGGGCTCCTATTTTGTTCATAGGCCATTCCCACCGTCTGACACATCCCTTTACAGTCGGTCTGATGCTAACCACTGAATTCTTGGAGGGGAAGCAGGTTGGAAGGAGAAGAAAGGAAAAGGGAAACAGAAGAGGAAAAGAAATGGGCGATGGGATACTGCCTGTTTATACAAATTGTAGATTTAAAAAAAAAAATCCCAACACGGTATCCATTCCATAGTATGTACCAAAAGCACTTTCACACGTGAGTTAAAACGATCCATTAAATGCTATATCGAAAGTACAACAACCAGGGTTGGAGTTTATTTTTTTTTTTTAATGAAGAATTCATTGAGGTTTGCAGTTCTCCCCTATTAAGCTTCTAAGGATGGGGCACAAGGCAGGAAGATAGACAAAAGATGACCTTTTTCACGCTTTCCCCCAAATAATTCTAGAATCCTATTTTCCTATCTTTTCATTTTAGGGCATTTGGGTTCAAAAATCTGTGCTAATCTGACTTCAGAGCCCCCGAGCTGAAAAATTCACATATCCTCCAAGTCAGCCAGTGTTTTAGAATTTGGATTTCTATTGAGGCTGTTCCAATCGCCAGTGAGGCCTACGGTAAAAACGTGCTTCATGCTGTTTCGTTTGTCTCTCTGCAGACAAATAGAAACTGTGAAATTTAAAGAATGGATGAAAAAAAGAAGTCTAAAACAAAGAGGTTAAAAAAATAGGACAAATGTTTTTGCTTTTCTGTCTCCCCGGAGCAATTGTGTGGGGAAGTCTGCATTGACAATAACCATGAGAAGGCCATCTAAAGGCGATGCGTACACAAGGGGACTCCTTCCCTGCTGCCTTTGGTCTGGGAGAAAAAGTACCTTAGCTCCGTTCTCCAGAAACAAAAGGCCAGGGCCACGGAAGGGGGGAGAGGTGACAGGGGCTTTCACATGGAGCCAAGTGTCAATGCTGGTTCATTTTTCACCCGTCTTACTTGGAAAGCGGCTCAGGGAACTTCCTAATGACTGCTTTTTCCCTCTCTCCCTATTATTTCTAAACCTAAAAGAACAAAACAATAATTTTTTTTTTAACCTAAAACCCATCATTCTATTAGAGGAAAGCCTTTGGGGCCTATGCAGTCAGATTTTCCTCTTTCCTTTCCTCATCCTGCTTTTCTTTTCTTTTTTGGAGGGGGGTTCCAATTGTAGATCACATGGAAATAAGAGACACTGGACACTATAGTCATTTTTAGTGACACCAGAACGGCCTTTATATCTACGAAAAGGCAGGAAACGGGGAGAAACACACATGCACAAACAACCCAACAGGGATGGAAGGCGGTGGTGGGGAGGCTGCGGGGGCAAGGCCTTGAAACACTTTCTTTTTTTCACAGCATGAGGTCCACTAATGCCAGCTTCAGATTTGCAACTGAATCAAAGTCTCCGAGTCGTCATTACAAGGTTTTTCGGTGGGTGGGGGCATGGAGAAGTGGACAATAAGGATGTATTAAAGACACAGACAAGGTGTGGCAGGGGCAAAGTGGGGGGAGGTGTTACAAAGAAAGGAAGCTGAGATGAATCACTGCGTGCCATGAAAATACCAGGGCGAGTGGATGTCGGAGTGTTTAACCAGATTTGAAGCTGGAAGCATCTTCCCCAGCGGGCAAACCCTAGGACGAGGCACAGCCACGCGACCCTCAGCCTTTGAACCCAGACCTGGCAGCTTAGGAGCACACTCCCCCTTCCCCAGGCAGCCACAGGCTCTGAGCTGAAAGGCAAGGCGGGGGTAGGGATAAGAGGGCCCTGCAAAGAAGCACAATCAACAACTCAAATATGAACGGAAATGACGTCAGCAAAGTGAAGGACCTGTTTACTGCAGATCAAAACAAAACAAACTTCCAAACCTTTTGTGTACACAAGAAAACTCTATAAAAAGCCTTCCTAAAATGTCACCAGGGTCGACACATCAGCAGCCCCACAAGAAAACGCATGACAGTTACCATGGAGGGAGGGGGGAGGAAAGGGGCTGAAGGGAAGATGATCTGGGGGGCTGGGGGGAGGAGTGATAAAACCAGAAGGAGCCCAAAACCCAGTTACTACTGCCCCCTCTGCTGATCCTTAATATTTATTGGTGTTTATAATCTAAAAGCCATGCTCCACGTTTCACTTAATACAAGGCCAGACAGTGTTGTCTAATGAGGTAGCATTACAATCAGCTTGTAATACTGAATTTTTAATGCTGCCAAGGATTCTGTTACATAATAATATGAAAAACAGAAGCTGAAAGTGGGCTCGCAGGGGACAGGACATTCGAGGTTCCAGGCAGGCGAGCGCCACCAGCCCGGTTCCCCTCCCCCACACCCGCCCCCCTACTTTCTGACGTGCAATCAACCCTCCATCCCGATACAGGAGGTCGGTATGGAAACCAGGAGGATTTTTTTTTTTTTTTTTTTTTTTTTTAGGAAATCCACACTTTTCATTATTATTGTTATTATACTCTCATCCGAAGTTTATAGCTCAAGAGTTTGAATTCTAGCTTTTCTGGGGTTAAAGGTCTAAAATGAAAATTAATTTTTTTGGAAGAGGTGGCGAAGAGACAATACAGGGGAAGAGAGGGGTAGCTTATTTTAAGCAAACCAAGAAATTTGGGAGAAAAATCACAGAGGGAGAAAGAACTTGGTGGGGGAGGGAATAGATGTCTGCCGACCATATTCACAGCTGCCGCACTCAGTTTACATTGGTGTAATTTAAAGGCATATATATAGCCGCCGTTGCTCCTCTCTGTAATACCCCAAGACTGTAAATCTATAACCACTGCAATGATTTAGTGATTAAAAACATGATAACATATTGTGTAACTGCAAACCACAGAACCCCTGCCAACTCTCTCTCTCTAAGATAAAGGGGAAAAAAATACAGAAAATGTGTTGCTTGCAGCCATCTTCCTAAACCCAAAAGATTTTAATAAAAGAACCTATACAGCAGACGAATTGGAAAGGGGTGAGTGAATTCTGTGTGAAGCCAGCAAAGGGAGAGAAAAAAAAAAAAGGCAGCTTTATGTGGGATTCTTTTCCTTGTACTAACAAATTACGACCTAAACATGCCTTTTCTTTTCTCTCTCTTTTTTTTTTTAATAGTTTGTTGTAACTGGAATAACTGGTCTTGTGCACTGTCTTGCATATTCAAAGCTGCTTTGTAACCGGATCTAGAGACCCAACCTTATTTGCCTGAACTCAATAGGGTTTTTTTCTCCCCCTCCTCCCGGGTTTTGTTTTGGATTCGGTATTGTGGGTTTTCTGTTGTTGCTGGGAGCCTATGTCTATGCAGGCATAGGCTCTGGTGCCTTTAAACCACAGACCAAACACCTGAAAGGGGGAGGCACAATTTGTACAATGGCAGGAGGAGCCTAAAATATACACCAAAAAATAAAATCAAAGCAGCTGTAGGGGTTTTGGCCTCTGAGCAGCTGACCTGACCCCGTTCTGTATATTCTTTTATTTCCCCATTGCAGGATTCCTGCACCTTGGGTCAGATTCAAACTCAATGTGACCCTGAGGAGAAGGCAGTCACAGAGTCCTGAAAAGCTGCTCCATATTTAATAGGGGTGGGGGAAGTAAGTGCATATGCATCCAGACTCCCCCAGTGAAGACACCCACACGGTGCAGACGTACGCGCGCGCGCGCGCGCGCGCACACACACACACACACACACACATACACACACACACACGTCAGGACTGCCAGGCCATGGGACCAGCTCCACCCCAGTTTTCTTGGCCCACACCACTGAGAGCCTGAACTCTCTTTGCGGGCCCCCCAAATCCTCATACCTACAACTCTACACACACACACACACACACACACACGCAGAGAACACCACTCCTCCAGAGACTTTGTATGTTTAAAAAGTCCACAGATCTGAATCGCCTCCTCTCTGGACCGGAGCAGGGCAGTTTATTCAGAGAAATCAATAGGAAAGAGCATTTGCAAATATTTATATAAGCCCTGTGCGTTTCAGCATTAAGTAATTAAAAACTAAAACCCGAGGAGGGGGAAGGGAGACACACAGACAGAGGAAGGCTGCTGGCCTAGAGTAGGTTTTCCTGCCCACACCTCATCTTCCCAAACCGCAGTCTTTTCAAAACTGACTCCGTGTACACTTTTTACGAAATCCTCTTCGTACACCATTTGCTAGACTATTTCAAAATCATCTCCAAATATGGATTCACCTACCACCAAGCTTTCAAGACTGACTGTGTCTGTATTCTATCTCTCTTCTCATACACACACAGCAACTCATACTTTTGACACTGCGTCAATCTCTAGTATATTCTCTTTTATTTTCCTATCTCTAATATACCTGCACTAGTTAAAAAAAAAACAACAAACCTAACATTGTAAGATAAGAAGAGGGCCCCCCAAGTGCCCATTCAAGAAGCAAACTCCCAACCCCTAGGTCTCCTGAATACCCCCCACTCCCCTCAACCCACAGGATGTCTACACTTTGGGGGTTCAGCTCCTGAAACCCCCACATGTAAACAGATTTGGAAAAAAAAACAACTTCAGCAAAATGGAGTTTTAGAATGAGCTACTATGGAGTGGACTTCCCTATATTGTTCCGGAGGGCAGGGCAGTAAATTCTGGTTGTTCTCCCTCTAAATCCTCTCTAAGAAGCCAAGCAAGGCGCTGGAGCACCCACGCTGCAGATATTGTAGAAATTTACAGTAAATGTAGGTACACGATTGCAGCACGCTGCCCTATTGATTATGCAGATTGTGATCAATCTTCTCCCCTCGCCCACTGCCCAAGCCTCTTTCGGAGGACCTCCAAATAAGTTGGTCTGCAACTAGCTATTCTCCCAAAGTAGGGAGGAAAAAAAGTAATTTTTTAAAAAACATAATAAATCCTCAATTGTCCCCACTGAAAGGGCTCGAGTCTTTTTTAAATTCCAAAGTGAATTTATGTTCTGTAATTTGCATTACAGCCAAGCGATCACCGTCTGTCATATTCTTCAAAGGTACTTAACAAACTGCCTTTTAAAAGTCACTAGAACTGGAGGCCAGAAAAAGGCAATCAGCATGCTCCGTCCATACAGTGCTTAGATCAAGTTTCAATAATTGAGACCAATAAAAATTGTCATATTTACCCTACTTGAAAGCAACAAGGGGGAAAAGTTAAGACTGGGTGCCTTTTGAAAGCGCTTGTAATCAAAGAATTTGCCACAGTCCAAAGAATAGCACAACATTGAACAAAAGTCAGATTCTGAGCAACAGCTTCACTCGCAAAGTGATATATACATATTTTAATTCAATAGTTATACAAGAACCCTCCGAGTACTGAGTCCATACACAACTTAATTATATACACTGCATGAAATACACTTAGATCTACTCTCCAATAGATATGCAAAAAGACGGACATTAAAATGCATAATGTAAAATTCAGGAACACGGTTTTTGCATCGAGTGGAGCCGGGCGAGGGGTGAGAGTGGGGAACCCAACGTAAACAATCCCAGATTCGCGAGAGCAAAAAAAAAAAAAAAGAAGAAGAAGAAGAAAGAAAAGAAAAAGAAAAAAGGCATCCTCGGATGTCTCTGAGCTCAGCTGGCGGAAGAAGGCCGGCCGGGCGAGGTCTGGCCCTGGCCAGCGGCGCAGCCCCGAGCCCCCGGGAGCCCCTAGTGTCCAGGGCAGAGTCCCCTCTGGGCGCTCGCGGCGCTGCCAGTGGGGCAGGGCGGAGAGCGCACAGGTAGAGGATCGCGCGGCCGCCTCGCCCCCTCCGGGACCCCGTGGCTCCGAACGGGCTCCCGCGTCGCCGGCAAGTCGAGCCCCAGCGCGGAAGGCGCTCGCCCGGCCAGCGGTGGCGGCCGCGGCAGCAGCAGTGGCTGCGACCGCGGCGACTGCTCCGGGCCGGGTGCGCGCCCCGCGCGGCTGCTCAGCCCGGGGCCCCGGCGCCTCTCGGGGTGGGGCAAAGTTGGGGGCCGGGAGCGGCGGGGGCGGGGGCACTCGGCACCGCGGACCCCCCCATACTCCCCCCACCGCCGGCCGCCGCCTTTGTCTCCGAGCTGGTACCCCGGCCGCCCTCCCGCCCTCGGCCCGCGCCCCGGCCGGCCCTGCCTGGCGGCGCCTCCAAACTCGCCGCGCGGGCCTCGCCCCGGGCGCCTCCACCCTCCCGGGGGTCGCCGGCGGCCGGCGGCGGCGGCGCGGGGCCGGGGAGGAGGGGGCGGCCCGGGCTCGGCGGCGGCGGCGGCGGCAGCGGCGGGAGGAGGAGGAAGAAGAAGAGAAAGAGAAAGTTTGGCGTAGGGGGAAGGCGAGCGGGACGCAGCGAGCGAGCAGGGCGCGGGCGCGGGGAGCGCGGGCGGCGGCGGCCGGGCGCGAGAGCCGGGAGGGGGCAGGACGAGCCCCATGCAAAGCAGCCCGGGCGCCCCGAGGAGCCCCGCGTCCGGGCGGTGGCGGCGGGAGGAGGAGGAGGAGCAGGCGGCGGCGGCGGCGGGAAAAAAAAAAGAGGGAAAAGTTGCCACTTACGCGGTTGCTTCTCCGGCGGCGGCGGCTGCAGCGGCGCTGCTGGCGACGGCGGCGGCGGCGGGAGCTGGCGGCGCTTTTAATCCCGAAAAGAGGCGCTCGGGCCGCGGAGCCCATCAAGGCAGCAGCGGCGGCTGGCGGGGGTCGGCGGCGGCGGAGGACGCGCTGCTGGCGGCGGCGGCGGCGGCGGCGGCGGCGGCGGAGCTGGAGCGCGCTCGGCGGAGCCCGGGGCGGGAGGCGGCCGCAGCCGGGGAGCCGGAGCCGCCGCCGCCGCTGCCGCCGAGCAGCATGGTTGGCGGGGAGTTTACAGCCCCCGGAGCGGGCAGGGGCCACGGAAGAGAAGCGGCGGCGGCGGCGGCAGCGGCTCTAGGCTGTAATTGGGATGCAAAGCAGGCGGCGGCGGCGGCTGCGGCCGGGAGGAGGAGGAGGAGGAGGCGGCGGCGGTGGCGGCTGCAGCGGTCGGAGGGGACGCGCTGGAAGTGGGAGCTGATGAGTGAAAAGAAAAAAAAGTCTTTGGATCTTTATTCTGCTAATTAGTTTCCTGCAAAAAATGGCTGTGATTAATTCAGTGCGCATGTGCTTCATTACCCAGGCACGACGGGAAGGGCTAATTAGCCACCTTCTGGATCAATAAGATTCAGCAAAAAAGAAAAGGGGGAGGTGGAGGGAGGCAGAGGGGAGGAAGGGAGGAAAAAAAAAAAAAAACAGGGGAAAGTGATGAGCAGGGCAAGGAGAGCAGGAAGAGAGGATGGGAGAAGAGCCTAGAAGAGGGAGAGAGGCTCCAAAAGTTTATGCATGTATTAAAAACACACACACACACACACACGACACACACACGAGCGCGCGCACACACACACACACACACACACACGCACACACACACCGAGAAGTGGAATGCATAGGAGCAACAATAGGAACCTGGCTAAGAATCTTTTTAAGATTTTTTTTTTCCTTTCTTCTTCCCCCCCTTCTCTTTTCTTTCTTATTATTTTCCCCTTTCTCTCTCTCTCTCTCTCTCTCTCTCTCTCTCTCTCTCTAAGCAAACGCAGCAATGTTTAAATTAACTAGGAAAAGAGCATCTCCAAAGAATGGGGGCATTAGTGGAGGGGGACAGCTTAGAGTAAAGGTTTAAGTGAAAGAGCAGAGACTTCGAATAGAGACCACTTTAAATTGCAAATCTGAGATTTTTTAACTGAAGGAAAATTACCTCCCCCCAAATCAGAGGACGAATGAAGAAAATATGGAGAAAACTTTAACACATACCATAGACTAGACAAAAAATATATGTTAATTTTGTGTTCTGAAATAAGACGCAATCGGTCTTCTCTGGTTCTTTAGAAGGAGAGAGGAAGAGAGGAGGGGTGATTAGAAGAAATAAAAGGGAGAAAGTGAATCAGAACTGAAAGGGGATAACTTCAGGAAAGACAAGAAAAGGAAAAGTTGCACTTGGAAACAAGTCCAACTTTCTACCTTTCTGGACTTAAGAGAAAAGTAAAATCAATTTTCTCGTGTGAAACCTGGAAAGCAGATGTTTTCAAAACACAGGAAGCTATTTTGCCATCAAAAGCAGGGATGTAATAAAGGCAGTGAAAAATAATTTCAGACTGAATTCATAAGAGAGAAAGCCAATATATTTAAATATAGAGGAAAGGCCTAGGGTGTAGAAAGGGGAAATTACATACCCCTTCCCTAATGCCAAAAAAAAAAAAAAAAAAAGCCTTACAGCTACCTCCAAGAGTTTGGAGCACAGTCACGAAGCCAAAGGGCTTGAAATGAGAGGATGGATTTCAGATAAAGACTAGGAGCGGTACATCCCACTAGAGCCCAAAGGAGATCCCTGGAATCAAAGACAGCAGCGAGGGACCCTACTACTGTACCGATTCCCAGTACATCAAAGCCATCACTTAGGCTGGTGCACGGTACCTCCAAAAAGCAAGCAAACAAACGCAGGAAGAACAAGAGTCAGTGTCTGTCTGTCTCTCTCTCTCTCTCTCCCCCCTCTTCTCTGTCTCTTCCCCCCCCTTTCAAATCCTAGCCTCAGCGTCACTGCTACTGCAATAGATTTTTTAAAAATGACAAGTTGTATTTATGTAAGTTCTAAATATGAACTAATACCATTGAAATTACAATGTCTGGAATAAAATAAAATGCAATCAGCACTTTAAGTAATCTGCAAATGTAAAAACAACATTTATGTTTTTGAAGGCATTATTAGTAAACCCTGTAACACCAGATAGCTTGCTAAAACTTATTTTTCTTGGGAAAAAATGTTGCCCTAGCCTACCAGATTATTTATTTTAGAAGGAATTTGGGAATTAATCAGGAAATCTGTTTGATTAGAAAGTAATTCTTCATTTTGAGAGATTTTCCAATGCTCTTAAGAACATGCAGCTTCTTAGTCAAGACTAGAGAGAAAAAAACCGGTTTAGGATTTTGCAGGGTTACCTCATCTAATCCTTCTGAATTCACTCTGGGAATAATGCTATTTTATTTACGGGGGGCGGGGGAAGAAAATACATTTAGAAAAATCAGGGGTTTCCTCTCTGTGAGCCAAATCTGGGTTGCCATTCAAACTTTTTCTGGCTGCTTTTCCATGCAGGACAGCTGATCAATAAAGCCAAGTCCAGCCTGGCTTGCTACAGGTTTCACCAGTCAGTGCTTGCAAAACCTTTGTCATTTTCTAAAAATAAAAAAGCTAAAAGTTATTGTAGAAGAAGGGGCTTTTTTTTGTCCCCTGCACAATGTGTCTTTTGTGAGGTTAATGCCATTCTGGGCTCTCGATAGCCCTGGACAATGGGGAACTCTCTAGGAGCCTGCAAAGATTCTAGCTTTTTTCTTTCTTGCCTTTTTTTTTTTTTTTTTTTAAGGGAAGGATGAAACATTCCTACAGTCCAAACACAACCTCTACTGTGATTAAATAAATATTTATCTTTATTGTAGCCATTGTATATTTTTACCTTCAGTTTGTCCGGTTTCTGATTATTATTTTAAATTTTTCAATGGCAACAGTTAATCTTTTTTTTTTCCCTTTCAGTCCAAAGGGCAGGTCAGTGTAAAATGTAGCTGACTGAAGGAAGACTGGTAAATTCTGAATTTTTCCATAATACATCAGGTAAGGAAAATTGTTCAGACCCTCAGGAATATATTCACTTCCTTTTTATCTGTCTTCACGAATCTTCATAAAGCTGTTTATTTTTTTAAAGATGTGGTAGAATTAAATTCCTCTTTGTAGATCTTGAAAAATCACTTAAATACTATGTATTTATTTTCTTTTAAAATGTAAATAGTACTAGAAGTGAACTTGCAGCTTGTTTCTTATATAAAACGGTGCGGAGGAAGTCAGTATTTCCTTTAGTATAAGCTATTTGGAGGAAATTCTGGATATAAATGTATTTCATGTTACAATATAGGAAAATGTCAGCTTAATCTGGTAAATACTTATGCTAATTTTACTGAGTGAATTCGTTATAAGGAGGAGAGGTACCAAGCTTGTATGATTGAATAATGCTTAGACGATAATCCAGCATCTATATGGATTATTTTACGTACAAAATGAGAAAAAAAAAAGGAAACAAGAAATTCAGAATCTAAATCTTTCATTTAGCTGGCAAGAGGGCAGAAAATTTTAGACCAACCTGTTTTTAAGACATTTACATTAGGAGGGAAAGTGGAATGTAGGCTAAATATTGCATTGCTGTGTACATTTCTCTAGCTCTCACTCAAATGGATATAGATATAAAAACACAAAAATATATGCATAAAGGGGTACATAAATATACATTTGAATGACTTCAGATGTCTTTGCATTTGTGTGAGTATGTGAATATATCTGTGCACACAGATATACAAGGTGTACATAAATTCAGGTACTGGGCAGAGCTGTGTGAGTGCTCGCTCACTGGGGGCTTGTGTTTCCAGATCTGTTTGAAGCCACTTCTTTGCAAATATAACATAAAAAGGTTGATTTAATGATGAAGATGTGAATGGTGAATTTGAGTAAGAATCTGCTTCCCTGCAATTATCAGAATATGGGGTTGCAATGTGAGCAGCTATTATTTGGTCCAAAGGCTAAAGAGGCAATGGGCCATCTTAAGGGGCAAGGAGGATGAAGGGGTCTTAGGAGATCTCACTTGGAAAAAGCCTAGCTCTGGGCCCTGGGTTTTCTTCTGCAGGGAGATTGGGGACACAGAAGCAAAAAAAAAAAAGGAAGAAAAAAGAAAACCCCGTGTGGAGGCAGGAGAGGTTGAAAGGACGCCTCTCCGTACAACTCCAGAGCTAGATCTAAGGAAGGGGTTGGAGGGTGAAGAATGTGCGAGTCCCTTTTCGAATGTGTATTGTTATTCTAAGTCTATTGTATGTACGTGTTGCAGTCCTTTCATTTGCCACAACATATGGATTCCATAAATGCAGACATGCCGAAGTGCATCTGTCTGGGTAGTTAACATGATCTAAACATCCCTCTTCGTTCCGCTAACTCCGGCTCTTCTTCGGGCTCCTCGGCAGCGCTCCGGGCCAGCCGGCCCGTGCCCCAGGCTTGCAGCGCCCGGCAGCCTCGTCCTTTTGTGGTCTCTGCACGGGATCCAAGGTGCCGCGCGGAGGAGGCGGGCTGCTCGCAGTGCCGGGGTCAGAGGCGCCGCCACCGGCGGCCTCTGCGCGCGCGGGGAGGAAAGGGTTAAGCTGCCCGAGCCCGGGGAAGGGGCTGCTCTCATCCTGGAGCGAGGTGCAGCCACCGGCAGCTGTGATTTAGGGGTCAAGTCCGAGATCACCTTTCTCCTGCCTCTGGAAATGGCAGAAGATGAGATAGGGAGGGAGAAACTAGAGAGTGGCAGCCAGGCGCAGCACGTGGGCTCCATCCATCCGACACCCCCATCGCCCCGGTCCACTCCCTGACCCCCAGACAAATCGGACAGTTCCCTTTTCTGGTAGAGATGCGGGGTGCGCTTCTTCTGAGCGTCCGGAATCGCTCCATCCAAGGCTCTGCCCTAAGGTTAAGCCACTGTGCCCTGAGCCTCAACCACCAGATCTCAAAAGTTTGCTCTCAATGCGCCAGACAGTGAGTAGCTGAGTCTGAGTAAAAATCACCCCCCCTCCCCGTTTACGAAAACCAGGGGTCCCCCTGGCAGGACTAGGCCGTTTGAATGTTGGTGCTAGACCCTCAGACTCCTGTCACAGTCCCCACAGTCGTGAGGGGATGTACACAGTGGTGCCCACTACATGCAGCTTCTTGCTTTGTGCCTGTATTCTTTCTCAGGATCTTGCTTTCCCCCAACTCAGGCGGACTGGGGAATACTTTGGTCAAAATAAATTTTTACACCTGAAAGGTAACCAAAAACCAAATTCAGATGTGTTTCTAGGGTTTTTTCACTGGAAAAGAGCAGAGGGTCTGAAGTCCCCTTTTGTTATGGTTCAGTGTCCGGCCCGCCAGGTTGAGGGTCCCCGCGCCCAGGTGACGTTCTGGGGGCTGTAGGGATGCGCACCGTGCCCACAAAAGGCGCTTTAATTGAGAACGAGCTTCCCAAATCCAACTCCACGAGGATGGCATTTAGGACGACAGCTCTTTCGGAAAGTTACTCCAAGAAAAAGGAGTTTTTTGGTGGGAAAAGAAAACTGGCTCGAAATGACAGAGAGAAAAGGGAACTAGATCCCTGGGGGGCAGGAGGCAGGTGGGGGGTGCGGTGAGAAGATAAGGAGATGAGCCGGGAAGTACACGGACAGGGAGTGTGGGGCGCGGCCAGGGAGGTTCCGCGACGCCCTCCCCTGACTCTCACTCCAGCTACCAGGGTGAGGGTGAATCACCCCGATTTTAGCTTCTGCTTCCAGGGCCAAGAGCAGACCAGCTGGTCTAGAAGGCAGCTGAGGTCTGTCTTCTGAGCCCTGCCGCCCCTAACCCTGCCAGAGCCTCCAAACCGCGGAAATCAAACCAAATTGGCCGCTCAAATCTAGAGAGGTTTCATCCCTGGGGCAAGGGGGAGGGAACAAGCCTTTTTTTTTTTTCTTTTGAACTCCCGATTCAAAAGAGACCACAACCTACTCTTGAGTGTCATCTCCAGTACATGGATTGTGGGTATGTTTCATTCTTTCTTTTTTCCTGTTTCTCAGAAGTAAAACCTTTAAAGAATGAGCCCCAAACTTGGAGCGCCCGGATCCTTGAAAGAGTTCCAAATGATAAAGCCTGCCCTTCATTTTGAATACATGGCGCATTGTGAAAATGCAGGGCAATTAGTCAGTTCCAGGGTTTGAGTCAGATTCCCAGTTTCCTCAGCTTCTTTGCAATGGAAATCTGAAATCCAACCTTGGGGCAGGAGGCGCGGAGCCGGTGGCTCTCCCGGGTTCCACACCGCCTGCACCGCTGGCTAGCGCCTGACTTCCCTTTTGGTGACCTGGTAGGTACTAGAAGTTTGCACCACATGTAAAGCCTGGGGCGAGTGAAGAAGAGAGAGAACTAACTTCATCACAGCGCAACAAAGTGAACAACTTGAGGGCAAGAGACCCTCGGTCGGGCTGTGTTCGCTTTAGGGATTTCCAAGGGCATAACTTGGGGGAATGGTAGAGACTTCTTGCTTGCCAGCCGGAGCCAGGAAAAAAGGAAACCCTGCGATGGGCGGGCGGCGGGCTTGGGAGCAGGGCTGTGAGTGGGCAACTGAGACCTGGCTCCCATCTGCACATAGCCCTCCTGGGCCAGCGCCGGGAGACGGTGCCCACGGTGGCACGTGCATTGTTGACACGCAGACACGCAGGCGTGCGATAACGGAGGGATGCGCGGCTGAACAATCCCCCCACCCCACCCCATGCTTGCATTTCTTGCAGGCATGGCTTATTTAATGGCCAGGGAATTGAGTGCCTCTTACCCACCACCCCCATCCCTTTTATTTTTTGCTGAGAAATGTAAAAAGGAACCTATGCCGTGTACATATTCTGAATAAACGTGAGGGTTTTTTTTTTTCTTGAGGAATACCTAGCGCCATAATTTTGTGATTTAAGGGGGCGAGGGAAATCTTTGAAATGAAGGAAATCAGTGGGGGACGAACTAGCTTTTCCTGGTGTGTGTGTGTGTGTGTGTGTGTGTGTGTGTGTGTGTGTGCGTGTGTGTGTCTCCCCAAAGCCAGTAATGGGATTTAAAATGAGAGATTCCCAGTCCTCGTCCTCCCTCCCATTCCATTTTGCTCTCTTCGCCCCAGAAAACATCTGCGATAACCGGCTGCACGTCTAAAGGGACGGTTTAAAGAGAAACAGGGTTTGGGGAGCGCATCAACTTTCTCTTTTTCAAATAAAGTTGAAAAAAAATTCCAAAGACAATTTAAGCAACAAACGACATCGAACAGATATTTTTCCAAGGCAAAAAATTTCCGATTCGTTGGTTTCCCATTCTCAGAAATAGAGAAAAATGCGAATCCGATCTTCCCGTGCGCTCATGACACGAAATTTGGAGCCCGTACTTGGTTAAGGCTGGTGAGTGCAGGGCAGGGCGTGGCCCCACGGCCGGCAGGAGTCCGGCGCACACTGGGCCTGGAGCGCACTGACTGGGGCTCTGGCTAGCCGGGCTACCCGTGGGGTGGCCTAGGGCCCAGCCTGTGTCAAGGCTGCGGGCAGGGCACTGGTCCCCTGTGGACTCGGGGCGCGCCCTCTCAGCCGCCTCCCTGTTTAATTCCAGAGCTCAGCGGGCTGCAGGGACATTCGACGCCAGTTTCCTCAGGCCCGGGCGTGAGACGCGCCCTTCTCGTGTCTGCTCTTCCGTCCCTCTGCGCTGGATGTTGTATAGCGCAGGCCCCTTCCCTCCCCGCCTCTCGTTCCCAAAACCTTATCATTGAGAATTCGACAGTTGCCCCGAGATGCTGATCCCAGTTCACGGAGCCAGCGTGCGCGTCCCTAATGCCCGGCACACCCATCTCCATTTCGGGACCCTTTTTTTTCCTGCGGGCTCTGGACTCCCGGGAGGAAGCCTCGGGCCCTCCGGCTCCCCGGAGACACCGGCTGAGGCGCTTAGGCCAGTGCAGAGTCGCCGCACTGGGACCCAGGCGCCCCTCACAGGTGCACGTAGGGCATGGCCCAACGGCCCCTCGGATGGGCGGGGAAACAGGCCCGGGCGGAGCAATTCGATCACCCCATTATGCCCCTGCGGATGCCCAGAAAAGCCACGAGGCCCGGGGGACCGCCCCAGCAGTGGTCTGGAAAGGAGAGGGCGCGGCGAGGGGCGCACCTCGCGCCCAGGGCCCACGCCGCCCAGGCCCCGTGCCTGCCTCCCCGTCACCCTAACTCCGCACCCGGGACTGCTGGTGGTTCCCTTCTCTTTCCGCCGTTCTCGCCGGGCTGCCTAGTCTCTTTAGGGCCACAGATGCGCCCTCCTCCCCCCAGCCCCGCGGGATACGGAGGTGAGAGCACTGAGATGGGGACCCTGAACCCAACTGCAGGAGGACGCTGGACCCCTATGTCCCCAGGAGCCCCTTCCAGCCAAGGCCTGGGGAGGGAAGGCGCCTCTGCACCCCTCAGCCCCAGGTGCAAGAGCTGGGAGTGGAGAACCCCCGGGGCCCTGCTCGCCTCCAAGGCAGACCAGAAACCGGGCCCGCCAAGGAGGCGGGAGTGGGTGTGTGGAGTTAGCGAAGGGCCGTCTGGAGGGGTGCCTGTGCCTGCGTGTTTGGTGCTGCACGTCTCCCTCCCTCTCATTCTGTCTGGGAAGAAAAAAGAAAGCGGGCAGATTTGAGCCGACCCCTCTTTCCGCAGCCTGGGAACGCTGCAGCAGGAAGAATTGCTCATAACGACACTTAAGCCCCGACAGTTGAATGCTAAAGGTTAAACTTACAGTCTTCAGGGAAGGGCTTCCTGCCAACTGGAACAGTGGTGCGCGCTGCCACGGGCGCTCCTCCACCCCAGCCTGGCCCCTCCAGGTACAGTTCACATCACGGCTCTTGGCATTTGTGAACTTCAGCGAAGGAGCCCCTGGGTGCTGGCTTGTCCCTGCCCCTCATCTTCAGGGAACCTCTCCTTCCTGGTCTCCCCCATTATTTTGCCTGTGGCTGGTTGAGACCTCAGTTTGTCCCTGGGATCCTGCCCTGTGGGTCCCAACTAGTTCCTGCTGTGCAGTTGGAATGGACCCACCTTTGCAACAAAGATGCACGGTTCACACAGGTGGACACTTTGGAGAAACTGCATTCATCCCTTGTCCCTTTGCACAGAGCACTCAGTGGCCCCTGCAGCTTGGCACAGATAAAACCAAGGCTAATACACTGAATTTAGTGCCCAGCCTTGGAGGGGTCTGCAGAGAGACGCTGGCTGTAAGGAGGCAGGCGGGGGATTGTCAGGTGGAAAGCTTCCCCCAAAGGAATAGCCAAGGGAGTCTCTATTCCACGGACCAAGGGCCCCTCCCCCAACCCACCACCAAATGATGGTAAGGTTCAATTTAGCACCCCTAAAAAGTATATTCCAGTAGGAGATAGATGGTAAAGAGAATGCAGTTCAGCTCTCAGGAGCAAGGGAAGGTGGCTCTTTTCCTACCTCCCTAGAGAGCCCACATTTGCTGAGCACCTACCTTGCCTTAGCTCCCTGCCAGGCACTTTCCAAATAATTGCATTCAGTTCTCCCAGCAACCCTGGGAAACTGGTATTATTAGTCCCATCTTATAGATGAGGAATACCAGATTCAGAGAGGTTAAGTCACTCACTTAAGGTCACACAGCTATTAAGTGGCTCAGCTTGAATTTGAACCTGGGCCTGTCAGGCTTTAAAGCTATTTCTATTACACCAGTTGCCTCTCATCAAGGTCAGTAGAATCAGGGGACCCAAGGGATGAGAAAAGATAGATGTGTAGGGCAGATGGGCTGAGGCGCAGGAAATAAAAATATTCCCGGAAGGGTGCTCTGGTTTTGTATGGATTCAGGGCTAGATTCAAGACTAAGAGACAAGTCACTGATGGGCATGGTCCCCCATGTTATTCACTAAAGGGAAAAAGGCCAAAAGGGACAATGCAATAGAGAAATATCAACAAAATCCTAGGATTACAGGGTTGGAACCCATGTAACAATTGCCTGGTGTGCCCCTTGGTTTTCCAGCCTCGGCTGGCCATACTAGGGAAGTTCATACCAGGCCTTTTTGTTTTTCTTTGTAAATTTTCTGACTGTGTCTGAAGCTCAGACAAGTTCCTTACTTCTGTGAGTCAGCAGGGCTAACAGGAAGGGATGATCAGATGACCAACTGCTCATGAAAAAATATGAGGAAATCCAGTAGACAGGGAATAAGAGCAGGCAGAGACAGACATCCAAAGGCAGGCCCCTTGGGAACTCCTGGTCACTTGAGTGCTCCACTTGCAGGCCCTAAGGTAGGGAAGGCTGTGGGTGGGGCAGCTCCACAGCTCCCTTGAAACAAAGATGATGCCTGCTTTGCCAATATTGAGGTTTGGCCACCTGATGGTCGTCCACCAACTCTGGCCTCCATGCGCACTGCGGGTACTGACCACCCCTTTGGGCGCAACTGCACAAGGGGGAAGGGTGGTCAGTCCAGTGGTATGGGCTGATCACTCCTCGCCGTGCTCGGCTGGGTTGACTCTGACTGATGCTGCCCAAGTATGAGTGTGTGTAACTGGGCAGGACTGGCCAGGCCCACACGGAGAGGTTGCTGAAAGCCTTGTTAAGGAAGTACTTCTGACTAGGCAATCCAATTACATAATGCTGCAAAAATAACTCTGGGCTGGGAGTCTTGAGAGTGACGTATTTTGTTAACAGAGAGGGGTATCAAATATCTGTCTTTTAACCCGAGGGCTGAAAGTACACTTGTGCATACTGACTGGCCTCTCACCCTCTCCCCCAATAAGGGATGTTAAGCGGGTGGCAGGGGGGAAGCAAAAGAAGAAGCAATGATGCACACTTGTTTTTTCCCCTCCTTTTTCCCAGGTGCAACTAAAGCCAACTGTTCAGTTTAGCTATATTCTGCCAGCTCACGTGTCCGTCTACAGAATCGTGCACACCCAAATTAGCCATGCAGTGCTATAAACTGATCAGGGAAGATTAAGCAAAAGAAATGAGGGAGAGAATAAGAAATGAGAGAAAAACAGAATGAAAGGTGGTTTTGTTTTATTTTTTGGTGGGTAGAGAAGGGGAAGGGGTGAATTGTCTCATTATATTCATGAAGACTAGACTAGGACTCCTAGCTTCCCACTAAGGTGACCAACTGGTCCCAGTTTACCTAAGACTGTCCCACATTTAAAACTGCATCTTAGGAACCCACTCATTTCTGAAAAACTGAGTTGGTCACTCCACTTCCCACGGGCTTTGGCCAAATTTCCACCCGGTCAGAAAATAACTGGTCATAATGGTATATCCTGTCAATCCAAAATTGTTCGAAGAGTGATCTAAATGAGATATTTCATCATGGACGCAAAAGCCTTATTTCCAGGCATTTGAAGAAAGATCCATACACTTCTTCCTCCCACTACCATTTTGGATTCTAGAGCTTTCCAGGTGGAAAAATTACCTGCTTCATTCAGTTTGCTTTCAGATAAAGTTTCCAGAGGTCCCTTTCCCATTTTAAAGTGCCCCGAACTCCTGCCATGTTTTGCTTGAGAATCCTTTCATACCATTTTTAAAGAACACTGCTTGAAAGTCATTGTACCTTTTTTCAACTTCTTTTCTGTTGTGGGGTCTCCATTCCTTCCTGGGGCACCAGGGTCACACACTGAACTGTATCAAACTCTTTTAATGTATTCTCATTGAATCTGTTAGCATTTTCTGTTTCCTAATGTTGATAATTATTGCATCTGATCCTTTCACTCTAAACTGCGGCCGTGCAATTCATCCTTAATCTAGATCCATCTGAGCCCCTTCCAAAGAAGACACAAAGATAAGCTATCCCTGGCCCAAGACACTCATAGCATCTGAGCTTAGATTCACATTTGTCCCCACCTCTATTATTTTTTTTTAATCAAAATGTTTCCAAACCCCTTGAGCTAATTATAAAAGCGAATAGCTTTTCCTCTCCGAATCATATTCCTTGACTTGTAAGAATGCAATTCCACTCTGAGACCACCTTGTCGCAGACGTGAAAACCTGCTTGCCGAGGACGCAGCAGAGAGGAAAGGGTGAAGCGGGATTCGTCTCCCGCCCTCCCTCGGCAGGCACTGCCTTTATGGAGTCTATTTCCAGTCTGTTTACCTGGCAAGGACCACGTGACCAATCCAGAAGGAAATGCTGACATCATTGTCTCTCTCTCTCTCTCTCTCGCACATGTGAGCCTCCCTCCCTCCCCAGGCCGCCTGCATTCCGGTATCCATCCTCTCTGCCTCTCTCCAGCGCCCGGTCCCCTCCCCCACCACTCACGCCTTCCACCACTTATTTCTCTGTCTTTCTCATGTCACACTTTCCTTTGTTTTCTTTTCCCCTTGCGGGCTGGTTCCTAGACCGTCTTGCGCGCGCGCGCGCGCGCGCGCGCACACACACACACACACACACACACACACACACATCTGGGTGCCCTTTTCTTTCTCCCTCCCCTACCCCGCCCCCCAACCCTCCCCCCCGCCCCCCGCTTTTCAGTTTTTTCAGATCTGTGGCCATTGAGCCCTCACTCTTTTAAAAACACCTTTCCTCTTTCTCTCTAGATTTGAGATTTCTAAATTAAAAAAAAAAAAAAAAGTCTGGAGGCCTAAAAAGTCTTCTGGGCCAGGGGTAGGGGGAGGAGGGCCAGGCAAGGCTGCGGAGTCCAGCCATTCAATTTCCTGCTCCACTGAGCTTCGAGATTTCGGTGTTGGGGGTTTGGTCAAACATGCTTTCTTTCTTTATTTATGTACAGCTTCTCTTCTTCTAGTCTCCATTCCACGTTTTCCCACCCTGCTGCTGACCAGGCTCCCCTGCCTTCCCCACTGCCAGACCACAGGTCCCAGCAGCTCCTGGCCTTGAGCGGAGGGAGGGAGGGAGGGAGCACGTGCAACTCGCTCCTGGTCTTTTCTCTGCTGCTGCTGCTGCTGCTGCCGCCGCCGCCGCCGCCGCCGATACTGCTGCTCATTCTATCAGGGGCTGGGGAGGCTGCTCAGCATCCTCCCAGCCTGAGACCCGGGGAGCTGGGAAAGCCAGGATGCAGAGAGGAGGGGAGGAGTGGCAGTCCATGCAGGTGCCTCCTGCCTGTTCAAAGGCCTATTTATAGGAAGAACCAGCAGGCAGGGCTCTGGGGTTTGGCTGCTCCTGGGCAGCTTTCTTGGTGCACGTGGGCACAGAGCCAGAGCATGCAGTTTAGAGGAAATGTTTAATAAAGACATGGGAGCCTCAAAGTGTTTATTTATTCTCACAGAAAGGTGGAGATAGGGTGTGCCTGGAAACTGCTTTGAAAGCGGACAGCAAGGTAGTGAGGCCACAGGGTGACACCACTGGGAATCAAAGGGAACAGCTGTCTCAGGCCAAGGGGCACAAGGCAGACACTGATGGGCCCCATTGCTTCCACCTCCCACCCTAGGCTGTTCTGAGTGGGATGATACCCCTTTTAGCTTGGAAGTGGGACATGGAAGAAGATATGAAGGGTCACATGAGAGTGAGACAATTAAGTAGTCATTACTTAGGGGTAAATTCATAATCCCCAGCACTCAGAAAGGTGGGATTCTACCTGGAGGGCATGAGTACTTCGATGGGTATGTTCACCACTGGGTTGGATAGAAAATCAGAAATGTAGGCCAGGTGGGGTGGCTCACGCCTTTAATCCCAACACTTTGGGAGGAAGGTGGATCACTGGAGGTCAGGAGTTCAAGACCAGCCTGGCCAACACAGTGAAACGCCATTGCTACTAAAAATGCAAAATTTAGCCAGGCGTGGTGGGGGCGCCTGTAATCCCAGCTACTCAGGAGGCTGAGGCAGGAGACTCGCTTGAACCCAGGGGGTGGAAGTTGCAGTGAGCCGAGATCGTGCCATTGCACTTCAGCCTGAGCAACAAGAGTGAAACTCCGTCTCAAAAAAAAAAAAAAAAAAGGAAAATCAAAAATATAGGATCCTATTGGAAGACCCTACTAAGACCTAGAGGTGGGACTCTGAATGTTAATATAGTACCTGCCTTCAGTGTTTGGGTTCATTCCTATTTCTTTGTTTTTAGAGACAGAATCTTGCTTTGTCACCCAGGCTGGAGTGCAGTGGCATGATCATAACTCATTGCAGCCTCCAACACCTGGGCTGAAGCAGTCCTCCCACTTCAGCCTCCTGAGTAGCTGGGACTACAGGCACATGCCACCATGCCAGGCTAATTTGTTTTACAAATTTTTTGTAGAGACAGGGTCTTGCTATGTTGCCCAGGCTGGTCTCGAACTCCTGGCTTCAAGTATCCTCCCACCTCTGTCTTCCAAAGTGCTGGGATTACCGGCATGAGCCACTGTGCCCAGCGCA
This sequence comes from Homo sapiens, assembly GCF_000001405.40. Taxonomy (NCBI): domain Eukaryota; kingdom Metazoa; phylum Chordata; class Mammalia; order Primates; family Hominidae; genus Homo; species Homo sapiens. The sequence goes on from NC_000016.10 coordinate 73,072,871, forward strand.
TTCCTATTTCTTTCTTTCTTTCTTTTTCTATTTTTTTTTTTATTTGAGACGGAGTCTCACTCTGTGCCCAGACTGGAGTGCATTGGCACAATCTCGGCTCACTGCAACCTCCATTTCCCGGGTTTAAGCGATTCTCCTGCCTTAGCCTCTCAAGTAGCTGGGATTACAGGCATGCACCACAATGCCCGGCTAATTTTTTCTATTTTAGTAGAGACGAGGTTTCACTGTGTTGCCCAGGCTGGTCTCAAACTCCTGAGCTCTGGCAATCTGCTTGCCTCGGCCTCCCAAAGTGCTAGGATTACAGGCGTGAGCTACCGTGCCCAGCCTCCTATTACTTAAGACACATTTCTAGTACTATGCCCATTGAAATGGCCCTGGCAGCCAGTCAGAAGAGAATCCAGTTATTATGAGGCTACCTTCTAGAGACCTGTTCCTTCAGCAAAGTATAAAGACAGCAGGGAGGGGTGTGGTGGAAGAGGTCGGTCATAGATATGTCTCTCCAGGATCAACAGGATCTAAATCCTCTTCAGATATGCTGGAAATCTAGAACTTCCTACAGGCTTTAAACATTTTGTACAAGTTCTAATTTTAAACTTCTAAATGTCATAGGCCAAGGACTTGCTGGATTTTGTTTGTTTTGTTTTTTGAGACAGAGTATCACTCTTTTGCCCAGGTTGGAGTGCAGGGGCACGATCTCAGCTCACTGCAACCTCCACCTCCTGGGTTCAAGTGATTCTCCTGCCTCAGCTTCCCAAGCAGCTGGGATTATAGGCACCTGCCACCATGCCCAGCTAATTTTTGTATTTTTAGTAAAGACAGGGTTTCACCATGTTGGCCAGGCTTGTCTCAAACTCCCAACCTCAACTGATCCACCAGCCTCGGCCTCCCAAAGTGCTGGGATTACAGGCATGAGCCACCAAGCCCGGCCTGGACTTGCTGTTTTGAGACATCGTTAGGTAGATAACTCCGTTGGTCAATGAAATTATTGTTGTGGCTTTTGATTCCAAATAAAACTAGTGCTGGAAAGTCTCAATGTCATTCTCATCATCTCAATATCTCATCATTTATGGAGCCACTGCTAAATTATGAGTACGGAAGGGTAAGGTGAAGCACAGGTTCCCGACTCCCAGCTGTGGGTTTGAGATGCCTCTGTCAGTGAATGTGTGCTCTTCACTTCTTATCAGTTTTTGTCAAACTAAACTCCAAGTGGTGGAAAGATATAAGAGAGGGTAGAGAGAATCATACAAAGCAACCAACCCAGTAGGATTATATGACCTTTATTGTGGCATCTTTCAACTTTGGAGGTATCTGGAGAATAATACGAAGGAGGTTCTTTCTCCATCTTTGAGTCTAGCTGAAGGCTCAGGCTCACTTCCTCACGCGGACCCTGTCCCAGGCGCAATGTTGGAGGTGACCTCACCCAGCTCCTCATATTCAGCTCTCTGAGTGGGTTTCCTGCATTTGTGTAAAACTGTACGGAAACCAAAATAATAGCAACAAGATCCATTTGTTTCACTACAGAATACCTGTGATGATGTGGAAATGCATATGCATTCATAAGTAGATTTGTATTCATGTTACGGATGACCCGCTTGCTTCCCCAAGGATAGGCACCATATGGAGTGTTCACTGTACACATCTCCATAAACGCCCACCATGCTAATTGGTACTCAGTGCTGTACCCATGGGGAAGAGAGGATAATGAGAATGATAATGACAATGATGACGACAATGATGACGACAATGATGACGACACTAAACTGCAGATGCCGATTCCAAGATGAAGATAGTTCTGGGCATACAGACATGCTTAACCAACGAGGAAGGAGGGAAGGGAGGGAGGGAGGGAGGATCAGATCGCATTGAAACACTCAGTGTAAGTCCTAAACCAAATTCCTTCCTTCCTTCCTTTTTTCTTTTTCTTTTCTTTTCCTTTTCTTTTTTATTTGAGACAGGGTCAGGTTCTGTCACCTAGGCTGGAGTGCAGTGGCACAATCTCAGTTCACTACAACTTCTGCCTCTGGGCTCAAGTGATCCTCCTAAGTAGCTAATTAGCCTCCCAAGTAGCTGAGACTATAGGTGCATGCCACCACACTCAGCTAATTTTTGTTTTTTTTTGTAGAGACGGGGTTTTGCCATGTTTCCCAGGCTGGTTTTGAACTCCTGAGCTCAAGCAGTCCATCAGCCTTGGTCTCCCAAAGTGCTGGGATTACACGTGTGAGCTAGTGCACTCGGCCTTTTTGTTTGCTTGTTTTAAAGCATAATTACTCTATTATTACCTACTAAAAGGAAGATAGGCCAGGTGTGGTGGCTCATGCCTGTAATCACAGTGCTTAGAGAGGCTGAGGCAGAAGGATCACTTAAGCCCAGGAATTTGAGGCTGCAGTGAGCCATGATCACACCACTGCATTACAGCCTGAGCAACAACAAGAGAATGATCCCCAACTTGAAAGAGAGGAAGGGAGGGAGGGAGGGAGAGGGGACATAATATCTACTGCTGAGCCTGTGGGCTGGGCTAGAATGGCGTAACAATAAAACAATCAGTTTTCATTGTTGGTATGTTTTTAAAAATATGATTTAGTACCTAATACTTCTCTCTCTCATGGCAAATCAGTGAGGCAGTGTTGGCAGCTCAGGACAGACTCACCTTACACGCAAAGCCTAAATGTCAGAGACATGATCTTGCAGTGATATACAATATAAATAAATTAAAAATATATAGAAAAGTGAATACATACAAGAAAGAGCTACCTAGAAGAATCAAAGACTTTTTTTTTTTTTGAGATGGAGTCTCGCTCTGTGGCCCAGGCTGGAGTTCAGTGGTGCAATTTCAGCTCACTGCAACCTCCGCCTCCTGGGTTCAAGGGATTCTCTTGCCTCAGCCTCCCGAGTAACTGGGACTACAGGTGCATGCCACTATGCCTGGCTAATTTTTGTATTTTTGGTGGAGACAGGGTTTCACTGTTGGCCAGGTTGGTCTCGAACTCCTGACCTCGTGATGCGCCTGCCTCAGCCTCCCAAAGTGCTGGGATTATAGGTGTGAGCCACCGCACCCGGCCAGCTTTTCATCATAAAAATGAAACAAAATTTAGAGAACAGGAAGATTACCAAAGGCTTGGGTTCCAGTGTTAGCTCTGCCACTAACAGCTGGATGGCCCCCAACAAATCACTTAATCCTCACTGTGTAACTTCTCCTTGTAAAATGGAGATAACAGTGCACACCCCACAGGGTTGTTTCAGGATTAAATGAGACTGCAGGTATAAAGTGTCTAGCACAATCCCTGGCACATGGAGGGGGGTCAATCCATGGCAGAAATGATTAACAATATTCTGATATTTCTTACCTGTCAGCATTGCAGGGTTGCAGCGTGAAGATCAAGTGATTGTAAAAGTATTGCATGAACTAGAGGAACTGAAACAAATCTAAGATGTTCTTTTTAGGTGTTACTGGGCTCTAAGTTAAATCTGTTAGTACTGGGAAGTGGAGCAATGAGATAAAGATACGTTATCAAGGACAAACTCCCTATACACAGATACCTGATATACCTCGTTCCAGCCATAAAGTTGCTGAAATACGAGGAATGCAAGTGCCTAGCAGACTTCCTCAGGGGGATGTTGTGAAGATTAATAGTTTAGAATGATGTCACAGTTATTAAGGTGCTTGGATTCCCTCGAGCAGAGGGGATATGTAAATCCAGGGACTCATCATAAAAGTAATATCATCACTGTTTCTCACAGCCGACTGTTTCCTAAGCTGGGATAGAATTTCCAGAAGTATCTTTCTCTTTTAGAATTACAGAGTATGACAGATTTATTTCCACACATCTCACTTGCTTTCAGAGTTATTGTTTCCTCTTATTCCCCCCACCTCTTTGGTGACAGAGAAGCCTGAGAACCGATCCTGTCAGGAATTTCTTGGGGAATTTTCAGAAGCATGTGAACACACAGTATGTGAATGGCTGTGCGCAGCGGCATTAACTTTATTTTATAAAATATGTGTGTGTGTATATATATATGTATACGCACACACACACACACACGACTGATCTTCCAACCATATCTGAATAATCAAAACCATGAATGACAAACATGTCAGATACATTCATCAGAACTCAGAGGATCTTCTAGGGGAATTCACTAGCATGTCTTCCTCTTAAAATAGGTCAGGTAACTATTCCCCTCCTTTGGGACTCTCAAAAAGGATGCGCTAATAAATCTAGGCCCCAGGATAGGAGCTCAGTTGCCCTCTAGACGTCTAATGCCAATCCCCAAATTTTCTGAATTTATTGACCAACATGTTGGATGGAGCAGGTTCAAGCATCTTGCTAAATAAAATATAGATTATATTGATCATTTCCCCTCAATCTACTAAAATCTTGTTACTCTTTCACAGAAGGAAATAAATCAGTTTGACAGGACTTGTTCTGTCAAGTGATATAAGTTCCCAACACTGCATTCACTACAGATTATTCTAGAAATAAATTGGTAATCTTTTTTTTTTTCCAGGTGAAGTTCCAGATTAGGACACTGCGCACTTCCCTGTTTCTTTTTTAAAAATAGAGGCATTAGTCCTGCTTTCTTTCAGTCTTTCCACGTTGTTAAAAATGAAGTGACTCTCCCGTGATTTTAGCCAATAACAACAGCTTCCCTTATAAACAACTTTATCCTGCAAAAAATCTGCTTAGAAAAAAAAAAAGGCATATCTACTAGTGTTTAAGAAACGTTTAAGAGTTCATCCTGCAAAAACAATGAGGAAGTAAATGGTCAAGGTATATGACCTCCACTTTGACAAGCCTATTTCCAGATCTCTCCCATAGATTTAGGTGTTAGATTTAGAAATTATTTCTGAATTAAATGGGGTCAAGACCAAAGACAGACAGAGTAAATTTGCCGATCGTGTCAATCATGTAGATCTCATGCACGTCAAAGCCATTATTTTTCTTTTTTGTTTTTTGTTTGTGACAGAGTCTTGCTCCCAGGCTGAAGTGCAATGACGTGATTTCAGCTCACTGCAACCTCTGCCTCCTGGGTTCAAGTGATTCTCCTGCCTCAGCCTCCCGAGGAGCTAGGATTACAGGTGGCTGCCACCACGCCCAGCTAATTTTTGTATTTTTAGTAGAGATGGAGTTTCATCATGTTGACCAGGCTGGTCTCGAACTCCTGACCTTGGGTGGTCCACCTGCTTCGGCCTCCTAAAATTCTGGGACTACAGGCGTGAGCCACTGTGCCTGGCCAAAGCCATTATTTTTCATAAACACATTGAAAATCCACTAGGCAGCAAAGGAGAAAGACAGGAGAAAAAGTATGAAAAACCTCATTGTTTATTTGTCTTAAGACAAATTACAGTGGCCACAGGATCTGCACCCTTCCTGAAATCTCAGGGCTTCATAAAAACCCAACATTTTCAGAATACGCCTGGCACAGAGACAACCTCGAAGTCAAAGCCCCAACTCTGTCAAGACCAAGACGGGAGCACAAAGGTGGCATCCTTGAAATGAAATTCAGGTATCTTGGGTACTTCTGGGTATCTCTAGGGCTTGGGGTTCCTAAGCTTAACTAAGATACTTGCTTGTTTAAAGGCTCTGGAAGCAGAAAATCCACACTATCCTTCACAGGTCACAGCTTGGTATTTACCAATCTCGTGAGCCTGAAATTTAAGTTCCTTTATCCTTTTTCTTTGGTCTACCATGCCAATTCCTAGCCCAGGTTACCCCCAGCCACCTGCCTCTGGATTGCTAGACAGTGCTGGGATTATAAACCGCGCCTGGCCACTAAAGAACTTTTTTTTTTTTGAGATGGAGTCTTGCTCTGTCGCCCAGGCTGGAGTGCAGTGGCGCAATCTCCACTCACTGCAAGCTCCGCCTCCTGGGTTCACGCCATTCTCCTGCCTTAGCGTCCCGAGTAGCTGGGACTACAGGCGTCCGCCACCATGCCAGGCAATTTTTTTGTATTTTTAGTAGAGACGGGGTTTCACCATCTTAGCCAGGATGGTCTCGATCTCCTGACCTCGTGATCCACCTGCCTCAGCCTCCCAAAGTGCTGGGATTACAGGTGTGAGCCACCGCGCCCGGCCCCTTTGTTTCTTAAAACCAAGATTGGAATGAACTTCAACTTGCCTGTCACATTACCTTATGGTGCCTTTTACCACCTCCTCTTTTTCATCATGAAATATCTTTGTAGCCTTAACTATTATTTCCTTCCTTCTATTCTGCTGTGATTCCACTGCAAATCTTCCCTGATCTCTGGAGTCCAACCCGACCAGGTCCTTCCAGTCCCCTTCTCTTTCACTTACTTGTCTCTCCCCACTGCTGTCCCCACGGCACACCTGCCTCCATCACTTTCATATCTTTCTCTTATTAAATTTATTTTTAAGGCCGGGCATAGTGGCTCACACGTGTAATCCCAGCACCTTGGGAGGCCAAGGTGGGCAGATCACTTGAGGTCAGGAGTTCAAGACCAGCCTGGCCAACATGGTCAAACCCTGTCTCTACAAAAAATACAAACATTAGATAGGAATGGTGGCACATGCCTGTAATCCCAGCTATCTGGGAGGCTGAGTCAGGAGAATCACTTGAACCCAGGAGGCAGAGGTTGGGACAGGGCGAGACTCTGTCTCCAAAAAAAACCAATTATTTTTAATTTTTTAAAAATAGAGATGGGATCTCACTATGTGGCCCAGGCTGTTCTTCAACTCCTGGCCTCAAGTGATCCTCCCACCCTGGCCTCCCAAAGTGTTGGGGTTACAAGCGTGAGCTGCCACACCTGGCCTCCTATCTTTACTCCCTTTCTACTTGGAAACCTACACATGCTGTATTCTCTCCAATCAAACAAGAACAAGAACAGTAACACTTGCCTTGGTTCTACTGCCTTTTTGATGTGCCATCCTTCCATTCATTACCCAATTTCCTGAAGAATCATTTAAATGTGTTCTCTGGCCCTTGCTTGAGCACCTCTGGCACTGTGGACAGCTGGCTCTGATTGTTAGAGAAGATGGTCATTATTTTGAGCCTTTTAAATAGATCCCTTGTGGTTCTTGCCTACTGGTCTTAGTGTCACCTTGTGAGGTCACACAGAGCAAGTTTAATTCCCTGATGCAGACAACCTTTTCCTGTCCTGGCCTCCTCTCTCAGTCTGATCTTTCTGAGCTAGGAACTGCCAGTTTCTTCAACTCTTTTTCACAGGCTCTGCCTCTGAGTCCCCTTTGCCTTCCTGTTTCCAGTTTGACTCTCTTCTTAAAATGTCATGGCCCAATATTAAATGTGAATTATCCACATCTGCTCTGTCTCCCACAGTACAGCAGGATTCTCACCTCTTTGTTCTCCTCATTACACTTTTGCCCAGTACAATTGTGAAAGCCTCCACCCATTAACTGAAACCTCTAAGACAGCGGTTCAGAAAGTGTGGCTCATGGAGCTCCTACTTCAGAATGACCCAGAGAGCTTCATGTTATGGACTGAAAGTTTGTGTCCTCCCAAAAGAGGGTGGAACTGAATGTGTAGGTATTTTGATCACAGCCTCCAGAACTGTGAGAAATAAATGTCTGTTGATTGGGCCACCTAGTCTATGATATTTTGTGATAGCAGTCTGAGCTATCTAAGACACTTTAATAAATGGAGATTCTTGGTCCACACCTCAAACTTGAATCTGACAATCTGGGGTAGCACCTGGGAATCCACATTTTAAACATTTATGCCAGGTGACTTTTTCTTTGTTTTTTTTTTGAGATGGGATCTTGCTGTGTTGCCTAGGCTGGAGTACAGTAGTATGATCAGAGCTCACTGCAGCCTCAAACTCCTGGGCTCAAATGATCCTTCCACGTCAGCCTCCCCAGTAGCTGGGATTATCGGCATACACCACCATGCCTGGCTAATTTTTAAAAACATTATTTTGTAGGGACAGGGTCTTGCTATGTTGACCAGGCTCTGGTCTCGAACTCCTGGCCTCAAGCAATCCTCCCGCCTTGGCCTCCCAAAGTGCTGGGATTTCTGGTGTGAGCCACTGTGCTCAGCCAGGTGATTCTTAAATGTGCCCAAAAGTCTGAAAAGAAAAAAGCTTCAGGTCTTTTCTAATACTTCTTACCAAGCCTGGCTCCCTCCACCCGAGTTTGTGCAGATGGGTTTTCAGGTCCAAGGTCAAGACCTGCCATTTTCTTGTGTTACATTTCACCTTGCTAGATTTGGTGCATTGCCTTGGTCTATCAAAAATCTTTTGAATTCTTTATCTTGCAACATATGATGTCATGATAATCACACATGGACTACCAAAACCTCACTGTCCCAGCACCAGAAATCTCCTCCACATTGATACCAATCACTAACTAATTTGTACTTCATCTTTCATCTTCTTTTCCATGAGATAAATGAGCAAATTGTCTTTCTTTCTTTCTTTTTTTTTTTTTTGAGACAGAGTTTTGCTCTTGTTGCCTAGGCTGGAGTGCAATGGCACAATCTCTGCTCTCTGCTCACCACAATCTTCGCCTCCCAGGTTCAAGCAATTCTCTTGCCTCAGCCTCCTGAGTAGCTGGAATTACAGGCATGCGCCACCATGCCCGGCTAATTTTGTATTTTTAGTAGAGACGGGGTTTCTCCATGTTGGTCAGGCTGGTCTCGAACTCCTGAACTCAGGTGATCTGCCCATCTCGACCTCCCAAAGTGCTGGGATTACAGGCATGAGCCACTGTGCCCGGCCCAAATTGTCTTTAACCATATTATCAAATGCCTCACTAAAGCCCAGCTCTTCTTTGTATTCTCTATTTCCCTGTTCCACTGGTAGATGCCAATTCTGTCAAAAAAGAAAATAAAGTGTTCTCACAGGCCATTTACACATGCATTCTAGAATCTGTGGTCAGGCAATGGACTCTAGTGTGCAGAACTCACCCTTTTTTCCAGTGACGTTGTTCTGGATGTTTATGGCACTTATGTCATAGGACCCTTGACTTGTAATTATAAATGTTCTTGTCCACATCTTTTTTTTTTTTTTTTTTTGAGACGGAGTCTCACTCCATCACCCAAGCTGGAGTGCGGTGGCACGATCTTGGCTCACTGCAACCTCTGCCTCCCAGGTTCAAGGGATCCTCCTGCCTCAGCCTCCTGGGTAGCTGAGACTACAGGTGTGTACCACCACACCCAGCTAATTTTTATATTTTTACTAGAGACGGGGTTTCACCATGTTGGCCGGGCTGTTCTTGAATTCCTGACCTCAGGTGATCCACCCGCCTCAGTCTCTCAAAGTGCTGGGATTACAGGTGTGAGCCACCGCATCCAGCCCTCGTCTACATCTTGATTCAACTACGAGATAAGGAGCTCCTGAACTCTGAGCTTTTATCTTAGGTGCCTCAAAATATCTCATGGTAACTAGCACAAGATCCTACTTGGTAACCTTTCTTTGAATGAATGAATTTTTTTTTCTCTTTTTTGAGAGGGAGTCTCTCTATGTTGCCCAGCCTGGAGTGCAGTGGCGCGATCTTGGCTCACTGCAAGCTCCGCCTCCTGGGTTCACGCCATTCTTCTGCCTCAGCCTCCCGAATAGCTGGGACTACAGGCGCCCGCTACCACGCCCGGCTAATTTTTTTTGTATTTTTAGTAGAGATGGGGTTTCACCGTGTTAGCCAGGATGGTCTCGATCTCCTGACCTCAGGATCCGCCTGCCTTGGCCTCCCAGAGTGCTGGGATTACAGACGTGAGCCACCGTGCCCAGCCAAATGAATGAATTTTACATTTTATTCCCATTAACTTACTTTCTTTTTTTTTGTATAAGATGAAAGCAGATCCTGGAGTGAATACTGGAAGACTAAGCTCCCTAGGCACGAGGGAAGTGGTGTGCCTGGGCAGATCTCAGCAGTCCCAATTGTTTCTCTTAGTCACTGCTCATAAAAATCAGCTCCTTAGAATAAAAGCAGTCTTTGAAATGCAGTGTGATGAAATCACAGAAAGGATGACACAGTTTCTGAAACATCACAACATTACTGGAATCTGTAGTAATGGCCAAAGAGACACAGGAAACAGTATTTAAAACAAAACAAAACAAAACCTGGCCAGGCGCAGTGGCTCATGCCTGTAATCTTAGCACTTTGGGAGGCCGAGGTGGACGGATTACTTGAGGTCAGGAGTTCAAGACCAGCCTGGCCAACATGGTGAAACTCCATCTCTACTAAAAAAAAAAAAAAAAAAAAAAAATACAAAAATTAGCTGGGCTTGGTGGCGGGTGCCTGTAATCCCAGCTACTTGGGAGGCTAAGGCAGGAGGATCACTTGAACCCAGGAGGTAGAGGTTGCAGTGAGCCAAGACCATGCCATTGCACTCCAGCCTGGGCAACAAGAGCAAAACTCCGTCTCAAAAAAGCGAAACAAAAAAACCCCAACACCTTACCTTAGTAGAGCCATCTAAGTCAGCATAACATGCAGATAAAACCTGAGTTATGAGCTTACTGCTAATGAGACCTCTTGTGATGGCACAAAGTGTGTCGGTAGGATGTGACATGGCTGGACAGGGACATCTGGCTTTTCTCTCCATTATGGTTCCCTTCTGTATCACAACTGGTAACACATCTGAATAATTATCTGATATATAAAACACAAAGGGTGAAAAGCTGTAAATGAATGGTGGAAAGTCTTGTGGTTTTCATGGTCAAGTGACTTTCTTTGTAGTCATGCCTTTCCTATTTCTTTTTTTATTTTTTGAGACAGGGTCTCACTTTGTTGCCCAGGATAGAGTACAGTGGTGCAATCTTGGCTCACTGCAGCCTCGACCTCTCGGGCTCAAGCCATCCTCTCACCTCAGCCTTCTGAGTACCTGGGACTACAGGTGCGCACCATCACACCTGGTTAACTGTTGTGTTTTTTATAGAGATGCGTTTTTGCCATGTGGCCCAGGCTGGTCTCAAACTCCTGGGCTCAAGCGATCTGCCCGCCTCAGCCTCCCAAGTGCTGGGATTACAGGTGTGAGCCACCATGCCCGGCCTTTCCTATTTCTTTCCTATAGGCCAGAGAAGATTCCACAGATACCCCAGAACATGCCTCCACTGGAAAGACCACACAGCCCCAGGGTGACACACCTGTTCTACGTGAGGTCTAGGGCCATGGTTCTCAACTGGGGCTGACTTTGCCCCCCACATCCCAAGGGACATTTGGAAGTGTCTGGAGACATTTCTAGTAGTGACAACCGACATCTCATGAGTAGAGGCCACGATTCTGATAAATATTTGGCAATGCACAAGACACATTACCTCCACCAACAAGGAATTATCTGGCTCAAAATGCCAATAGCAATGATCTTAATAAAAATGTCATCAATGAAAGCCTTTAAGATCTAGAACAAGAAAAGAATGCACACTTTCACCATTTTTATTCTTGACAAAGTTGAAGTCCTAGCCAGAGAAATTAGGCAAGAGAAAGAAATAAAGTGCATCCAAACTGGAAAGGAAGAAGTCAAATTATTACTGTTTGTAGATGACCTATTTTAGAAAAACTTAGAAACACCACCAAAATAACCTGTTAGAAATGATAAACAAATTCAGTGAAGTTGCAGGATACACAATCAACATTAAAAAATTAGTAGCATTTATATACAACAACAGCAAACAATCTGAAAAAGAATGTAAGAAAGCAATCCCACAGCTACAAAAATATAAAATACCTAGGACTAAATTTTTTTTTTTTTTTTTTTTTTTTGAGATGGAGTCTTGCTCTGTCACCCAGGCTGGAGTGCAGTGGCACGATCTCGGCTCACTGCAAGCTCCACTTCCCGGGTTCACACCATTCTCCCACCTCAGCCTCCCAGGCTGAGACTACAGGTGCCTGCCACCATGCCCGGCTAATTTTGTTTTGTATTTTTAGTAGAGATGGGGTTTCACCGTGTTAGCCAGGATGGTCTCGATCTCCTGGCCTCGTGATCCGCCCACCTCAGCCTCCCAAAATGCTGGGATGACAGGCATGAGCCACCGCGTCTGGCCATACCTAGAAATAAATTTAACCAAATACATGAAAGATCTCTACAAGGAATACTATAAAGCACTGATGAAGGAAATTAAGGAGGACACAAAAAGATCAAAGATAGCCCATGCTCATGGATTGAAAGAATTAATGTTAAAATGTCAAGAGTACTACCCGAAGCAATTTACAGACTCAATGCAACCCTTATCAAAATACCAGATGTATTCTGCACAGAAATAGAAAAAAAAAGTCCTAGAACCACAAAAGACCCCAAATAGCAAAGCAAACATGAACAACAAGAACAAAGCTGGAGGCACTGCACTACCTGACTTCAAAATATACTACAAAGCCATAGTAACCAAAACAGCATGGTACTAGCATAGAAACAGCCACATAGACCAATGGAACAGAATAGAAAACCAGAAATAAGTCCACACATTTACAGCATTTACAACTCATTTTATTATTATTGTTTTTTTGAGATGGAGTTTTGCTCTTGTTGCCCGGGCTGGAGTGTAATGGCACAATCTTGGCTCACTGCAACCTCTGCCTCCCAGCAAGTGATTCTCCTGCCTCAGCCTCCAGAGTAGCTGGGACTACAGGTGTGCACCACCACGCCCAGCTAATTTAGAGATGGGGTTTCACTATGTTGGTCAGGCTGGTCTTGAATTCCTGACCTCTAGTGATCCGCCTGCCTCGGCCTCCCAAAGTGCTGAGATTACAGGCATGAACCACCACTCCTGGGCTACAACTCATTTTCAACAAAAAACATGCACTGGGCAAAGGACAGTCTCTTCAATAAATGTGACTGGGAAAATTAGATAACCATATGCAGAAGCATAAAGCTAGACCCCTATCTTTCACCATAAATAAACATCAATCAAAATAGACTAAAGACTAAATCTAAGACCTGAAACTATGAAACTCCTAGAAGAAAACATTAGGGAAACACTTCAGGACATTGGTCTGGGCAAAAATTTTGGGAATGAGACTTTAAAAGCACAGGCATCAAAAGCAAAATTAGAAAAATGGAATTACATTAAGCCAGGAAGCTTCTGTACAGCAAAGGAAACAATTAGCAAAGTGAAAAAACAACCTACAAGAATGGGGGAAAATATTTGCAAACTATGCATCTGACAAGAGATCAGTAACCAGAATATATAAGGAACTCAAACAACTCAATTGCAAAAAAAAAAAAAAAAAAAAAAATCAAATTAAAAATGGGCAAAAGATCTAGACAGACAGACATTTCTCAAAAGAAGACATATGTATGACAAATGGCCAACAAGTATATTTTTAAAATGCCATTTAAAAATGCTCCACATCATTAATTGTCCAAGAAATGCAAATCAAAACCACAACGAGATATCTTACCCCAGTTAGAATGGCTTTTATCAAAACGACAAAAAATAGCAAATGCTGGTAAAGTTGCAGAAAAAGGGGAACCCACGTGCACTGTTGGTGGGAATGTAAATTAGTACAGCCTCTATGGAAAAGTGGAGGTTCCTCAAAAGTCTAAAAATAGAACTACCATATGATCTGACAGTGCCACTGGTGGGTGTATGTCGCAAAGAAAGGAAATCAGTATATTGAAGAGAAATCTGCACTTCCATGTTTATTGTGGCATTACTCACAATAGCAAAGATATGGAATCCACCTAAGTGTCCATCAATGGATGAATGGATAAAGAAAATGTGGTATATATACACAATGGAATATTACTCAGCTACAAAAAAAGAATTAAATCCTGTCATTTGAAGCAACATGAATGAAAATGGACTATCGTTAGCAATAATTTTATGTATAGTTCACAGTATCTAGGGCCAGGCATGGTGGCTCATACTGGTAATTCCAGAACTTTGGGAAGCTGAGGCAGGGAGATTGCTTGAATACAGGAGTTCAAGACCAGCCTGGGCAACATGACAAAACCCCATCTGTACAAAAAATACAAAAATTAGCTAGGTGTGGTGGCATGCACCTGTGCTCTCAGCTACTCGGGAGGCTGAGGTGGGAGGATTGTTTGAGTCCAGGAGGTTGAGGCTGCAATGAGCTGTGATGACACCACTGCACTCCATCCTGGGTCAAAGAACAAGACCCTGTCTCAAAAAACAAAACAAAACAGAAAACCAAAACCACAAAACAACAAAATAGCCAGAAGAGAAGAACTGGAATGCTCCCAACATAAGAAAATACAAATGTTTGAGGTGACAGGTATCCCAGTTACCCTGATGAGATCATTACCCATTGTTCACATGTATCAAAATATTACATGTGCCCCCCGAAATAGGTACAACTATTATTTATCAATTAGAAAAACACTAAAAACTTTTAAAAATTTAATTAAAAAGTATAATGAATACTGCCATGGAGAATTCCTGGTCTACGAACACAGTACTAGTCCTAAAACTAGACAGGCTGGTCCATCTCAAAGGGTCATGTAACTAACTACCTGTTGTGGGTTTGTGAAGTAAGTCACAGATGGCAAACTGTGAGGTTTAACTGGGGCCTCTGAGGATCCGGGAATGTGACGTGAATATGAAACCAACGTACCCAGCGGGACAACAAGAGGTACAGCTTTTCAGGCTAACTCCAGGAAAGTCCTTGTCTTACAGAGGCACAAGGGAACCTCATTTCTCCTAAAGCCCCTAGACAACAGATATGTTTTCCCCAAACTGCCATTCTTTTTGATATAGCCAAGATTTTAAACATCACCAGTTTTAGATATCACAGGGAAGCTGCTGGATTTAATGAAGCCTCAAGATGTCCCCTGAGAGATGATTATAACTCTAATTAAAAATGGGGGGTGATGGACAAGAATCCCCTGGGACTCTAAGCAACTGGCATTTGTGCATCTTTTTTCATGGAGAAGATGACTTTTTAATGTCAGTTTGGGCTCTTTCCAGGAGTCAAGGATAGTGTCCCCAAAGTCTAATACATTTTGAGATTTAATGTGGTTCAAGGATCAGGAAATGTCTTAAATTGTAAGGGACAAAGAAGTTTACAAGCCAAGCCAAACTTTCATTTCTCTCTCTTTTTTTTTTTTCTGAGATGGAGTCTCGCTCTTGTCATCCAGGCTGGAGTGCAGTGATATGGTCTTGGCTCACTGCAACCTCCAGCTTCCCGGGTTCAAATGATTCTCCTGCCTCAGCCTCCTGAGTAACTGGGATTATAGGCATCCACCACCACGCCTGGCTGATTTTGTATTTTTAGTAGAGATGGGGTTTCTCCATGTTGGCCAGGCTGGTCTCGAACTCCTGACCTCAGGTGATTCACCCGCCTTAACCTCCCAAAGTGCTGGGATTATAGGCGTGAACCACTGCACCTGGCCTAAACTTTCATTTCATTTTTTTTTTTCTTTTTTTTTGAGAGAGGGTCTCCCTCTGCCACCCAGGCTGGAGCACAGCGGAGTGATCATAGCTCACTGCGGCCTCAAACTCCTGGGCTCAAGCAATCCTTCCACCTCAGCCCTCTGCACGGCTGGGATCACAGCTGTGTGCCACCATGCCCAGCTAATTTTTGTATTTTGTATTTTTCGTAGAGATGGGGTTTCACCGTGTTACCCCAGCTGGTCTCAAACTCCTGGGCTCAAGCGATCCACATGCCTCAGTCTCTCAAAGTGCTGAAATACAGGCATGAACCACTGTGCCTGCCACATTTCTTTTATTTCATATACCTGTACTTACCATCTCCATGATTGCATGAAGCCTAGAATATAAGAAACCACCTAAATGAATTCTATCTGCATGTCGATTCTAGGTATGGATAAGAACAAAGGAGAAATGAGTGTGGCAGAATGAGGATTAGAGTTCCATGCTCAGGCAAGTTTTTGGGGATCAGGTAGGTACGGCAGGTCACAGTAGGTAGTGAGGGCATGGATCCAGGTAACTAAATGAGAGTTAAAACATTCTCAGGTACATCCTGAAGTTCAAGGCAGGAGATCAGAGAGACTGAGACACCAGTGTCAGAAAGCAGACCACTGACAGGAGCTCATCTTATCACAAGAAGTCTGGTCTTCTAACCTCATAGTGCTGGCCATGCCCACTACTCATTGGACAGTCTTGACCCTACATAGATCCTGAAAGGGAAGTCAGACTGTTTAGTATCCATGGTGGGGGTCCAGGGCAGGTGGCAGCCAGAGAAAGCACGAGGCAGAAAGGCACAGCTCGTTGAAGGCCTTAGGATTGGATGGGGCCTCTGCATTTGAACTTAACATAGCCCTGGGTGAGGATCTCAGTAGCCTCAGACAGACACTCACTTCCAAAGGCAAAGGTAATGTTACACCTTTTTTTAAATTTTAATTTTAATTAATTAATTGATTTTTTGAGACAGAGTCTTGCTCTGTCGCCCAGGCTGGAGTGCAGTGACGCGATCTCAGCTCACTGCAACCTCCGCCTCCCAGGTTCAAGCAATTCTCCTGCTTCAGCCTCCCGAGTAGCTGGGATTACAGGTACCTGCCACCACCCCCAGCTAATTTTTGTATTTTTAATAAAGACGAGGTTTCACTCTGTTGGCCAGGCTGGCCTCAAACTCCTGACCTCAGGTGATCCACGTAAAGTGGATCCTAAAGTGCTGGGATTACAGGCGTGAGCCGCTGCACCCGGTCTAATGTTATACCTTTAGATTGTGTCCTTGCATCTCATTACTCCATGAACATATTTTTACCGAGGAAAAATCAAACAGCACAGAGCTGGGCCACCATGAAGCCAACTGTGTCACCGAACAAGGGTCTAATGCAAGCAACATCAGGGATGCCACTGTGATTAAGTGATGGATGCAGTGACCACACTATCCATTGACCCTGCACTGACTGGCATGAATCAGGGCAGGTCTCTGACAACAGGAATCCTGTGATTCAAGATTCATCCCTGGATAGGATGAATGTACCAGGGAAGGCTCTCATCCTTGCAGACACAGAGCCTGAGGCACCATGCTGCCCTGGGAGACTGACCTGCAGGCTTTACTAATGATCGTCAAGCCTTTTGTTAATGACTGGCAAGATTTGAAGATTCCCCTATTAGTGTTCAAGGCTGGGGAATTATCTGTAGGATATAAGGATGAAGAAATATTCCTGAACCGAAGCTGTGCTTGCTTTAAGGCTAGTGGCCCCCAAGCTCATCTCCAGTCTTGATTGCTTCCCAGATCCTACACACAATGCACAAAATACCTACCTGTGATGCCCAAATAGGGCATGTGTCCTCTCCTGACAATGCCTTGCCTGCAACAATATCAACCCCTCCAGGCTGAGGCACTTTTTTTCCTAATCCGTGCTCTCCAAGTTCACTGTAATAACTGTATTTAAACTATATCTGTGGGGCCGGGCTTGGTGGCTCACACCTGTAATCCCAGCACTTCGGGAGGCCAAGGTGGGCAGATCCCTTGAGCTCAGGAGTTTGAGACCAGCCTCTGCAACATGGGGAAACCCCATCTCTATGAAAAATACAAAAATTAGCCAGCATGGTGGCATGCGCCCATGGTCCCAGCTACTCAGGAGGCTGAGGTGGGAGGATGGCTTGAGCCTGGGAGGCGGAGGTTGCAGTGGGCTGAGATGGTGGCACTGCACTCCAACCTGGGTGACAGAGACCCTGTCTCAAATTAAGTAAATAAATAAATAAAGTACATTTGTTGTTGTGTACTTGGTTATCTTTTTCATAAGGCAAAAAGTATTCTGAGCTCAGGGACCATTTGTTTAAATATATGAGTGCCACGTGCTTATCACAGTGCCTATCACATAGTATTTGCTCAATAAATGTCTATGGAAGCAAGAAAGGGAGGGAAAGCGGGCTGGATGTTAAAGAAGCAGTAAAGGGTGGGGCGTGGTGGTTCATGCCTGTAATCCCAGCACTTTGGGAGGCCAAGGCAGGCAGATTGCTTGAGCCCAGGAGTTCGAGACCAGCCTGGGCAACATGGTGAAAACTGGCCTCTACAGAAAAAAAAAAAAACAAAACAAAAAACATACAAAACATTAGCCAGGTGTACTGGTGTGCATCTGTAGTCCTAGCTACTTGAGAGGCTGAGGTGGGAGAATCACTTGAGCCCAAGAGGTCAAGGCTGCAGTGAACCATGATTGCACCACTGTACTCCAGCCTGGGAGACAGAGTAAGATCCCATATTGAAAAAAAAAAAAAAAAAAGGCAAGGCATGGTGGCTCATACCTGTAATCCCAGCACTTTGGGAGGCTGTGGCTAGCGGATCACAAGGTCAGGAGATAAAGACCATCCTGGCTAACACGGTAAAACCCCGTCTCTACTAAAAATACAAAAAATTAACCAGGCATGGTGGCGGGTGCCTGTAGTCCCAGCTACTCGGGAGGCTGAGGCAAAAGAATGGCATGAACCCGGGAGGTGGGGCTTGCAGTGAGTGGAGATCACGCCACTGTACTCCAGCCTGGGCGGCAGAGTGAGACTCCGTCTCGGAAAAAAAAAAAAAGAAAGCGGGGAAAAAAAAAAAAGCAGTAAAGACCACTAATCAGGCAGCCAGCAGTGTCACGCTTTTCCAAAAGGGGCATTGGCAGTAAGCCTGGGAGAGACAACCTTATGGAGATCAACAAAGGAGTTGGCAATGGCTTTCAGTGGCTGCAGGGCTGTGATTCCCACTGTGCCTATTGGCGGAACCCCAGGGAATCCCTCTTTCTTGGATCAGCCAGGGACTTACCTTCCTCGAAGGCCAGCACACACTCCTGTGCTGGCGACACTTCTGCAGAGCTGGCCAGCAGTAGCCTGAGGTTGGCTATGTCAAATGGTCCCTAGCATCTCAGAGACTGAGCCTTGCTCAATCCCATCTTTATCCTGTCAGTTTCCTCTGAGGACCCTGATATTTGATATTATGACCCCAAATAGTTAACCTTAGTTGTGGTGAATTGCATTCATTTATTTTACGATCTTCATGGGATGAAAGAGTTTGTCGAGCTGAGTCTTCATTCAGAAATTCGCAAAATATAGCATTTGACAGTGCCACTTAATTTTCAAAATACTATCCAATGGCCACAAGGATCACTGTAGCTGAAAACCCTGAGAATATCTATAAGGGTATTTCGAGACGCTAGAATGTGATGACATAGGTCTCTTCTACTTTCCCCTCACCTTAGCAAACCAATACATTCAGTATTCAGGATATTCAACAGAACATTCAGCACATATCCTTAACTGCTCTTAGAAATTGGTTCTGCCGATATATTAGCTATTCAGAGAAAGTGCTTTTAAGTTCATTGTTGAACATAGTGATGTAGTGTCTTGCAATCACAGAATCAACGAATGTTTGAGCTCGAAGATTTCTTATAGACAGGCTAGTGTGAATTAAGGACACTAATGCCCAGCTAAAAAGGGAAAGTCACTTAGTAACTTGCCCAAGAACACGCAGCTAGTGCGTAGTTGAACCAGACTTGAAAGCAAACATCATGATCATAAGCCACCTTTCTGCCACTGCGTGTTGATGGTATGAAGATACCATATATATATTTACACATGCACACACAAAAAAGGATAAAGTCTTGCATCACATAGAGCCAGTTGTCTGAAGAAACTGTCAGCCCTACTGAAACAATATCCCATTTAAGTTTAAGACAGCCTGGTGAGGCCCAGAGCCTCACCAGTCCCCCAGAAAACGGAGTATTGTTTCCATCCAAACCTTGCACTGAAAGGAGCCTGTCAGCAGGAAGTGACCTCGTGAGACAACTGTGGGGAGAGCAAAGGGCCGGGGAGAGAAAGGCCTCATTCTCACTGCAAACAGGAAAAGGAAAGAGAAAAAGCAAGCTCTGTCTCCACACAAGGTTTGCTGGGCTGGCTATGAACTGTTCCAGTACGTTCCATCAAATAGACGCCTTCATAGAATCAAGCCGAGCGCGAACGCCGTGTCTGGGGCTCCCACTCCCGGGACACACACGCGGGCTGGCTTACACATGCTCTTGCTCTCTCGCGCTCTGGGAGAGCGCTTATATGGGCTTCATGAGGCTAAGTAATAAACACTTTGTCTTCACCCTGCTATTTATGGGTTGCTTGGGGCATCCTGTGCTCTCCACTGCCCTTACCTGAACAGACGGCTCATGCAGACCCGGAGTTTAATAGGGACAACAGTAAATCTGAGAGGCTGTGTGTGTCCCACGCGCTCCTGTTTTCCCAGCCACCCATGCTAGTTGCAGAGAAAAGCCAACCTGTATCCCTTCGTTTATGCTCTGTGTGCCCTTCCTGGAGGTGAAATCCCTTCTCCTTTTTCTTCGGGCCCTTGTTTTCTTCCATCCTTTCAAACATCTCTCTAACATATCCTTTTGCTATTTGACCCCTCCCAGAGATCCCTTCATTCTTCAGCAATGGATCAAAGAACTCTGAAAACAAGAACAACCCCGACAGCTGCAAACCACGAGCCCTCACCTCCAGCAGAGGTTTTCGGGAAACTCTGGACGACCACGCGCATGCAGAGGTAAGGGAATGATCCGGTCCTACCTGGCGTTGACTTCCAGGTTCACTCAAAGGCCACGTGCCACCCTTTGCACATCGTGTTTGGGTTGCAAAGGGGAAAGATGCATATTGAAAGCCAGAAGTGTGCCCAGGCCAACAGACGTCTGAAAGCCACAGGGGACGACCCTGAAAAAGTCTGGCAGATGCAGAACCACAGCTGATCACTTTGGTCCGTTTGAGGGCCCCTTTCGCTCAGCTCTTTTGGGGGTTCCAGGGCTCTCAGAGCTTCCAGGTCCTGTAAGAAGAGATGGAGTCATAGCTGCGCCCTGTCCACTCTCGGGCTGTCACACAAGCCTGGAGCCCAGCCATTTCTCGGCCTTGTCTTCATCTTGGGCTAACCGGTCGTCTCCTGCAAACAGACAGCACGGAGAAGGATGAGTGAACTCGGCCTCTCCCCACAGAATACAGTTCGCCATTACAGCGCTGATTAAATACAGGACATTATCTCACCATAATGCCCTCCTGGCGGCGTTCCCAGGAAAATTCTAACTAATCATAAAAATAGAAAGAAAAACGCAACCTAAATTCCATTCCTCGTCTTAAATGAGTGATGTGTTCACTTTTATTTATTTTTCTGGAAGCGAGGCGGGAAAAGAAAATGAATTTTAGGGCTTAGAAAAACAAGCTACTAATAGTACTAAGTAGAGCTGGGGCGGTGGTGCAGACAGCTTAGCTCTAGCAGGGATGTAGCCGGCATGGCACGGGTGAGTCCTGGCCCTGCTCCTGGCTGAAAACTTAAGAGTTTAGAACTGGAGCACCTGGCAGGGCAAAGGCAGGATGGGGTGAGGGAAAGTTGTGGGGTTGAGTGTGGACCCCCCCAACCCCCTACAAATGCACACACAAGCTAGGCGCTCAATAGCTTTCTTATAGCCCAGGTAGGCAAATCCTCTTCCAATATACCTTTGAAAATAATGCCTGATCTTTCTCCAGCAGCATTCTTTTTGGAAACACAGGCATAGTTTAGGTATTTTTCTCCCTGGAAGGTTCTTTCCTGGAAGTTCACCCAATTAATTCCTACTCACACATTTTAGAGATCTGAACAGTAAGAAGCCTTCTCTAAGAACCCCTACCCTGACTCCAGTCCAGGGGCTGGTCCTGTAAACCTTCTCTTCATAACAGCCATGTGACTGTAATTAATGCAATAACTGCATAGTTGATTGTTTAACATGGTTGTCTGTCCCCTCCCTTAGATTAAAAATGTGTTTGTCTTATTCCTGACTTTGTAAGTACTAGGTACAAAGTAGCTGCCCAATACATGCCTGTGTTGGATGAGTGCTGACGGGTCACGGTGGGCGCCAAAGTGGATGGTACCTTATGCTACTTCGGTGGGGCTCAGGTGTAGCAGCAACAAACACATGTAGAACCAGATCACGGTGGGTCCACACCAACAAGGACCAAGGACCAAGCTCCTCCCTAACAATTTCTGCTCCTTCCTCCTGTGAAGTGTTTTTTGTCGTTGTTGTTGCTGTTGTTATTTTTTGATGGAGTCTTGCTTTTTTGCCCAGGCTGGAGTGCAGAGGTACGAACTTGACTCACTGCAGCCTCCACCTTCTGGGTTCAAGTGATTCTCCTGCTTCAGCCTCCTGAGTAGCTGGGACTGCAGATGTACACCGTCATGTCCGGCTAATTTTTGTATTTTTATAGAGATAGGGTTTTCCTCATGTTAGCCAGGCTAGTCTCAAACTCCTGACCTCAGGTGATCTGCCCACCTCAGCCTCCTAAAGCGTTGGGATTACAGGCATGAGCCACTGTGCGCAGCTCCTTCTGTGAAGTCTTCATAGATAAACCATGGGAGAGTTAAAAATCCTGAAAACCAGCTTCTGAAATGCTTATCTTTTTTTACTTTTTATTTTAAATAGAGACAAGGGTCTTGCTGTGTTGCCTAGGCTGGTCTCAAACTCCTGAGCTCAAGTGATCCTCCCACTTTGGCCTCCCAAAGTGCTGGGACTACAGGCATGAGCCACTGCGCCTGGCTCTGGGATGCTTCTCTTAATATTATACTGGATGAAAAGAAAATAAAAGACATCCCACACCCATCTTGCCTCTCCCTGTCCCCAGTCTGGCATAAGAATCCCACACTGCCAGCCCCCATCTTAGCTACTGCTGAAGTAATGGGCACTGCTACTAGATGGCAAAGTTCTAGCTGGGCTAATTAAGCAGACTGAGCTAATAACCTTCCATTTTGGGACTGGTGTTATTCATAATTTAATGTATTGCTGCTGAAACATTAACCTTTCGACAACTGGCATGTTGCCCACAGCGGCCCAAGTGCTGACCATCTTTCAGTAAAATGAGTATTATTGTTAAAACAGGTATAAATCATTCATGGCTGCAGCTTTTGTGTCAGACCTTACGTGAAAGTACGCAGTAAGCTGGGTAATTTATTTACTTTTTGGTGATTATTTTTTATGATTTTATCATCATATTCAATGATTCATAAACATTGGCCTGATGCCATTTGGTAATCATTTTACATTTTAAATATTGTGTGGCTGTTCTGCTTTTCATCTTTAAAAACTTCAGGATTGATACCGGGCAACTTAATTCAGACACAAATGCAATTTCATTTGAAAGAAGGCGGTGGGTGGAGGGGGAAAAGAATCCCGGCCCCTTCTTTTTAATAAACCATTTTCAACAGAGCTGTTAGGAGCTTCCACTTGTTACAACATTGCACTTACTGTAGCAAACTTTCTTTGAAGTTTAACACACAGAGGGTGCCTTGAAATCTGAATAAAAGCACAGGAAAACAGTTAACAAGCTTCTGGTTGGAAAGACGATGTGATTGAGCCAAGGGTGGAGAGGGGCCTGGAGATGCTGGCCCCGGGCCAAGAAGGTTGGAAGCCACTAGCCCTCCTCCCAGCACCTGGTTGGGGAATGTGATTACAGTCCCCCAGGGACCTGGAAACTCTTTACTGCCTGCCTGCCTGCCTGCTCCGGCTGCCTGCCCCGAATTGGGCTCCTATAACTGTTCCAGAAAGTAGCTTTTGCTCCTTATGACTCCCAGTGCTGGAGACCGGGTGGTGGCTGGGTCTTTCATGGTCTGGGAGCTCAGGGGATCTCCCTCCATCTCGTAGGCGCTCTTACAGCAGCCCTGCACATTTCCTAAACCAATGAAAACTCAGAGGTCTTCGTATGCAATAGCTGAAGCCGAACTTCTTTATTTTTTTTTTTGAGACAGAGTCTCACTCTGTCACCCAGGGTGGAGTGCAGTGATGCGATCTCAGCTCATTGTAACCTCCACCTCCTGGGTTCAAGCGATTCTTGTACTTCAGCCTCCCAAGTAGCTGGGATTATAGGTGTGCACCATGAAGCCCAGCTAATTTTTTTTTTTTTTTTAGTAGAGACGGGGTTTCACCTTTTGGCCAGGCTGGTCTCAAACTCCTGACCTCAAGGGATCCACCTGCCTCAGCCTCCCCAAATGCTGGGATTACAGGGGGATTGCAGGCACAAGCCACCATGCCCGGCATTGAAGCTGAACTTCTGATGGTGGGAAGGGAGTGGGACAGGAGAAGGCAGAGAATGGGGCATCATGTTAAAACTCTTCTTCAAGGCAGAAGTATGCCCGGGAGTAAGCTTGCCTTTAGAACCTCATTTCATGTCAGGTGTGCTGGGACAGAGGGGAACTCAGTCAAGAAGACTGGCACCTTTGCCCAAAACACAGGAGATGAGATCTTAAAACACAGCCATAAGTATGTGCTGTAAAGAAACGGCCACAGGGAAAGCCAAGGCAAGAGGAGAAATATTTTTTCTTTGCATCTCATCTCATCTCTTCTCTTCTCTTTCTCTGTCTCTCTCCCCCTCCTTCCCTCCCTTCCTTCTTTCGAGGTGGGGTCTTGTTCTGTCACCCAGGCTGGAGTGCAGTGGCACCATCACAACTCTCTGCAGCCTCAACCTCCCAGGCTCAAGCAGTTCTTCTGCCTCAGCCTCCCAAGTAGCTGGGACTAGAGGTGCTTGCCTCCTCACCACACCCAGCTAATTTTAATTTTTTTTTTTTTTTTTTGTAGAGACAGGACTTGCTCTGTTGCCCAGGATGGTCTTGAACTCCTGTTCTCAAGCAATCCTCCCCACTTGGCCTCCCAAAGTGCTGGCCATACAGGCATGAGCTGCTGAGCCTGGCCTAGAAAGATTTCTTTCTGGACAGTTTGAATAGGGTTAGCTCTGAGACAGCTCTTACTGTCTTTTCTAACTTGTTTATGTAATTTCCCATGAATAGCTTTCATGACTTTTCAACTGGATTATCTGGTTTTAGGTTTTACCTGGATTTATATATACATATGTCTCAAGTTATTTAATTTTTCATTGTGTTAAAATATAGACAACATAAAATTTGCCATTTTACCCATTGTTCAGTGTACAATTCAGTGCTGTTCATCACACTGGCAGTGTTGTGAGACTATGGCCACGATCTCTTTCCAACATTTCTCGTCACTCTAAACGTAAACTTTTTACCCATTAAGCAATAAGTCCTATTCCCTCTTTCCCCGTCCCCGTGGCCCCTCCAGCCCCTGGAAACCTCTCATCTACTTTCCGTCTCTATGAATTTGCTATTCTGAACATTTCACATAAATGGCGCTGTACAATATTTGTCCCTTTGTATCTGGCTTCTTTCACTGAACATAATGTTTTCAAGGTTCATCCATGTCATAAGATGTATCTAACCTTAATTCATTTTATACCAAATAATATTCCACTGTATGGATATACCACATTATGTTTATCCACTCCCCTGTTGATGGACGCTTGGGTTGTTAGTCTCTTTGGCTATTGGAATAATGTTGCTGTCAACATGAGTGTACAAGTATCTGCGTCCCTTGTGTATCTATTTTTTTTTTTTTTGAGATGGAGTCTCGCTTTGTCACCCAGGCTGGAGTGCAGTGGCACGATCTCAGATCACTGAAACCTCTGTCTCCTGGGTTCAAGCGATTCTCCTGCCTCAGCCTCCTGAGCAGCTGGGACTACAAGCATGGGCCACCAGACCCAGTTAATTTTTTTGTATTTTTAGTAGAGACAGGGTTTCACCATATTGGCCAGGCTGGTCTCGAACTCCTGACCTCGTGATCCACCCGTCACAGCCTTCCAAAGTGCTGGGATTACAGGTGTGAGCCACCGTGCCCCACCTGTTTTGTCTTTGAGATGGAGTTTTGCTCTCTCACCTAGGCTGGAGTGCAGTGGCATGATCTTGGCTCACTGCAACCTCTACCTCCTGGGTTCAAGTGATTCTCCTCCCTCAGCTTCCTGAGTAGCTGGGATGACAGGCACATGCCACCACACCCGGATAATTTTTGTATCTTTAGTAGAGATGGGGTTTTGCCATGTTGGCCAGGTTGGTCTTGAACTCCTGACCTCAGGCGATCCTCCTACCCTGGCCTCCCAAAGTGTTGGGATTACAGGCGTGAGCCACTGCACCTGGCTGTATATCTATGTTTTGACCATCACATTTTTTTTTTCATCTGATCTACCTTTATCTTGGATGCTCTGTTTGCTAGCTTGGCAGAGCCAGCGTGGGCACACGTGGCAAAGCCATTTATGCCTGGGAATTCCTCTCTGACTGTCAACGCCGCCGCTTCAAAGGACTTCTTGCAGTCATCCTCTGGCATTGCCACGGCTGGTGCTGGTTGTGAATTCTGCACCAGCAACCTCCACCCCCTACATTGGACTTGATAAAACAAGCTGCTTCTCAGGTATGCTAAAGAACAAATTAAGAAACAGAATCACCTGGGATGAGTGAAATTCCCTTTCAATCATGTCAGCCGGAGCAGAGGTTGTCATGAAATTTGATGTTAGGGATTTATTTCCTAATATACAGTCTAAAAGGGAAAACAGTGTAAGAGCTGAAATGTGAATTGGACATGTCTATAGAGTGTGAATTGGATTCAAGACAAAATATTGTGAATGGTTAATAGGGTCAGTCTAAGTACACTTCCTGAAATAATCTCTTGGATATGCAAATATTCTGAGAGCTACACTGTCAAATAGCTATTGTATCCTCTTATCTATGTGTTCACAGAACGGCTACATGTTATAACAAATGAAAAATGTGAATTTAAAAAATAATGCCACCCTAAAATAATACTTTACTTTGAATAGCAATTTTTGTTGTCGGAGTTTTTTATTTTTGTCACACCAGACAGTTAGGTTCTTACCACAGCTTTATTTGGAAACATTAAGAGATGAGCTCTGGCCGGGCACAGTGGCTCACACCTGTAATCCCTGCACTTTGGGAGGCTGAGGCAGGTGGATTACCTGTGGTCAGGAGTTTGAGACCAGCCTGGCCAACATGGTGAAACCCTGTCTTTACTAAAAATACAAAAATTAGCTGGGTGTGGTTGCAGGCACCTTTAATCCCAGCTACTCAGGAGGCTGAGGCAGGAGAATAGCTTGAACCCTGGAGGCAGAGGTTGCAGTGAGCCGAGATCACACCACGGCACTCCAGCCTGGGCGACAGAGTGAGACTCCATCTCAAAAAAAAAAAAAAAAAAAGAGAGAGAGAAATGAGCTCTGTGTGTCCTGCTCTCAGGAGGAACAGACGTGGGGTGGGAAGGGGAAGGAGAAAGCAGGAACAGGCCAAATGTTCAGAGTCATCTGGGTCATCGAGTCTACCATATGCATCAGCCATGCCTTGGATTATCTTGGAATACCTTGGAACTTCTCCTTCTGGCTACCTGGGGCCTTCTCAGTGGAATCCCTTTCCTGGGAACCTTGCATTGTCTTGAGGACTTGAGATGCTATTTAAATGTTCACCATCTCACTATGGGTATCAGCCCATTACACATGAGGACAGGGTGGGGTTGGGGGCAAGGGGAATTCAGACGAAAGATACCTGTGGAGAAGCCATAGGTTTTACTGTTGACAATTCCGGGGCTCCACCATTGAGCCTCTCATTAAAAACATTAGGAAGTAGCCAAACATACTGGGTTTTGTTCCATTTCTTTTTCATTCCTTTTCCTAATTTCTGAGAGTTGAGCTAGTGAGCAGAGAAGGAATAGACAGTGCAGAGAAGACAGACAGCTGAGGGATGACCCTGACATACTCTAGAACAGCCCAAAGCCCATGGTAAGTATTCAAAAACACCTTGATCAGACGAACAAATAAACATCAGCCACTAGGACTCAAGAGCTGAGACGATCTCACCAACGGGCATGCCTTTTTCTTTGATCTGGCCCAGGTTTGCTGGGTTTGATTAACTTTGCAACTCTTTGGCAGAATTTGGTTCTCAGAAATATCAGGAAGTGGCAGAGTGCAAGAAAGCCCCTTCACCATACTTAAATGGAGACATCTCCCAGTTTTCTGATTTCCAGGTTAGAATTCAATTTCCAGGAATTCCCCTCTTTTTTTTTTTTTTGAGACGGAGTCTTAGTCTTGCTCTGTTACCCAGGCTGGAGTGCAGTGGCGCAACCTTGCCTCACTACCACCTCTGCCTCCTGGGTAATTTCCACCTCCCAGGTTCAAGTGATTCTCCTGCCTCAACCTCCCGAGTAGCTGGGATTACAGGCACCCACCATCACGCCTGGCTAATTTTTGTATTTTTGTAGAGATGGGGTTTCACTATGTTGGCCAGGCTGGTCTTGAACTCCTGACCTCAGGTGATCTGCCCATCTCGGCCTCCCAATGTGCTGAGATTACATGGGTGAGTCACCTTGCCCAGCCAATTTCCAGGATTCTCTAAGAAAGGATTCTGAGAATTAAACATGGAAAACAAGGGACCCCCAGCACCTGACTGCTGCTTTCTGCTTTATCCATGTCCTTAGGATCCACCATGTCCTTGCTCTGGTGCTTCAGCACCCCCTCAACCCCTGTTCATTCTCAAACCATCTAAATCCACCTGTTCCAAATCCCATCAGCTCTGAGTCCCGCTTGCCTTCTTCTTGGACAATCTGATACAATCTCCTCTGCTTCACTTTCGATTCCTCTCCAACCTGTTTGTACCATTAGAGCACTGCAGCACCATTATATCTCAATTGTGGTCCATAACCCATCTTCTCAAAATTTCAAAATTTATTTCAAATTGATGAGCCCCATTCAAGATCTCCTGAATCAGAATTTCTAAGGTGGGCTTCAGACTCCTCAGCATCACTCATAAATTTGAGAACATTGTCTTTTGGCACAAGTAATATAATTACCGTGTTGAAAGGTATTGCTCCCCTTTTGAGATGGAGTCTTGCTCTGTCACCTAGGCTGGAGTGCAATGGCACGATCTTGGCTCACTGCAACTTCCGTCTCCCTGGTTCGAGCAATTCTCCTGCCTCAGCCTCCTGAGTAGCTGGGACAACAGGCAAGCGCCACCACGCCCAGCTAATTTTTTAAATTTTTTTAAATTTTTTTTTTTATTTTTAGTAGAGGTGGGGTTTCACCATGTTGGCCAGGCTGGGCTCGAACTCCTGACATCAAGTGATCCGCTCACGTCACCCTCCCATAGTGCTGGGATTACAGGCGTGAGCCACTGTGCCTGGCCAGAGTTTGGCATTTCTTCCAGATTGTATTACATGTTCAGATTTCCTGCTTCTTGACTTCTTTATTTTTGTTAATGACATCACTGTTTCACAGACCCTAGGCTTCAAACCTCAACCTTCCAGTCCTCTGCACCCAGTACACCACCCCTTCCAACATGCACCTCACTCTAGCTGGGTGCTACCTCTTCAGTAATATTTCTTCCATTCTCACCTCTTTTTTTTTTTTTTTTTTGAGACAGGATCTCATTCTGTCACCCAGGCTGGCGTGCACTGGCGCCATCTCAGCTCACTGCAATCTCCGCCTCCTGGGTTCAAGCGATTCTTGTGCCTCAGCCTCCTGAGTAGCTGGGATTACAGGCACCTGCCACTGCGCCTGGCTAATTTTTGTGTTTTTAGTAGAGACGAGGTTTTACCATGTTGTCCAGGCTGGTCTCAAACTCCTGACCTCAGGTGAGTCGCTCACCTCAGCCTCCCAAAGTGCTGGGATTACAGGAGTGAGCCACTGTGCCTGGCCTCTTCCATCCTCACGATTGCTCTTGCAGATGAAGAACTTGGAAATGTTCACCTGAGCTCACCTCGAGATGCCAAATGCTGCCACTTCCAGTATGGAAATCCAGGGTACACATTGCCCCTCTTTTCCGGCATCTGTCCACTTTGTGAAATACATATCTATGCATATGCTTTTCTATTTCTTCCACTAGGCTTGAAGCTGCTGGAAGTGAATTTCTTTAGGTCACCTTTGCTTTTCTCTAGCATAGGACCTTGTATATGGTGCTTTGAAAAATATTTGTTGAATTGAACAGGTGAATTTCTTAATCGCAGGCCCACTGCTGACATGTAGCGATGTGTGTATAGATTTTTGACCTTCCAAACACTTTCACAGTCATAAGCATAGCTAGCCTTTCTGTCCTTGGTATTGCTGACTGTCAATTTGTCTGCATTTGCTAATATGGAAATTTGAAAAAAACACACAAAAAACCACCATCTGGGTTTGAGGTGAGAACCCCAGCTCTATCGCTTATTGGACGATCTTTGATAAGTTCCTTACCTCTCTAAGCCTCAGTTTCATCTTCTGTAAAAGGGAAGTAATAATAGTACCTCTCTTACAGGTTGTTATAAAGGTCAAAAGAGAAAACAAACGTAAGTACTTAACGTGGTTCCTGGCCTAGGTCAGGCACTCAGTGAATGGTAGCCATTGGGTACTGGTGTTCCTACATTTACATCTTTGTTTGTTTGTTTTTTTGAGACAGAGTCTCACTCTGTTGCCCTAGCTGGAGTGTGGTGGTGCAATCTCAGCTCACTGCAACCTGCACCTCCCAGGTTGGATCGATTCTCCTGCCTCAGCCTCCTGAGTAGCTGGGATTACAGGCACCTGCTACCAACCCTGGCTAATTTTTGTATTTTTGGTAGACATAGGGTTTCACCATGTTGGCCAAGCTGGTCTCGAACTCCTGACCGCAAGTGATCCACCCGCTTCCGCCTCCCAAATCGCTGAGATTACAGGCATGATTTCCTGCGCCCAGCCTATTATCTTTGAAAAGGTCTCTACTGGCTCCCATTTCTACTGGATAAGGCTTAAAATCCTGGGCCGTGAGTATCTCAGGTTCCCAGCCTTGTCTCCCCGCCTCACTCATGTACCCCAACCTTGGGTACCCCAAACCAGACTCTGCCTCTTCCTTCAACAAGTCCTGTGCGCTCACACCTCTAGGCCTGTCCTCCAGCAGTTCCCTCCTCCTGGAGGGTCTCTCCTCCCATTGGTGGCCCACAGAAAGATGCTTGGCGAGAATTAATTACTTCCTTATCCTTATTTCCATAGCTCTCTGAACCTTCCTCTATTACAGCACTTTCACATTGCAGTACAGTTAATTTGTTTTTGTATCCAAACTCCTCTGTGAGTCCGTGAACTCCTCAGGGGTAGGAATCATAGCTCGTGCCTCCTTTTGGCCCACTCACAGTGCATGAGCATTCTACGGTCTGATGAATATTTTCTGTGTTTACTAAAATGCGGAGATTAAGCATTAAGTCACCCAATGATTGTGGCAGTGGCCTCAATGCCTGTCCATCTGGAGACCTCCTATAACAGTCTGGTGGAGACTTTTATCCGTAGGCCTCTTTACAGAGACATTTTACATAGATCATCATCTTCCTAGATCTTCAGATAAAACTAGGCTTGTTCTGGCAGATACGGTGGGAAATAATGTAGTAAACCAAGGCAAGGAGTTTAGTGATTTGACCAAAGTTCCAAACTAACTGAAGGCACTCTGATTCCACTGGTCTATCTCCCAGTCTCACGGCTTTGCATGGAAGCTGTGTGATGGTGGCCTCCGAGGAAGAACTGGCCAAGTATCTTTGGGACAAAGTAAATTGACATGTTAGGTTATGAAATGCACCGATCTCCATCCAGACTGTTATGGGAGGTCTCCAGATGGACAGGCATTGAGGCCATAGCCACAATCATCCAGTAACTGAATACTTAATCTCCACGTTTTGGAATTATGTGCTCCCTATGGATTTATTTTATGTATTTATTTATTTATTTTATTTTTTCTGAGACAGAGTCTCGCTCTGTCACCCAGGCTGGAGTGCAGTAGCGCGATCTTAGTTCGATGCAACCTCCACCTCCTGGGCTCAAGTGATTCTGGTGCCTCAGCCTCCCGAGTAGCTGGGATTACAGGTGCGCACCACCACGTCCAGCTAATTTTTGTATTTTTGGTAGAGACAGGGTTTCACCATGTTGCCCAGAGTGGCCTCAACTCCTGGCCTCAAGTGATCCACCTGCGTCAGCCTCCCAAAGTGCTGGGATTACAGGCATGAGCCACCATGCCCAGCCTCCTGTGGATTTCAATGTGACCATTTGGGCAAATCTCTCAGTGAAGGAGTGGGACATTTTCTTTACGAGAGACTCTGGGGGAGTACGTACCACATGAGGCTGGTTCATAGTTCACAGGCTTAGCTGTACAAGCGTAATGGGAACACACAGGGTCTCTAGAAAAGAACCTCTCAGGGCCTCGGTTGACTTCAGGTATAGGCCTGATCCTGTATCCTCTTCACCTGGCTAACTTTTAACATGTGGCTGAAAAGTGGCTACTTCAGAAGCCTTCCTTGGCCACTCCTTCAACCCCACCATTCTGTCCCCCATGTGCTCCTATAGCATTTTATGTTCGCTTCCATCATCATATGGCTGAATGATCAAACCCAAGTCTGTCCCTCACTTGACTGTGAGATCCCTAAAGGCAGGGACCTGTCAAGTATGTTTGTCACTGGACCATTCTGAGAAGAAGAAGTGATGCAAGCATCCTGCGGAGGGAAGAGGACTACAAAACAGCAGGCCACTGCAGCCATCACTCACTGTGCTTGGCGATGAGCTCTTGCACAAATATGTCCTTGGCCACTGCTTTCTTTAATAGTCAGTTTTTTGTTGCTGGGCCAGGAGTGGTGGCTCACGTTTGTAATCCCAGCACTTTGGGAGGCCAAAGTGGGAGGACGGCTTGAGGCCAAGAGCTCAAGACCAGCCTGGGCAACACAGCGAGACACTGTCTCTAATTTTATATATATATATATGCATATATATATACACACACAGACACACACATACATATATATACATATATATACACACACATACACACACACACACGTGTGTATATATATATACACATATATATACACACATATATATATATACACACACACACATATATATATATATACACACACACATATATATATATATACACACACACACATATATATATATATTTTTTCCCCCAGGCCAGGCGTGCTGGCTCACACCTGTAATCCCAGCACTTTGGGAGGCAAAGACGGGCGGATCACTTGAGGTCAGGAGTTTCAAGACCCGCCTGGCCAACATGGCAAAACCCCATCTCTACTAAAAGCACAAAAATCAGCTGGGCATGGTGGCGGGCACCTATAATCCCAGCTACTTGGGAGGCTGAGGCAGGAGAATCACTTGATTCTGGGAGGCGGAGGTTGCAATGGGCTGAGATCGTGCCACTGCACTCCAGCCTGTGTGAGAGAGTGAGCCTCTGTCTCAAAAAATAAAATTAAATTAAATATTTTTGTTGTTAATTAAAACAAAACATTTCACTGCAATGGCTTTCCAAGTCAAAAATTCTTTTCATGGCCCTCATGATCATCATGATCGAGATTCCTTTAGATCCAGCTTTTCTTTCACCCCCGCATCTCTCCCACTCCCTATATGTACACGGACCCCCTCCCCCCGCCCCATCTCCTACCTCTGTGCTTAGGCTCATGCAATACCTGCCGCCCGGAACGCCAGCCTCAGAGCCAGGGAATCCTCTCCGCCATGCAAAACACAGTTTCAATGTTTCTCGGAAGCCCTCCTAGACCCCTCCTCCCTATGACCTGTTAGGGGCTTCTCTTGGTTCCCTGAGCTTTGGCTACTGCCTGACTTTTCTCATGATATTCCAATGATTTCTGCCCATTTTGCTCAATTAGAGCGCAAGATCTAGGAGCAAGGATCTTGTCTTGTTCTTTTTTTTCCATGCCCACTGCTGGGTCCTAGGTGGCTGGATGAATTGTAAAATAAGAATCTGTGGAATTTAACATTCTTTTATTATTTAGTGATGGTGAAGCTTTCTCAGCTCTGAGAAGACCTTAAATGCCCATGCTTTTTGCATGGTGTCAGTTTTTGGGTTCCAAGACTTTTGTTCTAGCAGGATGAGAACCCAGGATTACACAAGACGGAAGATGTACAAACTCTCCCTCTCTAAGGGTGAGTGCTCTTAAAAGGCTACAAAGGGCCAAGCAGTCAGATGGCTTCATGTTCTATCTGATATCATCCCTTTATTGTGCCCTTGGGCCTGGTCAAATCAGTCATCCCAGCTCATATGACATTTGCAGCTAGTTTCATGCAAGATGCAAAATCTTGCACGGCAATAACTAGAGAGGCTGTTGTAATTCTGTGCAAGTTGGAAAAAGCTGGGGGCCAATTTGGCCTGCATAGATGTGACTTTGTCTCCAAGTTCCCATCATTCATCATGGAAGCCCTGCCTTAGAAAGTTTAAGTAATCAAAACATTTGTCAACTATCAATTGACAATAATGATGGTGCACCTGTCTAGAGTTAGTCTGTCCACTTCCAAGGGTGTCCTCGTGTGACAGTTATGCAACAATGCACTTGGTCACCACATGAGTAATGACAAATGGGTCCGGACACTGCTATCGTCTCAGACATTATTAAGTTTTGCTAATGGATGGGACTAACAGTCCATCTAACCGGTTAGCAGGTGAGTCACTTGTAATACCAAAAAAGCAAGCATTTAAGTATGTATTTTAAAAATCATTCCTCTCTAGGCTGGGTGCAGTGCCTCATGCCTATAATCCTAGTACTTTGGGAGGACGAGGCAGGCAGATCACTTGAGGTCAGGAGTTCGAGACCAACATGGCGAAATGCTGTCTCTACTAAAAATACAAAAACACTAGCTGAGTGTGGTGGTGTGCACCTGTAATCTCAGCTACTCGGGACTCTGAGGCAGGAGAATTGCTTAAATCTAGGAGGCAGAGGTTGCAGTGTGCCAAGATCATGCCACTGCACTCCAGACTGGACGACAGAGCAAGACTCTGTCTCAAAAAATAATAAAATAAAATAAAATATAAAATAAAAAAATTGATTCCTCTTTAGTTTTATATATTTCATATCAAACCTTATTGAAAAAAGGATATAAGGCAGCTTCAGAAACAAAAGGAGATCCATGTTAGAGGTGGGTGTTTAAATATAAGCCCTTTCTTCTCAACCGACAAATGTTGTCACATCTGCATATGACAAGATATCACTCTACTGGGGCATCTGCTTTCCCTGACTCACCCAACAAGGTTGAGAATTCCCTCCTCCACATCACTCCTGTGCCTGGAACAAACCTGTTCTGTAGCGTAGCTCCTATGGCATTTTGAGTCTTTATTCCCATGCTGTGAGCATCTTGAGGGCAGCACCACGCGTATTTGGTTTGGAACCCCAAGCACCTAGCACAGGTTTTCAATCAAGAATGATGATAATGGGCTGGGTGTGGTGGCTCACACCTGTAATCCCACTTTGGGAGGCCAAGGTAGCAGGGTCGCTGAGCCTAGGAGTTTGAGGGCAGCCTGAGCAACATAGTGAGACTTCGTCTCTACAGAAAATTTTAAAAATTAGCTGGGTATGGGCTGGGCGCAGTGGCTCATGCCTGTAATCCCAGCACTTTGGGAGGCTGAGGCGGGCGGATCACGAGGTCAGGAGATCGAGACCATCTTGGCTAACACAGTGAAACCCAGTCTCTACTAAAAATACAAAAAATTAGCCAGGCGTGGTGGCGGGCACCTGTAGTCCCAGCTACTCGGGAGGCCGAGGCAGGAGAATGGCATGAACCCAGGAGGCAGAGCTTGCAGTGAGCCGAGATTGTGCCACTGCACTCCAGCCTGGGCGACAGAGCAAGATTCCATCTCAAATAAACAACAACAACAACAAAATTAGCTGGGTATGGTGGTGTGCCCCCGTGGTCCCAGCTGCTCAAGAGGCTGAGGTGGGAGGATTGCTTGGGCCTGGGAGGTTGAGGCTGCAGTGAGTGGTGATCATGCCACTGCACTTCAGCTTGGGTGACAGAGCAAGACCTTACCTTAAAAAAAAAAGAGAGAGAGAGAATAATGATGATGATGAGGAGGAGGAAGACGATGAAGAGGAGAAGGATGTATATTATTTTTTGTTTGTTTTGAGGGTATTGCTCTGTTGCCTAGGCTAGAGTGCAGTGGTGGGATCACGGCTCACTGCAGCCTCAAACTCCTAGGCTCAAGTGATCCTCCCACCTTGACCTCACAAAGTGCTGGGATTACACCCAGTGGATGTATGTTATTGTGTAAACTAAATTTTGGATATCTTCTCCTCCATCTAGATCCCCTTCTCTGCCGGTCCTGGAGCACACCCACCAGTACCTCTCTGGCCCCCTCCCCATCAGGCCCTGTGGAGTGCGGGGCACAGTCCTGAAGTGACTCTGGCCTTCTCCACTGTGGTTCTAACAGGGTTAAAGTTGAGGTTTCTAATCACTCCCATGAGGTCTTATTACCTGTTGATTAGGTCCTTTTGGGATCAGCATCAAACCGAAAACAATAATAAACACTCCCTTCATTGGAACTCAGTAATGACCCTGCCTGCCCTGCAGGCCTGGTGGCGATGGGGAGGGGCTCTGGCCGTTATGGGGCTGGAAACAGCAGCCCTTGTTGGGGGCGTTTGCCAGCGATTTGGTGGTGCAGCAAAGAGGTGCGGCTAACAAGCTGATAGGCACTGGTTGGGGATTCTGGCTGGCCGGAGGCATCCCTGTTGTTCCAGCACAAGGCTCTTCAGAGGGGACCCTCCACAGCCAGCCTGAGGACTTGAGAGATGGAGCTGGGTGGTCTTTCCGCAGGACTAGAGGAATTTCTAGAGAATGATCTGGTAACTGTTTCACGTGTATTTTTCCAGACTTTTTCCTGTGCACATTCAAATGTGAGTGAGTGAATGAGGATGTGAACGCATGCGTGTGCATAGGTTTCGTGTCTTTATTACAAAAATGCAATCATAGGAAACATTTTGTTCTGTAAATTGCTTTTTTTTCACCCAACAGTCCATCTCAGACACCCTTCCATGTCATTCTGTTGAAGCGCTTCGTATTAATCCAGAATATGAACAAAGCCAAATACATTTAACCAACATAAATGTGATTGAACATTTTGGCCATCTCCACCCGTTTCTTGGTATCACAAATAAAGCTGCAGTGCTTGCTCTGCCAGCGCATGCACTAAAATCAGCACGACACAGGTTACGTGGCTCCTGCGCAGGATGGATACACAAACTCGTGAAGCATTCCGTATTTTTTTTGTTTAAAAATTTTCCGGTGCAGTGCCTCGTGCCTGTAATTTGGGAGGCCAAGGCAGGTGAATTGCTTGAGGCCAGCAGTTCAAGATCAGCCTGGTCAACAGGGTGAAAGCCCATCTCTACAAAAACCACAAAAATTAGCTGAGTATGGTGGTGCACACCTGTAGTCCCAGCTACTTGGGAGGCTGAGGCACGAGAGTCACTTGAACCTGGGAGGCAGAGGTAGCAGTGAGCCAAGATCAAACCACTGTACTCCAGACTGGGCAACAGAGCGAGACTTGGTCTCAAAACAAAAACAAAAACAAAAACAAAAACAAAAAACCACCAAAACTTTTCATATTAAAAGCTTTTCAAAGTAAACAAAACTAATGATACGACATTAAAGAGTTTCATTTGGGCGGGGCGCAGTGGCTCATGCCTGTAATCCCAGCACTTTGGGAGGCTGAGGCGGGCAGATCATGAGGTCAGGAGATCGAGACCATCCTGGCTCACATGGTGAAACCCCATCTCTACTAAAAATACAAAAAGCTACTCAGGAGGCTGAGGCAGGAGAATGGCGTGAACCTGGGAGGTGGAGCTTGCAGTGAGCTGAGATTGCGCCACTGCACTCCAGCCTGGGTGACAGAGCGAGACTGTCTCAAAAAAAAAAAAAGAAGAGTTTCATTTGTTTTACTTTTAAATCCTAAAAATCCTTATACATTTTCTCATGTACTTGTGCAAGTATCTCAGTAAGATACATTCAAACAGGTTGTGTCTATTTGCACATGAAACAGTAGTATCTGAGTATGCCCTTTCCTTGGTCCTTGGATAATATAATTTTGTTTGTGACAATTCAATTGTAATAAAAGATACATCAGTGATATTTTAACCTGAATTTCCCTGACATGACTTTGTATTTATTATGTAATTTTAAAAACATATATAATTCAAGTTTTAAGAAAAATTACAAAAAACACTCCTAAAATTTCCATACACTCTTTACACAGGATCACTAATTCTTTGTATTTTGTCCCAGCTTTTTTTGGAGACAGGGTCTTGCTCTGTCACCCATGCTGAAGTACAGTGGCTCGATCATAGCTCAGCCTCAACCTCCTGGGTCCAAATGATCCTCCCACCCCTGCCTCCCGAGTAGCTGGGACTACAGGTGCGTATCAACACAGCCAGCTAATTTTTTAATTTTTTGTAGAGATAGGGTCTCCCATTGTTGGCCAGTATGGTCTTGAAGTTCTGGGCTCACGTGATCTGCCTGCCTTGGCTTTCCAAATTGCTGGGATTATAGGTGTGAACCACCGTGCCTGGCCTAGCATGTTAAACTAATAAATAAACAAATGACCAAGTTGCAGAATAATAACAGTAAGGATGCATTTTATGATTTTATGATTTTATGTTTTTTTTTGAGATGGAGTCTCACTCTGTTGCCCAGGCCAGAGTACAGTGGCATGATCTCGGCTCACTGCAACCTCCGGCTCCTGAGTTCAAGCGATTCTCCTGCCCCAGACTCCTGAGTAGCTGGGAGTACAGGTGCGCACCACCACGCCCGGCTAATTTTTGTATTTTTAGTAGAGACGAGGTTTCACCATGTTGGTCAGGCTGGTCTCGATCTCCTGGCCTCAAGTGATCTGTCTGCCTCAGCCTTCCAAAGAGTTGGGATTACAGGCGTGAGCCACTGCACCCGGCCAGCATTTTTCTATTATCCTATTCGATTCTGCTTTTGTTTTTGTTTTTTCCCTTGAGAATGTTTTGACACATTGCTAGTGAAATTAAAAATAAATAAACACACTAATGGGAGGTCTAACAATCATGCCAGCTTAGGGGAAGCAGCCACTATTTAAACATTAAAGAATCAAATACAGTTACACAGCATACACAGAATAAAAGTTGACCTGGGGGCTCTTGCTGTCTATAGGAAATTGCACCAACCCATTCAGAAAGGAATAAAAGGAACTCTACACTCTCCTATGTTTCAACTGCCAAGCTTTGCTGTTTATCCTAAGTCTTTACAGATTCCATATTCTCTGTGAGGGAGGGAGGGAGGGAAGAAAGAAAGACAGAAAGAAAGAGAGAGAGAAAGAAGAGAGAGAAAGAGAGGAAGGAAGGAAGGAGAGAGCGAAAGAGAGGAAGGAAGGAAGGAGAGAGAGAAAGGAAGAAAGAAAGGAAAGAAAAGAAAAGGACAGAGGGAGGGAGGAAGGAAGGGAGGAAGGGAAGGAGAGAGGGAGGGATTCGCCGTGCACCTAACACATTCTAAACCCTTGCCATATATGCTATTTCATTTAGTTTTTGAAACTCCAAGAAGCATTTCTTGTCCCCATTTTATGGATGGGAAAACGAGGTTTAACAAATTCGTGTAAGTTCTCAAGGAACCTGGATTCAAACTTAGTCCTTCCTGACTCCAAAGCCCACTGACCGTCCTCTACCAAGAATCGCTTTAGAGGGGACTGGAGAACAGGTTTGCAGTTGTAGAATCTTACACTGGTGGGTCTAGGTGGTGCATAGTCCTTTTCCTCCTTTTCTAGAGGTGCTCTAGAAAACACCTGGGGAGATGCCCCGGGCATGTTGGACAAACTTCTCTCCAGAGTTTTCCATTTCTCTCTGCTCCTGTCTGCCCATGGCACCTGATCTCAAGAGGGATAAGAAGGAGAGAAAAAGGGAAGACAGAGAAGAAGAGAGGGGTGGGATAATGAGAGAAAGAGAGGCAGAACCCCAAGCAGGAGCCTACAGAGGAGTCGACACAATAGGAAGACAGAGAAAAACGGAAGGAAGGGAAGAAGGGCAGGGCCTGTGAGGCAAGGAGCTTTGGGAGTCCTAGTCTCATAAATTAAAAGGATGACAACAAAGCCAGGCAGGAAGGATTTAAAAAAATTTTAAAAAGGCCGAACCCAGTGGCTGGCACCTGTAATCCCAGCACTTTGGGAGGCTGAGGTGGGTGGATCACCTGAGGTCAGGAGTTTGAGACCAGCCTGGGCAACATGGTGAAACCCTGTCTCTACTAAAAATACAAAAATTAGCCGGGCGTGGTGGCACATGTCTGTAATCCCAGCTACTCGGGAGGCTACTGAGGCAGGAGAATCTCTTGAACCCGGGAGGTGGAGGTTGCAGTGAGCTGAGATCGCGCCACTGCACTCCAGCCTGGGCGACGGCGTGAGACTCCATCTCAAAAAAAAAAAAAAAAAAAAAAAAAAAGTAAGTGCTTTCCCCCAGTAGACTGAGAAAGGGGAAGGTTAGTGAAGGGCGGAGAGAAGC
The DNA here is from genome assembly GCF_000001405.40 of Homo sapiens. Taxonomy (NCBI): domain Eukaryota; kingdom Metazoa; phylum Chordata; class Mammalia; order Primates; family Hominidae; genus Homo; species Homo sapiens. The sequence goes on from NC_000016.10 coordinate 73,112,803, forward strand.
AGCCCAGACCCCACCCACATTCCTCTGCATCCAGGGAGGAGGGTCCTAGCTGCTGCCCCTGGGGCCTGGCTGACCAGGTGAGCGGCTGCACAGCCCCATCGGAGCCAGGCCCGCCCTGGAGTTATCCTGCACACTTTGGACCCAGCACCCACAGCAGCCCTGCGCCTTGGTTCACTGGACAAACTTTGGCTCTTCAGACAAACTTTGAAAATCCCTAACTTCTTAGGGATTTTCCCTAAGATCCAGCAAACCAGCCGGATTAGTCTTTGGGAGAAAGGAGAGAGAGAATATGAGAAAGAAAGAGGGAATGAGAGGAGGAAGAGAGAAGAGGAGTTAGAGAAAGAGAAGGTCAGAAAGAAGGAGAGCAGGAGAGGAGGGCAAGAGGCCTGGAGAAAGAGAGTGGGAGATGGAACCAGGCGAGGAGGTGGAGAAGCTGCCAGAGGAAGTGAAGGGAGGAAGGAGACATTATATATTCCTAGGAAGGAACAATATAAGATCTTTCACCACGTCCCAGAGGTCAATAAACTGGCCTGGGAAATTAAGAACAAGTTGTCATTGAGGATTAGCAAAAGGCCTGAGGAAGTACAAAAATTCCTGCCAGCTTTCATAAAGCTGCCTCTAAGAAATTAAAAATCACAGGCCACAATAAATACGGCCCACGTCTATCCACACCCATGTCCACATGACAGCCTGGAGAATGAGGCATCCTTCGAGGCCTTGCTTTAATGTGAGTAATTACAATTATGCAAGAATCCCATGGGCTATAATCATACACCCACTACGTGAGCTACTGGGAAGAGGCAAGGAGGTGAATGCCAGCAACAAATGCACAGGAAGGAACATTCTAGAAGAGATATGAGAAAGTGGAATTAAACACGGATGGCGGGTCTTGGTTCCTACTAATGGGGTATGATGCATCCATTTCTACATTACATGGGCGGAAGGTTAAAACAAATAGTTTTTCTCATGACCAAGACTCTTTTTTGGAAACTTTTTTTTTTTTTTTTTTTTAGACAGAGTCTTGCTGTGTCACCCAGGCTGGAGTGCAGTGGCGCGATCTCTGCTTACTGCAAGCTCCACCTCTTGGGTTCAAGCCATTCTCCTGCCTCAGCCTCCCTGAGTAGCTGGGACTACAGGCACCCACTACCATGCCCAGCTAATTTTTTTGTATTTTTAGTAGAGATGGGGTTTCACCATGTTAGCCAGGATGGTCTCCATCTCCTGACCTTGTGATCTGCTCGCCTCGGCCTCCCAAAGTGCTGGGATTACCGACGTGAGCTGCTGTGCCCGGCCATTTTTTTTTAAGAGATGGGGGTCTCACTCTGTTGCCCAGGCTGGTCTCGAACTCCTGGGCTCAAGTGACCCTCCCACTTCAACCTCCCAAAGTGTTGGGATTCAGGCATGAGCCACCGTGTCTGGCTGGAAACTTTCAAGGGAATGGATTTTGCCTGTATGTTACTCATTTTCTGAGGCTATTTGGTGATGGTCTCACACTATGGTTGAAGATAAGTTGGAATTTTCTTAACTAAAGTTACCTTTTTAATATTCTTTATTAATCACCCCTTAGGTTGTTATCAGAAATTGGGTAAACTGTCAGTCATGGTGGTTCATGCCTGTAATCACAGCACTTTGGGAGGCCAAGGTGAGAGGATCACTTGAGGCCAGGAGTTTAAGACCAACCTGGGCAACATAGTGAGACCCCCATCTCTATGAAAAAGATTTAAAAACTAGCCAGGCATGGTGGCACATGCCTGCAGTCCCAGCTACTCAGGAGGGTGAGCTGGGAGGATCCCTTGAGCCCAGGAGGTCGAGGCTGTAGTGAGCCATGACTGCGTCACTGCACTCCAACCTAGGCGACACAGTGAGACCCTGTCTCAAAAAACGTAAAGTAAAATAAAAAAAATAAAATGGGAAAACTAGCAATTTTCTGCAAGGAAATAAGTTTTGCCACCTTGTGAATGGCCAGCCTGTCTTTGATCACAAGGGCAACTCACAGGCAAAGGATTACTGCTATTTCCTAATTTTAGTTTGTTTTTAAAGAGATGGGGTCTTGCTGTGTTGCTCAGGCTGGTCTCATACTACTGGGCTCAAGAAATCCTCCCACCTCAGCCTCCCAAGCTGTAGGGACTACAGGCGCATGCCACCATGCCTAGCTGATTGCAATTTCTACCCTGGGGCCCCAGGCCCTTCTATAGCGATTCCTCAAGAGTCTACTGTCATAGAAGCAGCTGTCTTCAGCTTCTCTCCCTAGGCCTTCTTTGTTGGCCACCAGCAATTCTTGGGGTAGCCAATGTCTTGAAGTTCAGGACCAACTGCCGGAGAAACCAGACCCTGATCCTGGCTGCCCCTCATCTCCAAGTCTCAGCAGACGCTGCTGAGTTGGTGCCTTGCGGGAGACCATTAAGTCCGACTCCAGGGATCCAAGGTCTACCACTGCCCCAAGATTACGGGGTCCAGGCCAGGCGTGATGGCTCATGCCTGTAATCCCAGCACTTTGGGAGGCTTAGGCAGGAGGCTCGCTTGAGTCTAGGAGTTTGAGACCAGCCTGGACAACATAATGGGACCCTATCTCTACAAAAAAAAAAAAAAAAAAAAAATCAGCTGGGTGTGGTGGCGTGTGCCTATAGTCCCAGCTATTTGGGAGACTGAGGTGGGGAGGATTGCTTGAACCTGGGAGGTCGAGGCTGCAGTGAACCGGGATCATGCCACTGCACTCCAGCCAGGGTGACAGAATGAGACCCTCTCTGAAGAGTCCAATGTCCATACTTGGCTTCCTTCAGCATCTCCCACCTTCTAGCATCTCCTTGCTTCTAGAACCAGATAGCAACTTTTTTGGAGCACCTCCTCAAGGGCAGGCGTAGGGCTAGATGCTTTACGTCTTTCATTTGGCCCTCACAATTATAGGAGGCACTGCTATAGACAGTTTCACAGATGAGGAAACTGAAGCTTAGTGAGATAACTTGTTCAAGTTCACATTGTTTGTGATGGAGCCACTAATCAAGTCCAGGGTTGCCTGGTTCTAAAAGGTTGCTCTGGCCAGGTACAGTGGCTCATGCCTGTAATCCCAGCACTTTGGGAGGCCAAGGAGGATGGATCATCTGAGGTGAGGAGTTGCAGAACAGCCTGACCAACATCATGGAGAAACCCCGTCTCTGTTAAAATACAAAATTAGCCGGGCGTGGTGATGCATGCCTGTAATCCCAGCTACTCAGGAGGCTGAGGCAGGGGAATCACTTGAACCCAGGAGGCGGAGGTTGCGGTGAGCAGAGATCATGCCAGTGTACTCCAGCCTGGGCAACAAGAGCGAAACTCTGTCTCAAAAAAAAAAAAAAAAAATGTTGCTCTCTGCTTCCACTGCTTCATCCTGCCTTTAGTGCTTATGCCCTTTGGGTCTTGAAAACTGTTCCTACCTTCAAGAGTCTCCCAGATGAAATCCACGTACTCCAGAGCCGGGTTGAGTGGGTGGGTGGCGGGGGAGTGTCCCTTGAAAATTCTGACTACCTCATTAATGGGGATTTGCTGACAGTTACTCACTCACAGGCATTTTCTTAGGACAAGGAGGGCTTGGAGAAGAAAGGCTAGTTCTCAAGAGGAGGAATGAGAGTTTGAACCAGAAATGTGTAACAAACACTCCCTACATTGTGGAATCGCAAGTGGAGAAGGCCAGAAGTGGCTGGGGAGGGTGCCAGACTCCAGGCTGGGAAGCTGGAGGCCTCCATTTTGCTGAGGATGAAACTGTCATTTTTTGTACCTGGGGATGCAGACCATGTACCTATCAAAGCTTAGTTTAGCAGAAAAAATTCAGGATGTTGGAGTGGGTTGGCTTCTTCCAGCAGCCTTCAATGAAGCACTTTGGGAGGCAGGCTGAAGGTGCTCTGTTTTCCAGCAAGAAGTCAAAGGACTCTGGTTGGCTAAGAGAGGTTCTTTCCACCTGTGGCCTGTAATTTAAATGACCAAAAGTCCTAACCCTGGGTACTGCAGGGCTGGAAAAACCACATTTTTCTATCTCAAACCCAGTTTATTCACGCAGGAATGGGGAGGGTTCTCAGAAGATGAGATGAGAACACAGAAAAAGCCTGGCCTGCCTCATCCTAGGCTGTCTCCCGGCTTGTTCTGGTGAACATTGTCTGTCTAAGCAAGGGGGATGCATGTGCTTTGTGAAGTGTCTGGGAACAGTCTGAGGGCATGAAGAAATAAGAATCTGCCTACCCAAGGCTATTGTCTTTATTTCCTACAAAGCAAAGGCTAAAATGAAGGAAGAGGCCACACACTAGGCCTGAACTAAAGGTAGTGCTTCAAACTCTAGGTATGACACATTAGTGGACTATAAACTCAATTTGATGGATTGTTACTGGCTTGTTTTTTCTTTTCTTTTTCCTTCTTTCCTTCCCTCTTTCCTTCCTTCTTCCCTCCTTCCCTTCTTTCCTTCCTTCCTCTTTCAACAGAATAGAAACTATTAGCATGTAACCCATGTAGTGGCCATAAATACTGTTGTATAATAAAACTTATGATTTAGTTATACATAAATACATACCAATATGCACATGCATAATTGTATACTAGGTCATGAAGTAAATTCATTCTCATTATGGGTCATGGCCAAAAAATTTGAAAACTAGTAGACAGGTGAAGCATAGAGATTTGGGGCCAGAAAGTAGAAATTTCCAGGTTGAAAACACATGATCAAACAAAACCTCTGACTATGGTTACGACCCAATGGAGTTGTCTAGAGGCAAAAATATGAAAAGCCTATTAGTTTTTGGGGGGATGAGTATTGCTAAAGAAATGGCAAGAAAGGGTGACAATAGTCTGCAATTGTTTAAATTGTTAGGTGTACTTTAGGTCAATCTCTAGCCTCCTGCTATAGACCCAATGTGTCCCCACCTAAATTCACATGTTAAAATCCTAACCCCTAATATGATGGTATTTGAAGGTGAGGCCTTTGGGAGGTCATTAGGTCATGAGGGTGGAACCCTCACAAATAGGATTAGTGCCCTTATAAAAAAGGCCTGAGAGAGAGCTCCCTTGCCCCTTCTACCATATGAGGACACAGAAAAGATGACTGTCTATGAACCAGGAAGTGAGCCCTCACCAGAAACCAAATCTGCTGGTGCCTTCATCTTGGACTTCCCAGCCTCCAGAACCATGTGAAATACATTTCTGTTGTTTATAAGCCATCCAGTCTAGAGTTGTTTGTTATGGCAGCCTGAACTAACTAAGACACCCCCAAAATCACACCAGAGGTAGTGAATTGCTAAAGCAGTACAGTCCTCAGAGAATGCATGTTCCCATTGCCTTCCTCAGAGATGCCCATGAAGGACAGATGGACAAAGAGGACCCTCTGTGGTCTATATTAGATACCAAGAATTCTTTCTATTGCCAGAGGTCTTAATTATTTTTTGTTCTTAGTTTTTTTTGTTGTTGTTGAGACAGTCTCACTCTGTTACCCAGGCTAGAGTGCAGTGGCACAATTTCGGCTCGCTGCAACCTCCAACTCCTAGGTTCAAGTGATTCTCGTGCCTCAGCCTCCTGAATAGCTGGGATTATAGATGTGTGCCACCATGCCTGCCTAATTTTTGTATTTTTAGTAGAGATGGGGTTTCATCATGTTGGCCAGGCTGGTCTTGAACTTTTCACCTCAGGTGATCTACCTGCCCCGCCTCCCAAAGTGCTGGGATTACAGGTGTGAGCCACCATGCCTGGCCTATTTTTTTGTTCTTAGGATATGACATGTGCAACTTCCCATCTTCCCAGAGTTTTTATTGTATACCTCCCATTCTTTCTTCAGTGTATTGGGTGTATTGGGGGTAGATAACTTATTTAATCACAGGTCACTGGACCACTAGGAGTTACCTGTGAATTTCAAGAAGAGGAATTTCACAGGATGTAGTAATTATACAAGCCTCTGGGCTCTTGCATTTGAGTTGCATGCATTTTTATATGGGTATGGGTATTTGTAAGAGTGTTTCTGTGGAAGATAGGTATGAGTACATGTTGAGTAGCCAAAGGGGTGCACAGTACTTGACATTTTTTGGTTGCTACCCAGCACCCATGTAACTATCCTCCACCTTAGCAGTATCCAGATTTTCCTTCAGGTAATTACATCCCCATGCAGCCCATGGACTTTGTAGCTTATTCCAGCTGAGAGCCCTGAATAACTTGAGCCAGGCAGTACCTTTTATTTCCCTGATTACAGTCACTCCTTTCAGGGTGGGCACTGTGTCCTGGGATGGTACTATCATGTAAATTTCAGGAATCCTACTTGAAATGACAGTGCAGAAACACTCTCTTTTTAAAATTCTTTTATTTTTATTTTTTTGAGACAGGGTCTCACTTTGTGGCCCAGGCTGCAGTGCAGTGGTGCGATCATGGCTCACTGCAGCCTCAAACTTCTGTGCTCAAGTGATCCTCCTGCCTCAGCCTCCTGAGTAGCTGGGACCATAGGTGCATGCCACTATGCCCAGCTAAATTTTAAAACAATTTTTGTAGAGATGGGGCCCCACTATGTTGTCTAGGCTGGTCTCCAACTTCTGGGCTCAAGTGATCCTTCCATCTCAGCCTCCCAAAGTTCTGGGATTACAGGTGTGAGTCACCACACTCAGCCCGGAAGCACTTTCTACCATGGGGCTCCGCACTAAACTGGCAGCCACACTGTGTCTCCAAGGAGGGCAGGCCTTAGGATGAGGGCAACATTGTGGCTGATGGGGTAGAGAGGAAGGAGGGCTCTGGGCCCTTCATTATGCTCCTGAGCGCTTGGACCAACCAGCCGTGTGGCCTGCTTTACCTTTGCCATGTTCCATGTGAGCCAACAGGCATCCTTACTGAGATCTGTTTGAGTTGATTTCTAACAGTTACATCATAGGAAATATAAACTTCATGTATTTTATTTTACGTCTTTTAGAAATGGGGTCTTGCTCTATCCCCCAGGCTGGAATGCAGTAGTGTGATCATATTTCTGCAGCCTTGAATTCCTGAGTTCAAGTGGCTGGCTTCAGCCTCCTAAGTAGCTGGGACTACAGGCGTGCAACACCTTGCATGGTTTATACTTTTTATTTTTACATTTTTTGTTAGGACAGGGGCTTGCTATGTTTCCCAGGATATTTACAACAAACAAAAAAACCTTTGTTTTGCTTGAGGCTGAGCTTTCTTATTCCAGATGTGGAATTGCAGAGCCTCTGTCCCAGGCCTCCAGGAGGCTGAATTCATTCCCAGTGGGTTTTAGTGGTTCCAGCCAGGAGTCTACTCCTGAAAGTTCCTCTGTGCTCAATTTCCCCCATACTAAGTGAAATACACAGTTGATGTTTGTTTTTTTTGTTTGTTTTTTTCACACTCAAGGCTCTTTCTGTCCCTGATCTATCCCTTCATGACCCTTGGCTCATTTCCCATTTCTAGTCCTGCCCCTTGAATCACAGTAATATTAAGCTGTTTAGAGTTCCACATTCCATACTATTTTTGTTGTTGTTGTTATTGTTGTTAGAGACAGGGTCTTGCTCTGTCACCCCGGCTGGAGTGCACATAAGTGGTGCAATCATAGCTCATTGCAGCCTCAAACTCCGAGGCTCAAATGATCCTCCTGCTTCAGCCTCCTGAGTAGCTGGGACTACAGGCACATGCCACCATGCTCCATTAATTTTTCATATTTTTATTTTTTTGTAGAGACAGGGTCTCACTCCATTGCCCAGGCTACTCTCAAACTCCTGGGCTCAAGTGATCCTTTCACTTTGGTCTCCCAAAGTTCTGGGATTCCAGGCATGAGCCACTGTGCCTGGCCAAACCCCATACCTTTCTTCATGTGCCTTTCTTGATATTGTTTTTGTTTGTTTGTTTTTCTGCCCTATCCTCTCTACCTTTTTTTTTTTTTTTTTTTTTTGAGACAGAATCTCGCTCTGTCGCCCAGGCTGGAGTGCAGTGGCAGGATCTTGGCTCACTGCACCCTCCACCTCCCGGGTTCAAGTGATTCTCCTACCTCAACCTCCCGAGTAGCTGGGACCACAGGTGTGTGCTACCACGCCCGGCGAATTTTTTATATTTTTAATAGAGATGGGATTTCACCGTGTTAGCCAGCATGGTCTTGATATCCTGACCTTGTGATCCGCCCACCTCGGCCTCCCAGAGTGCTGGGATTACAGGTGTGAGCCACTGTGCCGGGCCCCTATCCTCTCTACTTTCTTTGTTTTACATCTATTTATCCGCTTAAGCCACCACTCTCCAATATGGCAGCTGCTAGCCATGCGTGGCTATGGATTACTTGAAATGTGGCTACTGCCAGTGAGGAACTGAATTTTCTACTTTATTTCATCACAATTAATTTAAATTACAAATTTTAAATCAAAGCAATATAATATATGTTTCTGTTAAACACAGCTTTATTGCTTTGATAGGACTACATTTTACTTTAACAATTGAAAATTTGGCATACAAATTGAGATGTACTGTAAGTATAAAATATGCACTGGCTTTCAAAGACTTAACACAATAAAAAGAATGTATAATATCTCATTAATAATTTTTACATTGATTGCATAGTGAAATGGTAATATTTTGGACATATTGGGTTGAATAAAATATATTATTAAGATTATTTTCACCTGTTTGTTTTTACTTTTTAAAATATGGCTACTGGAATATTTAAAATTACACACATGGCTTGTACTGTGTTTCTACTGGACATCTTTGGCCTAGACCATTTCAGACAGCATCTCCTTGAGAACAGTTTTCCCAATCACTCAGGCTAGGCACAGTGGCCTTCTAACATCTTTCATGATATGTTCTTACATAGGACTTATTAGGCTGGCGCAGAACTAATTGCAGCTTTCTTTTTTTTTTTTTTTGAGATGGAGTCTTGCTCTGTTGCCCAGGCTGGAGTGCAGTGGCTCGATCTCGGCTCACTGCAAGCTCTGCCTCCTGGGTTCTCGCCATTCTCCTGCCTCCGCCTCCCAAGTAGCTGGGACTACAGGCGCCTGCCACCACACCCGGCTAATTTTTTGTATTTTTAGTAGAGACGGGGTTTCACCATGTTAGTCCGGATGGTCTGTATCTCCTGACCTCGTGATCCACCTGCCTCGGCCTCCGAAAGTGTTGGGATTACAGGCATGAGCCACCGCACCCAGCCATAATTGTGGTTTTCACCATTACTTTTGAAGGTGAAAACTGCAATTACTTTTGCTCCAACCTATTCATATTAATTATATTCTCTTCATGAATATTATTATTCATGAATATTAATTCATATTGTCTTCGTGTGTCTCTCTCCCCACTAAGACTATAAGTTTCTCAGGGGCAGGAACCATATTTTATATTTCCAGGGCCTGGCACATGGTAGGTACCCTATCCATACTTGTGAAATTAATTAATGGATAGCCACATCAAATTCACAAGTATCTTTAAATATAATTTCACATACAACTGCTCTTTTTTTTTTAAGATGGAGTCTCACTCTGTAGCCCAGGCTGGAGTGCAGTGACGCAATCTCGGCTCACTGCAACCTCCACTTCCCGGGTTCAAGCGATTCTCATGCTTCAGCCTCCTGAATAGCTGGAACTACAGGTGCATGCCAGGCTAATTTTTGTATTTTTTTTTTTTTTAGTAGAGACAGGGTTTCATCATGTTGGCCAGGCTGGTCTCGAAACCCGGACCTCAAGTGGTCTGCCTGCCTTGGCCTCTCAAAATGCTGGGATTACAGGTGTGAGCCACTGTGCCTGGCCACATATAACTAATTTTAGGATTTGTTTTCTGTCTTGCGGCTTCCTGGAGGTCAAGTCTTTTGGCTGTGTCTCTAGGCCACCACGGGGTGCAGTGACCAACTTGGGGGGCCATCAGGGGATTCCCTGTAGACAAACTGTCCAGCCCTTCCTAGCATCCTGTTCCTAGTGGGGCACCAGATGGGCACAGAGCAGGAGTCAGCAGTTAAGGGTGAGCCCCAGAAGGAGCAGAGGAAAGAAAACACGAAGTGAGGAGAGCAGGAAGCAAGACTTCTCCTTCGGCTTTCCGTGGCCCTGGGAGCTGAGCACTGCTGCCAAGCAAACAGTGGTGTGGAGGAGCGAGAAGGAGAGCCCAGGCTGGATGTGGTCGGCCGCTGGGTGGAGTTAAAATGTATAACAAGGGAGAGGCAACTGAAGAAAAGAAAAGATTCTTTTAAAAATTCTGCTCTAGCCTAATTAAAAAAAATTCCACTCCCTCATGCTACGTTTTAAGAGACTGCCCTTTCAGAATTATTTTCAGTCTGGTGGTAACAGGCAGGAAGAGTGTCAGATGTTCACCAAGCTATAAAGAGGACACTCCCCACCCTCTAAAACACAGGGCCAGCCCCCACATTGCTTTTCTGACTTGGGTTATGAGGATACAGGATGTGAAGTTGTCAAAGGCATAGATCTTTCCGGAAAGGAGTGTCCCATGTGGTAGATTAAAAAAAAAAAAAATGGCTACAGTATTTTGCAGCTCCTCCCACCAAGACGTGGAGTCAGTTTCACCAGCCCTTGAATCTGGGTTATACTACTCACGGGACATCAGGACACCTAATGCAAGCAGAAGCTTGACAAGCACTTGCACAGAGGGGTTTGCTCTCTTTTGCTATTTTTGGAATCCAGCCATCATGTGAAGAAGTCTAGACTGGCTTACTAGATCCTGGAGACACATAGCCTGGTCACCCTTGTGGATCCCTCCCAGGTTCCAGGCACATAAGTGATACCATCTGGGACCACCAGGCCTCAGACAGTCCTCACCTGACTGTAGCCACATACACAAGTTCAGGTGAACTCAACAGAAGAACTTCCAAGCTAAGCCCAACCCAAACTGCCAGCCTCCAGGATGGTGAGCTAATTAACAATTGTTGTTTTAAGTCTCTAAGTTTTGGATATTTTAAAAATATGGTGCTATGGTCTCAATGTTTGAGTCACCTGGAAATTAATATGTTGAAACCTAATCCCCAATTTAGGGGCATTAAGAGGTAGAGTCTTTGGGAAGTGATTAGGTTATGAGGGTAGAGCCCTCCTGAATGGGACTCATGCCCTTATAGAAGAGGCCTGGGGGAGCTTGTTTGCCCCTTCTGCAATATGAAGACCCAGTAAGAAGATGCCATTTATGAGGAATGGGACTTCATGAGATACCAAATTTGCCAGTACATTGATCTTGGACTTCTCAGGCTCTAAAACTGTGAGAAATACATTTCTATTGTTTATAAGTTACCCAGTCTGTGGTGTTTTGTTATAGCAGTACAGATGGACTAAGACAGATGGCAAAACCAACCAACCAACCAACTAATACAGTTTGAGTCACAGGTGGGAAAATCCATGTAGAAATAACCACTTTACAACCTTGTATAGGAGAGCTATTATAATAGTGTGTTTTGGCCTGTTCCGGCTGCCGTAACAAAATACCATAAACTGGGTAGCTTTTAAGCAGCAGAAATATATTTGTCCCAGTTCTGGAGGCTGGGAAGTTCAAGATCAAGGCACTGGGGACGGCAGATCTGCTGTCCGGTGAGGGCCTGCGTTCTGGTTCATAGATGATGTCTCCTTGCTGTGCCTTCATGTGGTGGAAGGAGCAAGCTAGCTCTCTGGGTCTCTTTTATAAGATCACTAATTCCATTCATTCATGAGAGCTCCACCCCTATGACCTAATCACTTCCCAAAGTCCCCACCTCCTGATATCATCACATTGAGGATTAGGTTTCAACATTCAGACCATACCCTAGAGCGATTCAGAGTGCGGGCTTTGGAGCCAGGCAGGTTCAGTCCCACCACTTAGATATAATCCTGGACACGTTTGATAGCAACGGTAACAGTGACAGTACATGCTTTGCAGGGTTGTAATGAGAACTGTGTCGGCCAGGGTCACACATCTGTATTAGGATAACTTGAGGAGAGTTTATAAAGGGACTATTACATCTACAAAGATGTGGTCAGGGTTCAGGGAAACACAAGAGAGAGTGTAGCGCACTGGGGTTGTGATAGCACCCAGGTGGGAAGCAAGGACAGGGCATGGTGACGAGAAGCTGGGGACAGAGCAGGTGGGGTCAAGAGGGTTGCTTAACAGGACCCATAACCTTGTGTTGAGAAATGAGTCTGTTCTGCAGTGACATGGCTGGGAGGGGGCTGGGAGAATACAAACTCTGATCTAACTTCTTCCTCTTGCCTATTTTTGCCAGTGATCCTCATTGGCCAAACCCAACTGGAAGCCACTGGGCTTCAAATCAGCCTCCTGTGGCAAAAAGCAAGGTGGAGAAGGTGAGAGAGTAGATCTGGGGCAAATGGAAGGTATCCAGCCCATGGATTTAAAAGCAATAATGCATAGGAAAGCCCTGATCATGTACCTAGCACCCAGTCACTGTTTGCTGTAATATTATTATATTATCGGAAGAAACCAAGAGCTGTGGGTGGCAGAAGAGGAATTGAGCTGTTTTTTTTTTTTTTTTTTTGCTAGGGTGACCTGCAGAATACTCATGGAGGAGGTCTGCTTTGAGTTGTGGCTTGGAGAGATGAAGAAAATAATAGAGCAAACATTGACATGGAACCTACTATGTGCAGGTACCATTCTGGATGTCGTACATACATTAATTTATTTAATCTTCATAGCCACTTTATGGGGTAGGTACTGTGATGGTTAATACTGAATGTCAATTTGATTGGATTGAAGGATATAAAATATTGATCCTGGGTGTGTCTGTGAGGGTGTTGCAGAAGGAGATTCACATTTGAGTCAATGGGCTGGGAAAGGCAGACCCACCCTTAACCTGGGTGGGCACCATCTAATCAGCTGCCAGTGCAGCTAGAATATAAGCAGGCAGAAAAATGTGAAGAGAGAGACTCCCTAGCCTCCCAGCGTACATCTTTCTCCTGTACTGGATGCTTCCTGCCTTCGAACACTGGACTCCAAATTCTTCAGTTTTGGAACTTGGACTGGCTCTCCTTGCTCCTCAGCCTGTAGATGGCCTATTGTGGGAAGCTGTGATCGTGTGAGTTAATACTTAATAAACTCCCATATATATATATGTGTGTATATATGTATATATATATGCATATATATACACACACACACATATCTATTCCATTAGTTCTGTCCCTCTAGAGAACCCTAATACCGTACCATTATTATCCCACTTCACAGATGAGAAATTGAGGCAAAGAGAAGTTAGATAACTCAGTCAAGGTCATACAGTAATAAGAAATGGAGCCAGGATTTGAACCAATTTCAAAGAGGGTGTGGGACACAGCATTTGTTTCTTAGGCACATAGCTGAAAAATGCACAGAGAGGAAGCAGTGAGTCATCCACAGGGACTAGTATGGGGTTTGTGCTAGAGAATGGGGAAAGACAGAGAATGGGGAGAGAGCCAAGGACCAGAATGATGGGTGGAGGAATTTGTCCTCCATTCTGGGAGGCTCTGGGAAGCCACTGAGGACTTCAGAGAAGAGAAAGGCAATCACAGCGGGGCACCAGGAAATTTATCCGTGTGCAAGGCCAAACTAACAAAGCAGGGAGCAACTGGAAGCCAGGCAATCAGCGAGAGGATACTGCAGAGGTCCAAGCACTAGGTGATGAGGGCTTGAATGAGGATGATAGCAGCCTAGATGGAGGGAAGAGACAAGGGCATTGCGCTGCTAGGGGAAGCACAACAGGACTTGGGGACTGAAGTACTGGATGTGTCAAGCGGGGACTGAAGAAACAGAAACAGATGGGAGGTTTGGGAGCCACGTGATAGGTGAATGATAGTATTAGATGTATCATTCAGCCACACTTAGGGTACACGTTGGAAAAAAAGTGTACGTCAGCCAGTCTTGTGTGTTCTTTGGTTGCAGTGCACATGTTAATAAGTTGTACCACTCCCACACACTGCAGTCAGTTGCGAAATAGCAATCTATTTTGCAATATCAGCTCCTGGTAAATTTCACTTGTGAGCCTGGAACAAGGATGGGGGTGGATTCAAGGACCGCCCCCTGAGGTGGTGAGAAGACCAGGGATTGCAGGACATTGTGAGATTCTTTCTGGGGCAGCTGGAAGGATGCTTGGTTGCCCAGCGACAATCCTGCCTCCGCAGCAGTCTTGGTTTCCTGCAGTCCCGGATGCATCTCATTAAAAGGACAGAGGGATGGATGGCCGACACATTTTCTGAAGTGGCATTTTCAACGTCCTGAGTCCTGGTATCTTGTTTATAAGTGGCACTTACAAAATACAAGGGAAAGAAAAAGAAAACGGGAGAGGAAGAAAGGTCTCCTAGGATCTCAAGCATGCAGTGCGTGGATCTTGACTCTCCAATTTCAGCTTGTCTAAGAGACGGGGTGCAGGGCCTCCTTGAAATCCACCTGAAATGAATTAGCCTGAAGTAAAAGTAGGTGTTTATCTCAAGTCATTGCCTCAAATAGCTGACTACCTGTTGGAAGAAGGGTCTGATCGATGCAAACCAGAGCAGTCGTGCGTGAGCTGTTACACAGCGGTTAGTATCGATCAGAGCTAAAGGCTGCCGATAGGAATGTGGAGGAAACTGACAGGCAGAGAAGAGGGAAGAAGGAAACAGCCTTCGCTGGTGGCAGCCGTACAGAGGAAAGCCGATAAAAAGTCAATTCCACTTAACTGAATGGCTGCTAACTAAATATTTTTGGGGCCAGAGCCTTCCCAGGTAGTAGCTGGAGCATCTCTGTTCCGGAACTGAGACATCAAGCGAGAGCCGGGCATCGACAGGCAAGATCACTGGTCCCTGGTGATGGATGGGGGAAGAAGAGAGCCCCTGAATGCAGAGATGGGAGGCTTTGGGCTCAGCCGAGCTGACTGGGGCACTTGAGGACAGCCACTGACCACGGAGCACTGCTGGCAGGCAAGAAAGGAACAGGGTGCAGACTGGATGTTATGGAACAGTTGCTGATTAATTAGTTCATTTAAAACCCCGATGCTTTTTCCTGAACCTCACTCAGTAAGGGCTGTTGAAACTAATGGCTGCAGAGAAAGTTGGACAATGCCTGGTCCTATCACAGACAGAAGCAGAATGGTGCCATATAGTGTAGTTAAGAGACTGGCTGATGACTTATTTTCCTGAACTTTTATGCCCTCGGAAGGATTGTAATTCTTTTTCTTGAATTAGATGTGAACATGTAACTTGTTTGGCCAATGAAATGTGAATAGAAGTGATGCATGTCCCTGCTGGGTAGAAGCATTTAATTACTGGTGTACAACCTTCCTGTTCTTTGCTTGCCACTGTGATCCTGCATACTAGTGTTGATATGGATAAGAGTGAAACTATCTGGAATGTTAAGCAAATGGATGCATAGTTTTCCAAAACTGCAATGAATTTTGTGTGAATAAGGAATAAACTTCTATTGTGTCACATCACTTAATTTTTGGCCTTGTTTGTTACCCAGCATAACTGAACTTTTTCTGACTGATACAGGGGGGCTGGGTTTTAGAATCCTGTCTCTACCAGTTGTTACTATTTGGGTGATTTGGTCTATTTCTTAATCCACCCAAATCTTGTTTTATTTATATACAGCACATGAAAACAGCAACAACAACAAATTACCATGTGCTGAATGTTCACAGGTGCAGGCACGGCAAAAGCTCTGCATATATTAACTTGATTAATTCTCAAAGCAACCATGTGAAGAAACTATTCTTGTCTTAATTTTACAATCATGAAACCTAGTGCTCAGAGAGGTTGAAAGAATTCCCCATGGTCACACAGCTTATAAATGACAGGCAGGAATGCAAACCCAGGCAGACCAACTCCAGAGCACTTTTTCTTAACCATTTTCCTATACTGGCTCTCAGCTTGGGTACTTAATAAATAACAGGTACTATAAGCCCAGGAACAAATGACACTGACTGACCCATACTCAAGCACTCTATATGGAAGGAGAAGAAGAAAAGGTTGCATTTCTTTTGATCTTTTACCATTTTATACTCCCTATTCTCTTACAAGCCTCTGTAGAGTTTGATCCTGTCTGAAACATCCTTCTCCGCTTGTTCCCCAAATCCTGGTTGTTTCTGAAAGTCCAGATCAATTCCCCACTCATTTGTGATACAAACAAGGGAATTCCTTAGCATTAGAAGAGACCATCAGAGAATACCTTTTGGAAGAGTTTCTCATCTATATAACGGGGATGGTAACACTCACCTCATGTGGTTGTTGGAGTAATGGTCATGTTTTATCAATTGAACCCCAAAGAGATCCTGGGGAGAAAGGGGCATTACACTGAGCAAGTGCCTACTTACTTTGTGCTAAGTCTCTCCTTAAACCTTCCCCACACTCTTCCAAAGGGGATAACACTGACCCCAGATGACCGGTGGAGAAACTGAGCCTTAAAGAGTTGAAGTGGGCCTGGTGCGGAGGGGCACACCTGTAATTCCAGCACTTTGGGAGGCTGAAGTGGGCAGATCACTTGAGGTCGGGAGTTTCTAAGACCAGCCTGGCCAACACGGCGAAATCCCGTCTCTACTAAAAATACAAAAATTAGCCAGGCGTGGTGGTGGGTTCCTGTAATCCCAGCTACTCAGGAGGCTGAGGCATGAGAATCGCTTGAGCCTGGGAGGTGGAGGTTGCAGTGAGCCAAAATTGCACCACTGCACTCCAGCCTGGGTGGCAGAGACTCTGACACACACACACACACACACACACACACACACACAGAATTGAAGTGATATCTAGTGTCAGTCTCTATTTTCTCTGAGCCCATGAGACCATTTCACAATTTTGAGGTGTAACAGCCTTCTATGTACCTTAATTAGGAGATCGTCTTTGCCCTCTGCTTGTCAAATGCTGGTTGCTTGAGAAATGCATTCCGTTTACTGATATATCAACGTATTGAGGTGTAGTGTGTGCGTGTGTGTGCATGCAGATGTGTGCGTGTGTGCGTGTGCGTGTGTGCATGTATGTGTGCCCACGCCTGTGTGCATGTGTGCGCGCATGTGCATGTGTGTGCATGTGTATGTGTGTGTGTGTGTGTGTGTGTGTATGCCCACTCGCCAATGTCTGTGCTCATGCTCCTTTCAACCGATATTTTGGGTATGGGCTAAGGAGAGTGTGCTCAGGCTATTTTAAGTTTTGTACTTAACGCTTAGCAATTTTAATAAACTTCATTCCTTTAGGTAGTCGACTTAATATTTTAAATATGGTTTTAATTAACCATCCTCCTTGTGTTTAAGGCAAAAGCAGGAAAACAGGGAAAGCGTCTAACCCGAGAGCATTGCCAGTGATTCCACTCTTTGTGACAATGAAGGCCAGAATTCCAGAATGCAGAGGCGAAAGCTCTCCCAAAATTGTTTCTTAGGGCATGGACCTATAATACTTAAATCATTTCTAATTCCACTGGGTTCTGTTATCCCAGCACAGACTGTAAACATTTATTTTTGGGCTTTCCCAGAAATGTGTCTTATGGAAGGGATTAGCTGTTTGCGCATGTAAAGTTCCGAAGGTGAGCTCCTCTAACCTAACCCACGTAATTAAAGTGGAAAATTTTTGGTGGAGGGAAAAAAAAAAACATCAGGGAAAATACCATGTTTGGAAAGAGAGCTGTACTCCGACAGTCTCAAGAGATGGCTCTGCGTTCTTGGGCACTTAATTATATCCCATCTTGCTGTGTGCTCCAATGCTTTCATCCTTTTGGTCTTTACAGACAATACCAGGATCCCTGGCACCATACACTCTTCTCCGAGAGGGTCTACAATGTCTAGCTTTGCACTGAGGCAGTAGGCAACTTGAGGACAAGGAGAGTGACACTGGCGTGGAGCCAGAGACTGGGTTTGCCCTATCATTTTAAAACATGATGTTCATTACTTTTTAAAGTGTGGAGTATATAGGGAAGAAAATAACAACAAAACAAAACAATAGTTTGTTTTTAAGATGGAGTCTTGCTCTGTCTCTGAGGCTGGAGTGCAATGGAGGTGATCTCAGCTCACGGCAACCTCCGCTGCCCGGGTTCAAGGGATTCTCCTGCCTCAACCTCCCAAGTAGCTGGGATTACAGGCACCTGCCACCAAGCCTGGCTAATTTTTGTATTTTTAGTAGAGACAGGGTTTCGCCATGTTGGCCAGGCTGGTCTCGAACTCCTGACCTCAGGTGATCCACCTGCCTCGGCCTCCCAAAGTGCTGGGATCACAGGGGTGAGCCAACACGCTGGGCCCAGACAGTCTTATTTTAAAATGCAAATGGCTAGGGGCACTATAAGACATTTGTCACCAACCTCTATGCAACTGCCGCTTTGTGCCTGAGCTGGTGGCGCTGGTTCTGGAGTTAGACCCCCTGGGCTCCAATCCAGGTCCTGTCCCTTGCTGGCTCTTGTTAACTTCTTTGTGTCTCAGCTTCTCTATCTGTAAAGTGGGAGTAATAATAGGACTTGTTTTCTAGGGTTGACATGAGAATTCAATGAAAGAACATATGAAAATACCATGAGCACAAGTCAACGCACAGCATTACATAGCAGGACCTGCAAAAGGTCAGCTACTATGCCTGTTATATATAATGAATGCCTAAATATAAATCATTTAAAAAAAACAACTGCCTTTGTGAAGTACTTAATAAACGCAATTCATGGTCCAGAGTGCTTTATGTACATGACTCATACAATCTTTCATTCAACCCTATGGAAGTAGGTTCTAGTAAGAATCCATTTCACAGAGGAGGAAATGAAAAAGCAAAATGTAACTTGTCCAAGGTCATTCAGCTAGCTCAAGCTGGGCTTTGAGGGCACGTCTGATTCTTCCTACTGGACCAGCTAAGTCAGACAGGGTACTTTTAAGAGGGGAACACAGAGAGACAGAGAGACTTTAGGACCCAGAGATACTAGTCAAAGTGTGAGCTGACACAGTGAGCCTCACAGGGTGGGAGGGATATCCAGAGGAGAGGGCGAAAGCATCAAAGGAGCTTTGCCTTTACCTGATTTTGCCTGGGGCCAGTACAAGATCTGATTTCTTTTGTGGTCTCCAATGTTGCCTGCAGCAGGGAGTTACGAAAAGCCACTGGATCCGAGTCCTAAAACTAGGTACTGTATTCCAGTTCTACCACACATTCTATGATCTCGGCAACTCACATTCCTTTCCCAGCAAGTTGCATTTTCTGGGAAATGGGGATCAAAAATCTTGGCTCACCTACCTCCTGGAGCTGTTGTGAGGCTCACATGTTTGGGGATGTTTAACTGCTCGGTTAACTAGAAAGCACTGCACAGAGATGCTAGGTATTATTATTGGCTTGATGCCTCCCTGTGATGCAAGAGGGATGAGGGTCCGGTGCAGTGGCTCACACCTGTAATCCCAGTGCTTTAGGAGACCGAGGTGGGAAGATTGCTTGAGGCCAGGAGTTCAAGACCAGCCTGGGCAACATAGTGAAACCCCATCTCTACAAAAATTTAAAAATTAGCCCCATGAGGTGGCACACAACTGTAGTCCCAGCTACTCCGGAGGCTGATGTCAGAGGATCACTTGAGCCCAGGAGAATGAAGCTACAGTGAGCTTTGATTGTATCACTGCACTCTAGCCTGGGTGACAGAGCAAGACTCTGTCTCAAAAAAAAGAGTGGAGAGGGGATGCACTTGGTCCTTTAAAACTTTGATTTAGAGAGGACCCAAACTTGTGCCTCCCTGGAGAAAACTTTATGGTGTCAGAGATCCTGGGATTGTCTGGAATCAATTCAAGAAGAGGGAAGGAGACTGGGAGCCTCGTGGATGAAGGTATTATGATAGCAGGTTTCAGGAACACGCCGTAATCAGCTCTCTCTTCTCTGTAGTTCCACTCCTAGCAATTTGGGGCCAGCTGGGGACTGGATGATGTCCTCTCTGATGCATTGGAATTTGTCCTGCTTCATGGTCTGGTCTGCTATAGGACCACATATCACACAGAGACACAAAGCAATTGACAGCATCCCGGCCGTTTCTTACAGATCCCATATCCTGTGTCTAGGCTGTATTTCAGGCCAACTTTTAGTGAAGTGGATCAATGCTTGAAGCACATAATGTAACATGATTCTTCAAGGGTTTGATTAATCGTGTCACAGTCACAGCCTCAGTTCAGGTTCAACCTTTTAAAAGTTTTATTATTGTATAAAGTGATCAATCAGGAGGAGAGGGAAGACAAATGCTCGATGTTGGCCATCTCTCCCTCTCGTCTTCGTCAGCAAGTGTTCTTCTCCTGGTCGGTTTGGCCGATCGTGATGGAGAAATTCATGAAGATGCATGGCACAGCAAAATATGGATCACCAAAGAGTGCTCTGAGTGGAAGGCCAGCTGCTCCAGTGATGAGCAACCTTGGCAACACATGGGAGGCCCCTGGGGTGTTTTAAGAAGTTCAGAGCCCTGTATTTCACCCACAGAAGTTCTGATGCTTTTGGTCTAGGGCATGGTCTGGGCATCTCTTGGGAATTCTAATGTGTAACTGAGTGTTACGGTGGAATTATGTCCATAACCCCCAGTATCCCAGAATGTGACTGTATTTAGAGATAAGACCTTTAAAGAGGTAATTCGGGGCTGGGCGTGGTGGCTTACGCCAGTAATCCCAGCACTTTGGGAGGCTGAGGTGGGTGGATCACCTGAAGTCAGGAGTTCAAGACCAGCCTGGCCAACATGGTGAAACCCCGTCTCTACTAAAAATACAAAAATTAGCCAGGTGTGGTGGCGAGTGCCTGTAGTCCCAGCTACTCGGGAGGCTGAGGCGGGAGAATTACTTGAGACTCTGTCTCAAAAAAAAAAGAGGTCATTAGGGTAAATTGAGGGCATATGGGTGGACCCTAATCCAATAAGACTGGTGTCCTTTTAAGAAGAGGAGATTCGGACACAGACACATAGAGCAAAGACCATGTGAACACTCTGGAGGAAGATGGCCAGCTATAAGCCAAGACGAGAGGCCTCAGAAGAAACCAGTCCTGCCAACACCTTGATCTTGGGCTTCTGGCCTGCAGAATTATGAGAAAATAAATTTCTGTCATTGAAGCCACCTAATTTGTGGTACTTTCTTTGTGGTATTTTGGGGGTTCCTGTCCACCAATTTCTGTTTTCTCCATCTCCAGATCCCTTTCTTGGGACATACCCTGTTAGAAGCTGCTCTCACAGTAATCCCCAAGAAAGTATTAGCTGAACTTAATGTTTTAGCCCTCCCACAAGTGCCTGCATTTTAATATGGGATTCGTACCTGGAGTAATCTAGGTAGCTGAGATGCATTTGGACTGATGGCTTTCCAGTCATAATTGCTGTAGTGATAGCCGATACTTATTATGTGCCAAATACTGTTCCAAGTGCTCTGTGTCTATCTATATCTATGTCTACGCCTATATCTAATATTCATTCGTTGAATCCCCCCAGTAGCCCTATGAGGTAGGTGTGCTTAAAAGAGGAAGCTGAGGCACAAAAGGGTTGAGTAATGTATCCAAGGTCTCACAGATAGTAAATGGTAGAGCTACGATTTGAACCCAGCAAGTCTGACTTCAGGTACCATGCTTTTAACCACTCACAACTCAGATGACCTCAATGGCCCCTAGCAGGATCGGAACAGACTTTGAGGACTAGCTTTGTTTTTCTAACAATAGCTGTTAGTGACCTTCCGTGTTAGTCTCCCCACCTCTTTTTTTTTTTTTTTTTTTTTTTTTTTTTTAAGAGACAGTCTTCCTCTGTCGCCCAGGCTGGCATGCAGTGGCGTTATCACGGCTCAGTCCTGGTCTCAAGTGATCCTTCTGCCTCAGCCTCCCTAACAGTTGCGACCACAGGCACGTGTCACCACACCCAGCTAACTAAACATTTTTTTTTTTTTAGATATGGGGCCTTGCTGTATTGCCCAGGCTGGTCTTGAACACCTGGGCTCAAGTGATCCTCCTGCCTCAGGCTCCCAAAGTGCTGGGATTACAGGTATGCCCCACTGCACCTGGCTCCCTGTTAGTTCTTATTTCTCTATTTCTAAGTCCCTGAGACAGTACCCACTGTGGGAGATTTTTTTTTAATTGTTTCCAAATATTACCCTTCCTTATGGGAGGATTATCCTTCTCCCATCTCATCAACATCAGACTTGGCCATGTGACTTGCTTTGGCTGCCAATAAAATGTAAGAGGAGGTGATGTTTGCTACTTTTGAGCAGAAATTTTAGAAGTCATCATGTGATTTTTTCTCTTCTCCCTTCTAGCATGAGAATGCTTTGAAGTCAGGCCCAAGCAGCAACTTCAGCTCAGGTCTCAGAATAAAGACAAAATAGAGAGGAGATGCAATCAACCTGTGTTGATTGAACAAAAATGTATCTTTGTTGCAAACCACTGAGACTCAGGGGTTTTTTGTTACTGCATCATTACTTAGTAAAAACAGACTGATACACTCTCTGAATACCAATATATTTAAGTGAAATGCCAGGACTGTTGTAAGGATAATATCTTTAATCAATAAGCATACTCTTAAATAACCAATAAACTGTATTATAGCTTATCCAAGAAATCTTGCAATAGAGCTTTCTGCCCTCTGTGAATACTTTCTATGCATCTATCCATCTCCATCTCAGAAGGCTAAAAGATCATAAACCCTTGCCTAGCTCAGTACACACCGAGTTCATTCACCAGCTCAATATGTACAAAGAGAATCAGAAAGAACAGATGGAGCAGACTAAATGTTATTTTAGGTTCCAGGACATTGGATAGAATGGGAGAGAAAAAGGATTTATTTTCTTTCGTGGATGGGAATTAGTACAAAGGCCTGATGAGACTGTCCCTTATCCAAGGACAGAGAATAAAAGAACTCTTCAATGTAAATTATCCATTCCAAGCTTTCGACCCTGCTGCCATTTTTAGTTCCGAATCGCTCACTTCTCTGAGAGGTTGCAAACTTATGACCTATGAACTGAATGTGGCCTGTGGAAGTCTTTTCACATACCAAAGAAAACACTATTCTATGTGCGGATGTTCGAATCAAATTGATTGCCAACAATCAAAATTTGAGATATTTCAGGTTAAAAAAAATAGTTCCAGCTTCTCTTAATTGAAAGCCTTGGTTACACTGGGCTTAGGAAACTTCAACTAAAGTTGAGTAGCAGCTGCCTTTTAGGCTGGGCATGGTTTCCACGGTCCCTACCTCTCCCTATTGCCTTATACTAGGCTCACTTCACTTATTTATATTCTTTTTTTTTTTTTTGAGACAGAATCTCGCTTTGTCGCCCAGGCTGGAGTACAGTGGTGCGATCTCGGCTCACTGCAACCTCCACCTCCTGGGTTCAAGCAATTCCCCTGCCTCAGCCTCCTGAGTAGCTGGGATTACAGGCACACGCCACCATGCCCAGCTAATTTTTGTATTTTTAGTAGAGACGGGGTTTAACCATGTTGGTCAGGATGGTCTCGAAATCCTGAACTTGTGATCCGCCCTCCTCGGCCTCCTAAAGTGCTGGGATTACAGGCGTGATTATTTGTATTATTTGCATAATCCATGGAGCCACTTGAGTTTGCCACCTTGAGTATCAATTAACTCCTTTCCTTTCCTTTTTCTTGTCCTTCTTTTATTCCTATGTCTTCCACAGTAAACAAGGAGATCTTGGGGACTCCATTTTTGCCACTCTGAGGACATCACTCTTCTGCCTTGTTTTTGGAATTTGGGGTGACCCAAACTTGACAGTCCAGTTCTTTGGTTCCCAAAGAGCTTCATTCTAAACTATCTATTAGGTTGGTGCAAAAGTCATTGCAGTTTTTGCCATTAAAAGTAATGGCCAACGGGAGCGGTGGCTCATGCCTGTAATCCCAACACTCTGGGAGGCCAAAGCAGACAGATCACTTGAGGTCAGGAGTTCGAGACCAGCCTGGCAAACATGGTGAAACCTCGTCTCTACTAAAAACACCAAAAATTAGTCAGGCATGGTGGTGCATGCCTGTAGTCCCAGCTACTTGGGAGGCTGAGGTGGGAGGATCACTTGAACCCAGGAGGCAGAGGTTGCAGTGAGCTGAGACTGCACCAACTGCCCTACACGCTGGGTGACAGAGCAAGACTCTGCCTCAAAAAAAAAAAAAAAAAAAAAAAAAGTAATGGCCAAAACTGCAATGACTTTTGCACCAATCAAATAAGACAATTCTAGGGGTGCAGGGAAGAAATGCTTTCTGCTGGAGATTCTGACAATGTTTATCTAACAGCTTCTACAATACTTGGTGATTTGCATACTTGTGTAGCTAGCAGGTCTTGGAGCAGCATAAGCCTCCTGCCTACTAGATAATTCTGTTGCTTAACAAACCATAACAGCTTTGATTACATGGAAAATGCTAGCAGTAAATGATTGGAAAATGATTTTACTGTTTTCTGTTATGGAAACTCACATGTAGGAACATTATGGAACTGTCTTGAAATTTCTTTTGCCTTCTAAATATAAAATCACTAGACTTTGATATTTCAGCAATTCTACATTTTAAAATATCAGAGCTGATGAGATCGATACTGCTTTGTAGATACCTACACTGCAGAGAGCTAGCCAGTGCTATCTGGATAAAGTAGACAGTAGGTAGGCATTTGCAAGCCTCTCTCACCTACCCCTTTCTTTTTCTGCACCAGATTCATTGCTATACTGACCTCTCATTGACTGAAACTTTACATCAAGGCTCAGGGACTGTAAACCCACCGCAGCTTGGAATATGGAATATGGATGTTGAGATACACACTTCAGTTCCTGAACTCAGTAATGAAATCGCCCCCAGAGTTCTCATGCCAGCATTCAGCTAGCTGCAACTTTCTCCTGCTTGCCTTCTAAGGAGATTAAGAACGGGCATTTTATTTTGTTTCCGTTTTAGTTTATTTGAAGGTTTTATGATGTCTTGGTTGAGTGGCTCGTGGGACTTGCAAATAAACATGCTGCCTTTAAAAATGGCAAGTTGTTTTTATTTATTTCTTTTAGGTGCCCAGTGACCTCCGGGTATATTAGGCAGCTTTAAATTATAATTAAAATAATAACTGTGGTCCTAAAACAGTAATAGATGTTGAATGATACAAACACCAAATTAGGATGTTCAGAAAATCTGTATGAAGGAAGCCAGAGAAAGCATGGAATTAAAAAAATTATCTTTGTGGCAGGACCAAAGGAAACTTATCTCAAACAGCAGCTTTGTTATAATGCTTTTGTTTTGTTTTGCCTTCCTATAAGGCTACTCAAAATTTTTTTTGTATTTGCTAGATTTGGGGTATTGGGGGGTGGGGGAATATCCAGTTCTTTAGTTGATCTTGCTATGACTTTGCCGACAGAAGGAAATAATGAAAATTGCTTGTCATCGGAGAAAATCCCTGTATTCTAATGATTTCTTGACAACTTCTGAAGTCCATGGGCACAATCAGTAGAAGCCGACATTGTGTTTCACTGGATGCCAAATCCTCAGAGTGCTTCTGAGTCCCTCTAAGACATACATCTGCATTCCTCCATCTGTCATCTTAGTTCATCTTCCTCTCCCAACTGTTCTTAAATTAAATGACTACATCTAATGGGAGATTTTCTCGTGAAAGCTTATGAGAGTTTGTCTGAAGACAAATTAAAACATTGCAATGTAATCACCCAGCTCCACTCTCTGCTTGGCTGGCCCCAGTGCCTACTTTTACCCAAAGAAGTTAATCAACGTTTGGGCCCTGTATAGAGAAAAGCAACAAGGAAGGAAATCCATTCAAGAGGAGATGGAATCTACCCGCTGACGGTCAGAGGGTCAGGGGATGAAGACTGGATCTGTCCGCTGCAGAGAGAGCTGTGAGATATGCCAGGGCTCTGAAGACCAGGGCAAGAAGAGTAGGAGGCAGGGAGTGAAAGAAAACAAACATCTGGTTCCAGAATATCAAGGCATGATGCTTAACCCCAGGGATATAAAAATTCCCCTTCTCTTACCCTCCACTCCCCATGGATGAGTGGATGTCTTCCTGCAGTTGTTACAGGTCACTAGGGTTGATGGGACTCTTCAGCTTGGCTAGTTATTGCCCCCTACTTCTTTTTTTGAGATAGGGTCTCACTTTTGAGATAGGGTCTCACTCTGTCACCCAGGCTGGAGTGCAGTGGCATGATCATGGCTCACTGCAGCCTGGACTGCCCAGGCTCAAGTGATCCTCCCACCTCAGCCTCCCGAGTAGCTGGGACCACAGGCACGCACCACTATGCCTGGCTTATTTTTGAAAACTCTTTAGTAGAGACAGAGTCTCACTGTGTTGCCCAGCCCGGTCTCAAACTCCTAGGCTTACGCAATCCTCCTGCCTCGGCCTCCCAAAGGGCTGGGATTACTGGTGTGAGCCACTGTGCCCTGCCTGGTCATTGCCCTTTTATTCTCTCACTGCACCATGTGAATCCCTTTCAACATTTGGTTGAAGGGGACAGCATCTCCAGCAATTCCGCCTTACAGAAATTTATCCTAATGAGACGAGACAGATTCACTAAGCACAAAGATGTCCATCATTTCATTGTTTACAACATCACTGCTCATTAATAGGGAATTAGTTAAATAAACAATGGTATATCCAACACTGGAATGCAATGCAGTCATTGCAATGAAACTATGAAAAATCATCAAAAATTATTGAAAATGTATAACCCACTGACATGGTATATTGTTGCAGACAGTATACATACTATGATACCACTGGCACGAAATAAAACATATGTATATGTGCATGCATAGGAGATATCTGATAGGACGAAGTCCAGGTTAACCGTGTTTACTTCTGGGTGGTGGAATTTTTGGCGATTTTAATTTTTATGCTTTGATAAATTGCTTGCATTTCTCAAGATATTGTACATTATCTTTTAATCAGAAAAATAAAGCTTAAAGCTAGGTCTATATTTGAGAGAAAAAAAGAACAGCCTTGGTTAATGGTATGTGAGTCATTACGCTGTTCTCCTAAAGTCTCCAAACCCAAAAATTTCCCAAGGCATTGAATCCTGGGAAAGAGCTTTGGCTGGGTCATGATGGGAACAGGGAGTTGGCTGCCGCCGTGATGCTCCAACTCTTTATTCCCAGGCTACAACAGTCTAATTTGATAATCTTTTCCATTGAATCTTTATGCTCCCTACTAAACACTCAGAGTGCTTCCTTGGATCAATGCTTTCAAGTTCATCCTCATATCATCTTTGTAAGGCAGAGGTAGGTAGGGAATATGAAGAAAAGTTTCAGGACCTGAGACATCAGTGGCTATGGGACTTGAGGGAGACCATGGTACTGCTGAGACTAGCGTACTGGTTCTCAATCTCTCAGCTCAGTGCTTCTTCCACAAACCCCTAGTGCTTCACTTTCAGAAGTGAGATGGAGCCAGGCATGGTGGCTCACACCTGTAATCCCAGCGCCTTGGGAGGCCACGGTGGGAGAATCGTTGAGGCCACGAGTTTGAGACCAGCTTGGGCAACATAGTGAGACCTTATCTCTACAAATAATTTGAAAATTAGCTGGGCATGGTGGGCACGTGCCTGTATTCCCAGCTACTTGGGAGGCCGAGTTGGGAAGGATTGCTTAAGTTTGAGGCTGCAGTGAGCTATGATCATGTCACTACACTCCATCCTGGGAGACAGAGTGAAACCCTGTCTCAAAAAAAAGGTATAAAATAAAATGACCTTTTTAATAATTCAGTAAACGAAACTAAAACCATCCGTATCTTGTGTAGGGATGTTCAAGAGTTGGATTATAATCTGGCTGTGATCAAAGTGCTCATTAAGAGGAATATTTTTGGACCTCTAATGGCTATCATTGGACCTGATTCATCCTGATCTGCTGAGACAGTGCTCTCAGGGAAGTCTGGAGTTCGGGTTAAAGGTTTCAGTTCTACTATTAACAGTGGCAAACAAAGGCAAGGGTTAACCTGACTAGGTCTCAACCTTTTCATACCTGAAACAAATGGGGAGGCCGGGCGTGGCGGCTCACACTTGTAATCCCAGCACTTTGGGAGGCCGAGGTGGGTGGATCACTTGAGGTCAGGAGTTCAAGACCAGCCTGGCCAACATGGCGTAACCCTGTCTACTAAAAATACAAAAATTATCCAGACGTGGTGGCAAGTGCCTATAGTCCCAGCTACTTGGGAGGCTGAGGCAGGAGAATCAATTGAACCCGGGAGGTGGAGGTTGCAGTGAGCTGATTGTGCCACTGCACTCCAGCCTGGGTGACACAGTAAGACTCTGTCCCAAAAACAACAAACAAACAAGCAAAAAAACACGAATGGGGAGAGAAACCTTGGCTTTACACTCCCCAAGGCATCATTTGGAGGATCAAGTGATGGAAGAGATAAGAAGCCCCTCTCTTTGACTTCTCTCTAGCCTTCTCAAGAGCAGCTGGTCACCCCACCCCATAGCATAATCTTGTAATATGCTGCCACTTACACTCTACATCTTGAGGTTTCTGCCTCCCCAGTCGGGCTGTGAAAGAACAAAGTCAAGAATGATTCTGATTCAATATAATACCACGCCTATGACCTAATACTGTAGTTTTCAATAGATGTTTGCCGACTGGGTGAATGGTTCAGAAATTCAAAGTACTCCACCAGTGAAATACCTTAGAGATTGTATCAGTGGGAACTCATGGAACTGTCTTACTCTGAAATATACAATGTATTACCCATTTAAAAAAGCTCACACGCTTTCTGAGATTGTTAGAGTATTTGGAATGACAAAAGTAGTTGCTGATATTTGACTGATCACTTTGTGCCAAGCACTGTGCTAATCTCTTTAAATAATTTTTTTTTTTTTTTCAGAGACGGGGTTTTGCTCTGTCACCCAGGCTGGAGTGCAGTGGCTCGATCATAGTTTATTATAGCCTCGAACTCCTGGGCTCAAGGGATACTCCCATCTCAGTCTCCCGAGTAGCAGGGACTACAGCTGTGCTCCACCGTGTAGGGCTAATTTCTAAATTTTTTGTTGAGACAGGGTCTTGCTGTGTTACCCAGGCTGGTCTCAAACTCCTGGGCTCAAGCGATCCTCCTGCCTCTGCCTCCCAAAGCGTTGGGATTACAGACATAAGGCATCACATCATGCTCAGCTAAATAAATTTTCTCATTTAATCCTACCACCCTCCCTTTGAGGTAGGTGGCATTATCATTCCAGTTTTTCAGATTCTGACTCTGAGGCTCAGGAGGTAGTCTGCCCATGCAGAGAAAGAATAGGTCTGGAAGCCACTGCCCAGCCTGTAATCTTGATCTCTTTCCTGACTGTGTGTCTGGAGCAGATTTGCAACAAAGAGCAGGGTGGTTTAGGACCTGTTTATTTTCATTCTAACTCAGGGTTTATACTGAGTTGGCTTCTTGCAGATGCTCTTTCAACCAGCCCCTGTTGAGCAGGTAAAACTGAACAAGGCTGCGATGAAGGCTCTGATGGGCTGCACATCATCACCCTGCCATCTGACAATATCATTCACCTCCAGAGCATTAGCTCAAACATGGTCCCTCCCTTTGTTTCTTAAATGTTCCCATTTTCTTTTACTTCCCCCTCTGTTTCCTCTTAACCAGCTGAGTGACAGAAACTCAATGCTGACCACTTCATTAGCCCATGATGACCTTGTGCCTCTGGCCTTTTGCCCTGCCTGCTCTCCTGGGCAGGTTGCCTTACGTCATAAGTCCTTGTTAAAGGTCAGGACCTCTGAGCCATCAGCACTGGGCATGTTGTTTTAATATATATCTAGAGAAATCAGGGCTGTCGGATCACATTAGGTCCTATTTGCAGACTGCATGCCAATACCCGCCGTAGAGAAGAACTGTTACCTTTGAAATACAATCATGGCTAGTTACCAGTGAGTACAGAGGGGGGATTATATTCCATCAGTGAGGCCCTTGTAATCTGTTTCTCCCCCCATCGGCAGGGCCACCCTTCTTCCTGTACAGAGAAAATCCTTATAAACAGTAGTCACATAAAGCAGTGAGGCTAAGAGATACATTGTGTTTTTAAAACCAGATGCGTTAATGAGTGCATGACGGGTAGTGTGGAATGTGATAAGTCAATGCCGCAGGCGCTGGTGTGAATTGGCACAATGCTCTGGGGCTAGATGTTGATATGGTAATAAAATGATAAAGTTAACAGCTACTATTCATTGAATGATTATAGGCACAAGACTAAGCATTTTATATGCACTACCCTGTTTGAGAGTCATAATATCCTTATAGGTCAGATACTACTATGTCCATTTCATGGATGGAGAAACTGACGTCCAGAAAGGCCCAGTGATTGGTCCATATTAACAAGGCCATTAAGTGATGGGGATGAAACGGACTCCAAAGCTGCTCCTAATCCCCAGGCTTCCATGATTCTGCCAGGATACAATTTGGTCTCTTCTTTCAGGTGGAGTTTTAGGTGGTGCTTAAGTAGAACCATATTGCCATTTCCCTTCTAGGGAGGGGCCTCAAATATGTCACTTGACCCAACAGATTTTTTTTTTTTAACTGAGTCTGAGAATAAGCCAACCTTGTTTCCCCCCTTTCTTCTCTAGGATTGGTTTAAGCTCATTCTCACATCTCATGGGAGTCTGGTTGGACGGATCCCTTGACGGAGGTTAGAAATAGCTCTCATAGCCTATTTTTAAGGAAAGCATGACGTTAGAAAATGAGGCAGAAATGGACCCCGAGAAGAGAAGAGAACTCACCAGGCTAGAGAATAGGGTCAACTTCTAACGAAGCCTTCACCAAGAAATGCTCAGAGACGAGAAGTGGGAAGATTGACAAAGATAACATTGGCAGAGACATAGTAGGGTGGGTGAAATTGCTTTTTTCTTCTTCCTTCACCCGGACAGCATATTTCTGTCACATTCATTGTGTTTTGCCCACAGAAAGCTCAGCCAGGAAAGGTAAATGCTGTTGTCTTGCAGCAAACCCACTTTTCTAACTAGAGAAATACGGCCCGAAAAATGCACACAGAAATGCCTGCTTATCTCTTTCTTGAAACCCCAGGCACACTGCAGAGGTGTCTAGTAACACTGCAATTTCCTTTGAACTGTTTGGTTTTGTTTGGTGTCCTTGTCTGGCTGGTTAGTCTTTTTTGACTGCGTTAACTCACCTGGTATAACATTTTCTTTCATTGAGAAACAAGAAAGCTGGAACTCACCTCTCTAATTCCGGCAAAGCTGGACACCATCCAATAGCGCTAGGCTAGACTTCTGGGGGTTGTAACTTATATCTTCCGAGCTGAAGAAGAAAAGAAAGGACAAAAACACGGTTGGGGAGATGTTTGGCAAACCTTCGCAGGCCAAGTGGCTAATGAATGATTCTCCCATTGCTTTTCACTTATTTTTCTTAAATAAGATTTCTTTCTAGGGTGAGGGTTTATTCAAGTCACCCCCTTGTCGGCCAGTATCAAGGCAAATGACACAGTTCCCTGTATTCACTTATGTTTCCTAGGCTATAGAAAAGCACATTCTTGAACTGGGAAAGGCATTTTTAAAAATGAAACTCAGGGCAGCCAACCTCAAGACAGCATCTGATATTAATTAAAAATCATAAAACACTCTAAGTCGAACTAAAGAAATATTGGTAGCGGGATCAGGACAAGGATGAGGGAAATTGAAAGTGAAATCTTGTACTCATGGAATTCTCCTGGCCACCGCATTTCTCCCCGTCTATCCCAGGGAAAGGATTCAAATGGTGTTAACTACTGAACACTTGCCTCGTTTTCCATTCCTCTTTCCCTGGGTAGCTGCGGTGAGTTGGCTGCCGAGATGTAGCCCTGAACCTATCCATCAAGTCTAAGGAAGAGAGAGTTAGAAAGGCAAACATTATCTGGAATCAATATCTTTACAAATCCAAAGGAAACCCCAGCTCCCGAAGGGTTAAGCCAGGGAAGGAAAAGCCATCAGGCTGTTTAGTGAGCTAATGTTTTTATTGATGGGGGAAGCCTTTAAGTCCCTAACAGGAAAAGTGGGGAAAGTGGCAGATTGTTTGGCTGGGGAGAAAGGAGACGGGAAGGAACATTATACACCACGCTGTGTCCTACTCCACGTATTCAGACCCCTGAAACCCAACGAATGCAGAAGACATTCCCTAACCTTGAATAATATTCAACCCAAGGTGTTTTCCTCTCTCCTACCCGCCCCTCCCCGCAAAGTGGAATCCACATCTTCCCCTAACAACTTGGCTATAATGCACATCTCTTGGCTAATGCCTGCACTGAAGAGCATATCTTAATTGAACAACTGTGTTATAAAGCACATCTCAAGCTGACATTCCTGGGATAATCCATATTTCAACCTAACTACCCTGGCATAACACTTCAATCTAATTCCCCCACTGTAAAGTACATTGCAATCTAACACCCTCATATAATGTACATTTCAGTCCATTATTTTGTATTTTGTAAGCCATATTTTGACACGTCTTTTCCATTAAGGAGCAGAACTGTCTGGTGACAACGGCTATCCCTGTGCTGAAAGCCCCCATGGTTTGTACATCGTCCTGTGGTGACAGGCTGCTGATGGACACGCTTCTGAACTTTCACCTTTGCCATCTTAGGTTCAACTCGGGCTTGTTTCTGTACTTCAAGCTCAAGCCTCCTGTTGGGGGAGCAGGGGTGACCAGAGAGCCCTGCTCGGTCCTGGCCAGCTTTCTCTCAAGCTGACCAGCAGGTCGGGCCACCTCACATGATCAAAGTCAGGGGTCAGGGTGTAGCCAATGTCAGGGTCCAATGCCAGGGGCCAATGTCAGGGTCAGAGGTCAGGGTGTAGCTGCTGGCTAATAGAGTGTCAGCTAACACTGTTGTCAAATTGCTGGGCTAAAAGACAATGGCAGCCTCCTGCGGAGGACCTTACCCTGGGGGGAGGGGGCGATTGGCTTTATTGGAAACCTGCCAGTCTCAGAGGTGATGGAAGTGGCTGATCACAGCTAAAGACTGTTTGATTGTTGATGGAGAGCCAGTTCTGTGGTTGGTCCCTAACTGAAAGGCCTGCAGAGCCGCTTATTGATGACTGAGTTTTCCACTTATGATGGATTTCTCTTCTGTTTCACATGCAGCTGGATTTCCATTCAGTCATGGAGGTGGATTGCGGTGACGCATGGCCACAGACTTTTCTGGAACTGAGAGCTATGAGAGGTGATACCGTCACTGACTTCTGGGAAGGCACCAACCTCGTATTGTCTGTTGAATGGGGCTGATTGGTTCTTGAAATGAAACCAATCCAGAATGAATTGAAAAATAGATATAAGAGGTCCTGCAAGTCCAAGACAGTTCAGCGAACATAAAAAGAAGGCAATCAATGTGTTCTGGAAGAGATTTAGTATTCTAACTATCAATAGCCCAGCCTCAAATTTTCCACCTATCTCAGGCAGGGGAAAGAAATTAGATTTCTTTATCTACTGGTGGCATATAACCAGGCTAGTAGTGCCATTAAATATTTGATGAAAACGAGGTTACAAAACTGGAAGAATTCCAAAATTTCCCAAGATAGTATGAATTTAAGAGAGACAAAAACAGGAGGAGGAAAACAAAGTATAGAGATAAAAAATGATCTGGGCCGGGTGCGGTGACTCACGCCTAGAATCCCAGCACTTTGGGAGGCTGAGATGGGCGGATCACAAGGTCAAGAGATTGAGATCATCCTGGCCAACATGGTGAAACCCCGTCTCTACTAAAAATACAAAAATTAACTGGGCGTGGTGGCACATGCTTGTAGCCACAGCTACTTGGGAGGCTGAGGCAGGAAAATCGCTTCAACCCGGGAGGCGGAGGTTGCAGTGAGCCGAGATCGAGCCACTGCACTCCAGCCTGGTGACACAGCGAGACTCCATCTCAAAAGAAAAAAAAAAAAGATCTTCTGAAAGGCATACGGACCATGGAGGATCAGCTAATACAAACCCCCAATGCAGCCTCTGCTAAGACAGACAATAAACAACTAGAAAGCATGAATGGGAGAACGGCTTGTTGAAATTGCAAGGTTATTCTCCTCTTGAGTTATGCCTTGAGAAAACCATATGAACATGGCAGTACTAGTTTTTTAAACTCTTTTCTTTCTTTTTATTTTTTAATTAATTATTATTATTATTTTTT
This sequence comes from Homo sapiens, assembly GCF_000001405.40. Classification (NCBI taxonomy): domain Eukaryota; kingdom Metazoa; phylum Chordata; class Mammalia; order Primates; family Hominidae; genus Homo; species Homo sapiens. The sequence goes on from NC_000016.10 coordinate 73,146,683, forward strand.
GAGACAGTGTTTTGCTCTGTTGCCAGGCTGGAGTGCAGTGCCACAATCCTGCAAACTTGACCTCCCAGGCTCAAGCAATCCTCTCATCTCAGCCTCCCAAATAGCTGGGACTACAGGCGCCACCACCAAGCCCAGCTAATGTTTTTGTATTTTTTGTAGATGTGGAATTTCGCCATGTTGCCCAGGCTGGTCTCGAACTCCTGGGCTCAAGCCATCCACCTGCCTTGGCCTTCCAAAAGTGCTAGAATTACAGACGTGAGCCACCGTGCCTGGCTGGTAGTACTAGTTCTTAAGCCTCTTATTAATAGAAGTAGTAAAACATCCTAGGGAGAAAAGTGAGGTTGGGAAATGAACTGGAATTGTTTTTCTTGGAAAAGAACAGGTTAAAGGTGACATCAATGACCTTCCACTGTATTCCATTGTAGGATAAGCCATGTTGCTTTGGCCATGCCAATATGGTATGATGGCATATGGGGAGACGTTGGCATGACTCGAGGTACTACTTCTACCTCTTTAAGCCTGTTTTCTTCATTGTTAAAGGGGATCATGCCATCCACCCAACACAGGTACAACGGGGATGAATTTGGATGTAGAACTGTTAGACTGTTAGACAAATTCAACCTTCAAAACACAGCAGTTTCCTTTTGCCTTAAACCACAGCCTGAAGCCCGAGCAACGTAGCCAGACTGCGTCTCTACTGAAAAATAAAAATAAGAATAAAAAAATTGGGCCGGGCGCGGTGGCTCACGCCTGTAATCCCAGCACTTTGGGAGGCCGAGGCGGGCGGATCACGAGGTCAGGAGATCGAGACCATCCTGGCTAACACGGTGAAACCCCGTCTCTACTAAAAATACAAAAAATTAGCCGGGCGTGGTAGCGGGCGCCTGTAGTCCCAGCTACTCGGGAGGCTGAGGCAGGAGAATGGCGTGAACCCGGGAGGCGGAGCTTGCAGTGAGCCGAGATCGCGCCACCGCACTCCAGCCTGGGCGACAGAGCGAGACTCCGTCTCAAAAAAAAAAAAAAAAAAAAAAAAAAAAATTAGCCAGGCATGATGGTGTGTGCCTGTAGTCCCAGCTATTCCGGAGGCCGAGGTGGGCAAACCACTTAAGCCCCCAGGAGTTCCAGGCTGCAGTGAGCCGTGATCATGCCACTGCACTCCAGCCTCGGTGACAGAGCGAGATCCTCTCCCAAAAACAAAAATAAAAAAACCCATAGCCCGGGCTTTTCCATGATGGACATTGTTAAATATGAGGTGTTGGATAATATATCTTCTCTTTGTGAGCAAGAAAGTCCAGTATCTATTTAGAAAGTTTAGGCAAACTCTACTTGACCACAGGGAGCTGACTTAGCCCAGAGCTTAGCAAGCTATGGCTGGCAGGCTAAATTTTGCCCATGGCCCACTATTGTAAATAAAGTTTTATTGGAACGCAGCCACACTCATTCATTTATGTATTGTCTATGATTCTTTCTGCACCACGACAGCAGAGTTGACTTGTTATGACAGAGACAGCATGGCTTGTGAAGCCTAACATATTTACCATTTGGCCCTTTATAGTAAACGTTTGCCAGCCCTGACCTACAACAATGGAACACTCTTTCCTTTGTTTAAAACTAAAATCTTATGTGGAAATTCAATATGCAAAGCAGGTTCAAGAAACAAATATTTCCCCAGGAAGCTGAACTCTTCCTTGTTTGGCAGAAATAATCTATGGTTGGTAGAAATTCTACAGCAATTTCCATGGTTCCATGCAGCAATTTGAAAACTATGAACTGGATAATCTCTGGATACTTCTTTAAGGTCCTAGAAACTCAGTAATTTCTTCAGAGATTAAAGAATGGCCGCAAATGCGCCTTCGTCTGGCAAATGCTGGGCTTTTTTTTTTTTTTTTTTTTTTTTTTTTTACTATTATCTGTGTGATGTTGGGAGGGTTACTGAACTTCTCTGTGCTTCCATTTCCTCATTTTAAAAATAAAGAAAGTTGGGTTGGGCATGGTGGCTCACGTCTATAATCTCAGCACTTCAGGAGGCTGAGGCAGGCAGATCGCCTGAGGTCAGGAGTTCAAGATCAGCCTGGCCAACATGGAGAAACCCTGTTTCTAATAAAAATACAAAAATTAGTCAGGTGTGGTGCCATGAGCCTGTAGTCCCAGCTACTCAGGAGGCTGAGGCAGTAGAACCATTTGAACCTGGGAGGTGGAGGCTGCAGTGAGCCTAGATGGTACCGCTGCACTCCAGCCTAGGCGACAGAGCAAGACTCCATCTCAAAACAAAACAAGAGGATGATTGTATTTGCTTCACAATTTGTTGTAAGAATTAAATGAGATTATATATATATTTTATATATATATAAAGTGCTATATATATAAATAGAGCACTTAAAATAGGGCCTGGCTCATAGTGCTCAGTAAATGTCAGCAATTATTGTTGATATTTTATATAATTACATTAATATTATAGACTATTATCAACAGATATTATACTTTATTAATAAATGCCAATATATTTTACTTTATATTATATTTTATCCTATTAATTATATTCATATTGTCATTACTATATTTTATATTATATTATAATATTATTTTATATTGACATTACATAATATTATCAGCAGATATTATACTTTATTAATATTAATGTCATTAATATAATATTTTGTTATATTAATAAAAATTATTGTTATTAACATGTGGGGCCTTCATTCATGCTGTAGAGATCACTTCCATATTATTCTAAATATCCCTAATGACATTTCCGCTTATTAGTTAATTAATTCAGTTGGCCACTCACTCCACACATCTGTTGTGTGCCAAAGTAATCAGGAAATGAACCAAAGTCCATGCGCTACCAGCTGCACATCTAGTCCTCTCTTGCTCAGTCATTTTCGGCACTTTGCGTTGGTGTTTATTGCTCTACATCTTCTGCGGCGTTTCAGAGTGACACCACTGCTCAAAACAACTTCCTACTACTCCGTCTCTGACTGCTCCACAATTAATTTTTCAACTAGCAGTTTGGTTTCAATGCTTACAAAGTAATTAGACCTTAAAGGCTCTTTACCTGGATTTTATCCTGTCAGCGAATGTGAAAGAAACAATAATTATTATTTAATATTTATTGTCTTCATTGTGCTATGTAGACTCACAGATGTAACCTGCCTTATTGTTGAAGATGACAGCAGAGTGCAGGCAGGTGTGTCTGGAGAAGTAGTCAGACCGCTTTGGAGGCCCAAGTTCTCAGATGCTTCCATCTGACACCTGCGCAGTCAAAGGACACATTTTGGGTTGAGTGGTTCCTAATTTGTTATCCCTAAGTTTTCATTTTCTACAGTTTGATTCCAGAATGGTCGTTTCCAAAGATGACATTCAATGATTTCTTGTACCAAGCAGACGGAGCTTTTGGGGGAGTTACATTTTCCACCACTGTCAACAGAAGAGTAGAACAGACACAACCGCAGATGCTGCTGGATGGAGGCTCCAGGCCCCTTTGGATTCACTCTTCCCCCACCACAGACTGGTTCAGGTTGTCCAGACCAAGGTGCATAGGGGCTGGCCAGAGTGGTAGGTGGACAATGTCATCTACTGGCTGCTAAGAATGTTATCCCTGTAGTTTGGGGCTGGTGTGGCTCAGTAATCAAATGTGTGAGCTTCTTTGAAGTAAGATGGCCCTGGGTTCAAGTCCTGCTCCTGCCCCTTCCCAGCAGATGACCTTTGCCAAGTTACTTCCCACTGTCAGCCTCAGTGTGTCCTCATCAATAAATGAAAGTAACAATAACTACCTCACACATTGTTTTGCATATCAAATAAAATAAATACACAGCAAGTGGCAGCTGTTGTAATTATATTATTATAATAGAAAAGAAATAGAACCCATAGTTTCTGTTTTGGAGTGCCTTAGAAGATAACAGGATATAAACATAAAAGCATGAAATCACCTTGAAAAACATTTACACGTCTTCATCTATATAATGTAAACTAAAAGAGTAGTTAAAAGCCAGGGGTATCAGAGTGACTGGTGGACATGATTTGCTCTCATGATTTGGTGTAAATAAATTGCAAACTCCCGGATGACAGAGCCTGTATACATCTTTGTATCTCCAGCACTTTCTAGCAAAGAATCTTGTACATTTTAACCCTTAACATGTGTCTGTTGAACTAAGTTGAACTGGATTTCTTTGTAAATTCAGTAGAATTCTACCAAAAATAATCACTGGCACAACTCAAGTGTGCGCGCAGATAAGAAACATGAATACAGTGTTGAAACCGGCATCACTCAAACAAAAACAAAACAGGAAGTCTTACACAGAATGGGCAATATTATTTGGCAATAAAAAGGAATAAATGAATGCTACCATGTAGAAGAACCTTGAAATCATGCTAAATGAAAGAAGCCAGTCACAAAAAACCACACACTGAATGATTCTATTTATATCAAATGTCCACAACACAAAAATTCATAGAGACAGAAAATAGATGAGTGATTGCTAAGGGCGACCAAATCCCCAACTTTTTTGCATATCTGTATTGTATATAATTTCTATAATGAATTTATATTACTTTGGAAGGAGGTAAATGTTATTAAAATAAAACGTACAACACAAAAAGTGGTGAGGGACATGGAGGGAAGGGGAGACTTGGTTACTGAGGTCAGGCATCTCAGAGGGGAAAGGAAGGTGTGTGGGGGTTGGAGAAGGCTTCCTCGTTGGGAAAGGAATGTTGCATGTAGAGAACAGCATTCTGTAGCAGGAATGAAAGGGGGAACCAGTCAGAGGCAGGTTGGAGGAAGGCCTTGAGGAACTGTGAGAAGGATCTGGGTCTGATATCAGGATACAGAGGCTGCCTCCTGCTCGGTGGGAAAGAATGTCGTGATTGATTGGTGATACCTGCCCGGGCATAGGAATGGCAGTGATGAATCAATGCCACACACTTTCTACTCCTCCAGGAGCCTTCATTCTGCAGGTGCCCGAGAAATAAAAACACATTTAGGTCTGTCCTACGTGTTGAGGTCTGACGAAGTAGAGTTGGAGATCTAATCTGAATTCCTCTAAATTCCCATGAAAATATTCCAATCTCCATGGGTTCCTTGAGTCAAATTCAGGAAGAATTCACGTGATAACACTGACCTTGCCGGGGGCTACACAAAGAAAAGTGAACTTTCTATTTCCAGCATTATATCAGTTAAAAGAAGAATGCAAAAAACAAAAAAAAAAAAAAAGAGAGAAAGAAAGAAAAGACCCACCCCCACCCCACCCACACAGAAAAAAACAGAAAAGGAGAGGGGCGGAGAAGAGAGCTGGGAAGGGGGTTTGGAACCTCTGGGCCCTATCAGTTACTGAGAAGCCACTCTGTGGAGGAGACACGCAAGCTTCCATCCCTAAGACATTTCCCTCACTCCAACAAGATATTTTCAGTACATCCCAGGCACCAAATAACTGCTCATATGTCCCGAACGATGATGAATTCATTCAAACAACAAGTCAAGACCCTGGATATCACTCAACTCCAGTCAGTCATAACAGCTGACAAATAAAAAATATAATATACAGCCTGTTAGTTCTGCTTTTCCTCATCTTCAATATGCAGATTCAAGAATCGCATTCTATTCCCAGCTGTCAGAGACGGTGACAGTTGTGGGGAGTTTTCTAGCTTTATCAAGGAAGATTATTTTTAACCCAAATTATTTTCCATTGTCAATGTTTAAATCCATATTAAGTCCAGATTAATGCAGGAAGTAGCTTCAAAGGATATTGACTGAGGGAGAAATAATAATAAATGAAATTATTAAGGACAGGGCCCATTTCAAGGAACATTTTCAGAGTAGAAAAGAAAGTTGTTTAGATTTAAATGATAACTAAAGAAAATATGTTTCTTAGGGATTGCTGGCTCTTTTCACAAACACCCAAACTTTGTATACAAACTAGGGGCCTGTAGCATTTTTCTTTCTTTTTTTTTTTCTCACGTGATTGGAATTAATAATGCAGATAAATCCTAAATAAATCAGGATTAGTGTTAACCACATCTTGAGGTTTAGGATGCTATAGGAAAATGAAAAGAGAGAGAGAGAAAAAAAATGAGTTGCTTAAAAAAAAAAAAAAAAGCCCTGGCCTGGGCTACCGGGGTGAGGAGGGGAGAGAAGGGGGCTGGGGGGAAGGGAGGGGAGTAATCGCGAGAAGAGAGGGCCAGCTGAGCCGGGTAATCAAAGCCCTTCTAATCGCTGCAGCTCTGGAGATGTGTTCAAAGGCTCTTTCCTGACCACAGGCTGAGCCGGGTCACAAGTGAAATGCAGTTGCTGTGAAGGGGGAGGGGTGTCTGGAATTTTTGGATGGTTTTGCTATCAGGCTTTGTTAGGAGGAGGTCAGCTGGGTTGTCAGATTTTAGCATCTCCTCAGGAAGCAGGTTAAACTCTCTGGTTGTTAGGGAGAGACCCTCTCCTACCCCTCCAGCCCCACCACCCCAAACCACTTGCCAAACCAGTGAAGAAAGGGAACATGGAAGCCTGGATGTTCATTCCCACCTGGAAAGTTTCTCCCAGAGCTCTCAACTTTGGATGTAAGAATCATCTTCGATAAATAATTGCACCTTGGGATGAATTTTGTAATTTAAGTTTATTTTATGTTTTTAGAGACAAGGTGTCTCCCTACGTTGCCTAGGCTGATCTCAAACTCCGGCTCAAAGACTCAAAGAAGCCTCCTGCCTCCGTCTCCCAAAGTGCTGGGATTACAGCCACACCTAGCCTTGGGGTGAATTTTAATGAAGCCCTTTAGATCCTTGATATTTTTCTGCACTGGAGTCATTGAAAATGGCCTCAACACATTAACTCCAGGTTCTGTCCCCTTCCTTCCCTTGTGTGAGCCCTAAAGGCTGCAGGTGAGGAAGACTTGGGTCCTTTCCCTCTGGTCACCATTACGGGCTTTAATTTTCAGTAAATAAATATCTCTTAAGTTTAAGGGAAGAAATAAGCACTCTTTTTTTATTTTATTTTATTTTTTGAGATGGGGTCTAGTCCTGTCGCCAGGCTGGAGTGCAGTGGCGTGATCTCGGTTCACTGCAACCTCCACCTCCCGGGTTCAAGCAGTTCTCCTGCCTCAGCCTCCTGAGTAGCTGGGACTAAAGGCGCACACCACTACACCCAGCTAATTTTTGTATTTTTAGTAGAGTCGGGGTTTCACCATGTTGGCCAGGATGAAATTATTAAGGACAGGCCTTAATAATTTAATTATTAATAATTAAGGACAAGGATGGTCTTCATCTCTTGACCTCATGATCCGCCCGCCCCAGCCTCCCAAAGTGCTGGGATTACAGGTGTGAGCCACGGCGCCTGGCCTCAAAACAAGCATTCTTAACCCCAAATCACACGTCTGCAGAGATTCTGGCTGTCAACGTGATGCTGGGGTGAAGGCGACCATTGCGAAAATGTGCAATCTTTGGTCGGCATCTCAGTCCAGATGGACTCAGTGATTGTCTTGCTTTCTCACTTCCCTTGGGTATTGCAGAACTGCAGCCCCTGGGATTTGGCATCCACGTGACATGGCTCCTTGCTGAGGCCTGCTTCCGATGGCCTTTCTTCGGTCAATGCACAGATCTCAGTGTTGTCTTAATCTTCAAGCAACCAGGCTGGTCTGAAGTTTTTCAGAAGTTTTGGAGTTTGGAGAGATCATGTCTCCCATCTGTTTCCTGTTCCGTTTTTCTGTACTTCCTCTTCTTTCTCCTGCACCAGTGACTGGGCACAGGCGGCCACTGGACAGTCACTCCCTGTCTGCAATAACCAGAGTCTCTACTGATGATTCCGTTATCCTTGCAGGTCTGTCACTCAGTCTCCCCCAAGACACACTAAAATGGAAAGAAATGAATGACTTGGGGGTGGGCGGCTTTTCTTGCAGCCCAGGATGAAGCTCTTTCACAATCCTCAGGGCATTTGTGGTGACTCTGCAGTAGGTTTAAGTCCAGAGAATGCAACATACATTTTAGGGACTCTTGATAGTTACTATGGTAATTTGAGGCTTTGAAAAATAGAAATATGTTCTGGGGAAAAAGTGGACATTACATCAGATGCAAAATGCTCAACCTTCAAGAGCTTCATACTACTAAAGATGGGTGAAGAAAGGAGGAGATGTTTGTGGTGAAGGCCATTAAAAAAATCAAAAGCAAAGATTGTGAAAATAAACAAGCATAAATTGGATTCCAGCATAAAGATAAAGAAAGATATTTTTGGGATTACAGGTGGTGGCTCACGTCTGTAATCCTAGCACTTTGAGAGGCTGAGGTGGGAGGATCACTTGAGCCCAGGAGTTCGAGACCAGCCTGGCCAACAAGGCGAAACCCCATCTCTACTAAAAATACAAAAATTAGCTTGGCATGGTGGCTGCACTTGTAGTGCCAGCTACTCAGAGGTTGAGGCACAAGAATCGCTTGAATGTGGGAGGCAGAGGTTGCAAGTGAGCTAAGATTGGGCCATTGCACTTCAGCCTGGGTGACAGAGTGAGACTCTGTCTCAAAAAAACAAAAAAAAAAAAAACAAAAAAAAGGAAAAAATAAAAAGATTTTTTTTTCAGTTGGCATGTATACTCTGAATAGTTTCACTTGATCTACCAAACCAAAATAGCACATGCTTAAAGGTAAATAATTCTTAGGGCTTTAGGCTTCAGTAGTCAATATAAAGGATGTTGGTCCTACATGAAGCTAGGGGCAACTCCCAGACAGCAAGGATCTTGTTGCCCAAGAGGAAACAGAGTGGAAATTCAGCCCTTGCCCCAATCCCTCAGCTTTCCATGGAAGTGGAACAGCCAATGGTGACAAAATACAGCACATTTTAAACAAGTGCTAGTGATATAATGACACAATGATATAATAATATATATGAAGCCTGGACACAGTGGCTCATGCCTATAATCCCAGCACTTTGGGAGGCTGTGGTGGGTGGATCACCTGAGGTCAGGAGTTCCAGACCAGCCTGGCCAATGTGGTGAAACACCGTCTCTACTAAAAATTAAAAAATTAGCTGGGCATGGCGGCATGCGCATGTAACCCCAGCTACTCGGGAGGCTGAGGCAGGAGAATCGCTTGAACCCAGGAGGCGGAGGTCACAGTGAGCCGAGATCGCGCCATTGCACTCCAGCCTGGGCGACAAGAGAGAAACTCTGCCTCAAAACAAACAAACAAACAAACTACATGTATATATGTATATATATATGACACATGTCATTATATATAGTACATATGCATATCATACACACTCACATATATGTTATATATGTAAGAATATATATAAAGTGGTCGGGTGTGGTAGCTCACGCCTGTAATCTCAGCACTTTGGGAGGCCGAGATGGGCGGATCACAAGGTCAGGAGATCGAGATCATCCTGGCTAACACGGTGAAACCCCATCTCTACTAAAAATACAAAAAATTAGCCGGGTGTGGTGGCGGATGCCTGTAGTCCCAGCTACTTGGGAGGCTGAGGCAAGAGAATGGTGTGAACCCGGGAGGCAGAGCTTGCAGTGAGCCAAGGGCGCACCACTGCACTCCAGCCTGGGCGACAGAGTGAGACTCCCTCTCAAAAAAAAAAAAAAAAAAAAGACTATATATAAAGTGTTCTTTTCCAGTAACACAAAAGTCAGGCTTATTATAAGAACTAGCTGATAGGTGGGTGAGTAGTTCCCATTAAAAAAAATGATTTGAGGTACTTAAAGAAAACTGTGGTTTTTAAAAAAGATGATCATTACAGACAATGGGGTAGATTGCAAAGCAGACTGAAATGGATCTTCAGAGAACTGCTACCATGGATCCGTCATCATTTCAAGAAGACATCTCCCAAACAGGTAGGGCTCTCTTAAACTAAGCCTTCGCTCCTGGTCTTGCTTTGTATAAGAGATGTTTCTTTTAATTTAATTTAATTTTTAGACAGGGTCTCACTCTGTCACACAAGCTGCAGTGCAGTGGGGTGATCCTGGCTCTCTGCAGCCTCGACCTCCTGGGTTCAAGTGATCCTCCCACTTTAGTCTCCCAAGTAGCTGGGACTATAGGCACACATCACCATGTCTGGCTAATTTTTTTTTTTTTGAAGAGTCTAGCTCTGTCACCAGGCTGGAGTGCAATGGTGTGATCTTGGCTCACTGCAACCTTCGCTTCCTGGGTTCAAGTGATTCTCCTGCCTTAGCCTCCCGAGTAGCTGGGATTACAGGCACGTGCCGCCACGCCCAGCTAATTTATATATTTTTAGCAGAGATGGGCTTTCACCATGTTGGCCAGGATGGTCTCTATCTCCTGACCTCGTGATCTGCCCACCTCGGCCTCCCAAAGTGCTTGGATTGCAGGCGTGAGCCACCGTGCCCGGCCTCCTGGCTTATTTTTTAATTTTTTTGTAGAGACGAGTTCTCACTATATTGCCCGGGATATAAGCCACGTTTCTAAAGCGCACTCAGATGTGCCTGCCTCTGAAGTCTAGCCACCCACAGGAGGGAGGACAAGTCATGAATGTGGTCATTTGAAGGCCCCAAAGGGCTGTCTCCTTTAGTTCCCTTTCCTTACCCAGCAGATGGTACAGAGTAGCTCCAGGTATGTTTGGGTAGATGGTGCCTCTTAAGTCCTGGGTTTTCCGTGACAGTTGTTCCCTCAAATACCCTCTGCCATACTTAAACCTTGCATCAGCTCAGCTATCAGACACGGACTTGTGTTGTGGAAACAATGGTCTCTGTGGCCCAATCAGACATCGGGCTTGCCACAGGTTAACTTCATTCTTGGCTATGATCAATGTGGAGAAATTGTCCTGGGTGATTTAGGAATGTTTGGTAAAAAAAAAAAAAAAAAAGGCCAGTCCACGATAGACATTTTATCTGAAAGATATAATAATTATGCCATTTTTCAGCTCCTCCTTAAAAAAGGGGGTCGAGTCACTATCCCTTAGCAGTTCATTGTTTCCAATTTGGCTTAATTGAAACTGAGAAAGTTCTTAAAGTTTGAACAGCAGTAATTAAATCTGAATTGGATGGGATATTTGTAATTTTGAATGCTTAAATTTTGAGAGGAAAAAACTGTGTAATGTTGTTGGCCAAATGACCCCAGTCATTAAGATTCCTATGGCATTATTTAGTTAGTTGGCTTTTTATAACGCCACGAGGTTTGCTGTGGGCTGCCATGGACGCCATTGGCCTCACAAGGAGAAGAAGCATTTTAGAGAAGAGCCTCTGAGAGAGAGAAGCAGCCCCTTAAGAGTCTGCTAATAATTGGCATTAGCATTTCTGGACTTCTCGGGATGCAGGAACTGAGATGAGTTGAGGAAAATGAACAGAAGTGACAGTTTTTGTGAGGCCAATGGAAACCATGTTTGGATCCAGGAAAAAAAAAATGAGACAGGAAAGGGAGGGTCACATTTTTGGAGGAAATCATGTGGTATTTTGGTAATCCTTTGTTGATGAAAAAAATTACCAGCACATTAATTATGTCCTAAGAATGGGACACTGCAGGTCTGCATCTTTGTTCTTTCCCAGGCTGGGACAGCAGCCCCGGCATTTACCACTCTGGGGATTAGAAACCTGGGTTCCTGGACACATACCATGAGTACCTCGCTACAGTGTTGAAATCTAACCCAGCCAGGAGTTCAGGAGATAGGAGGCTTTTTTTCAAGACAAGTAATGACAACTGAATAGTTTAAAATCTTTATAAGACTGGTAGTATTCTGCCAGTGCAAAGTAATAAAACTAAATATGACATGAAAGTCCTTTTCTTTTCTTTCCTTTTCTTTCTCGCTCCCTTCCTTCTTCTCTTCCCTTCCTTCCCCCTCCCTTCTCTTTTCTCTTCTTTCTTTTAAAAACTTTTTTTTATCAGTTATATACACTTGTAAACGTTTTTCACAAGAGTTCAAACATTTACATTTAGACATATACAGCATAAACCAACATTGACCCTTATTCTTCTAGATTCTTTAGGTAGGATTGAGTACATCGTTGCCACTCATAAGCAAAAAGCACGAAGCTGGAGGCATCATGCTATCTGACTTCAAAGTACACTACAGAGCTACAGTAGCCAAAACAGCATGGTACTGGTACAAAAACAGACACATAGACGAATGGAACAGAATAGAGAGCCCAGAAATAAGACTGCACAACCACAACCATCTGATCTTTGGCAAAGCTGACAAAAACAAGCAAATAGGAAAGGACTCCCTATTCAATAAACAGTGCTGGGATAACTGACTAGCCATATGCAGAAGATTGAAACTGGATCCCTTCCTTAAATCATATGCAAAAATCAACTCAAGATGGATTAAAGACTTAAATGTAAAACTCAAAACCATGAAAACCCTGGAAGACAACCTAGGCAGTACCACTCTGGACATAGGAACAGGCAAAGATTTCATGAGGAAGATGCCAAAAGCAATTGCAACAAAAGCAAAAATTGACAAATGAGATCTAATTGAACTAAAGAGCATCTGCACAACAAAAGAAACTGTCAACAGAGTACACAGACAACCTACAGAATGGGAGAAAATGTTTGCAAACTGTGCATCTGACAAAGATCTAATATCCAGCATCTATAAGGAACTTAAACAAACAAATTTACAAGATAATTACCACTTCCTTTAGAAGAACGTGATATATTAGATGTACATTGCCATTGTGGTAAAAATGGTCACGCATTTTTCTCCCCTTTTTATCTAAGTCCTTGGGTGGTGCCCTCTCACAGACTCTGGTCTGGCCATATGACTTTTTTTCGGCCAATGGGAGGATAGCTAAGGTGACACAAACCCAAACTGGAAAAGTATGTGTGCACCAGGGCTTGCTATCTTGCTGTCCTTTGGAGCCCTGAGGCCACCATGTGAAGAAGCTTGGGGTTGCCTGCTGAGAAATAAGGAACCACTTCAGCTGACACGGAGCCTACTCCAGGCCACCAAAGGGAGGCCATTCTTGTTTATCCATCTCGGTCAAGCCAACTCAGACTCGGAGAATGGCCCAGCTTCCCCAAGAATTGTGAGAAATAATTGATTGTTTTAAGTTACTAAGTGTTGGGATACTTTGTTATTATGGCAAAAGCTGCATAATAAGCCATAACCAAAGTTGTTATTTTTGTCCTTTAAGCTCGATTATTATATTATCATTATTATTTTTTGATATAGAGTCTTGCTCTGTCACTCAGGCTGGAGTGCAGTGGCATGATCTCGGCTCATTGCAACCTCCACCTCCCAGGTTCAAGCGATTCTCCTGCCTCAGCCTCCCGAGTAGCTGGGACTGCAGGTGCGTGCCACCATGCCTGGCTAATTTTTGTATTTTTAGTAGAGATGGGGTTTTGCCATGTTGACCAGGTGGGTCTCGAACTCCTGACCTCAAGTGGTCCGCCTGTCTTGGCCTCCTAAAGTGCTGGGATTACAGGCATGAGCCTCCACGCCCGGCCTAAGCTAGATTATTAGGGACTTCTTTCCTTAAATATAAGGCATTGTTTGGATATGTGATGATTAGCTGTTATGCAATGGCAGTGCTCCCTTTCTGGGTAAGAGCATTGTTCCCTTTCCTTATCCAAACTAGAAAACCTAGAAAATGTGGATAAATTTCTGGACACATGTACCCTTCTGATGCTGAAGCAGGAAGAAATTGATTCCCTGAAAAGACCAACAATGAGCTCCAAAACTGAATCAGTAATAAATAGCCCGTCAACCAAAAAAAGCCAAGGACCTTATGAGTCTTCCTGAGTAGGGAGTATGGTGATTTGCAAAGGTTGTTTCTAGCATGTTGATGACCTTCTTTCACAGGAAGCAGTGTTTCTCATTCTAGCTATCCTGAGCAAATTTCTAAGGATGAGAACTCCACACCCACACAGGGCTTAGCAGGTGTAGTTTTCTGTCCCCTTTTTTTTTCCTACCCCACAGTCACGTTTTCTAAACTCTGAGCCTCCCTCCATCTACATAGAGGGTTTAACCCTCCTTCCATCTGCATTTCCCTCATTACTGCCATCATAATCACATTCCTTAATTGCTTGGTTCAAGGTAGCATCTTTCTTACCATGAGTGCAAGAAAGAAAAGATATTTGGATTGCTTTACCCTTTCAAGCAAAATAGGAATCCTGTCACGGCATGCTTATCATGCTTATTCTTTTCTTTTCTCTTCTTTTTTTTTTTTTTTTTTTAGACAGGATTTACAAGATAATTACCGTTTCCTTTAGAGGTACATAATATATTAGATGTACACTGCTGTGGTGGTAAAAATGGTCACACATTTTTCTCCCCTTTTAATCTACATTCTTGGGTGGTGCCCTCTCACAGACACTCTGGTCTGGCTATAACTTTCTTTGGCCAATGGGTTGATAGCTAAGGTGACACAAGGCCTTTAGAGGTACTGGCTCTGTCACCCAGGCTGGAGTGCAGTGGTACCATCTGAGCTCACTGCAACCTCCATATCCCAGGCTCAAGCGATTCTCCTGCCTCAGCCTCCCGAGTAGCTGGGACTACAGGCGCCCGGCACCATGCCTGGCTAATCTTTTAAACATTTTTTTGTAGAGATGGGGTCTCCCTATATTGCCCAGGTTGGTCTTGAACTCCTGGGCTCAAGCAATCCTGTCTCAGCCTCCCAAACTTCTAGGATCACAGGTGTGAGCCACCGCCCTGCCCACAGTCACTTTCTAAAGTTAGACCTGAATGACCCCTCTCCTTCATAAAGTCGTCTCCAACCACCTCGGATCATGGAGCTGCTTTGCTCTTCTGAATTCTTACAGCCTTAGAGTCTCAGTCGCTCAACGGTTATTGATCACATTCCACGTGCATGCTCATTTATCATACTGTCTTCAGACTTGATTATGTGCTATTTGTGGAAGGGATTATATGTCTTTGTGCCTCCAAAGTGCCTAGCAGAGGGCATTGTTTAAGGTTGGTGCTCAGTAGACATTTGGCACTGCACTGGTTTCCAACCTTTGCTAGCAGCATTTCTCAAAGTGTGGTTTGTGTATTCCTGCATTAGCATGATGAGAAGTGCTTGTTAAACACTGTCTCACCACCTCTCGGCCCCTTCTAAGACCTACTGAGTTTGCCTTTCTGCTAGGAAGGCCCAGGAATCTGCACGGTAAACAAGCTGTGCAGGTCATTTTTAGGTTCATAAAAATGTGAGAATCCTTCTTTTCTGCAGTGGGCAAATTTAATCCATAGGTGGCCTGTTGGACCCCTTACTTCTTTATGCAAAACCTAGGGATCCTAGACTTACTGAAACTTCTAGAACTCAGAATTGTGACTTTCAACTGAGAAGAAGAGGGGTGTGTCTCTAAGAAACAGGGTTTGAAAGGTATCATTTGAGATAATAATATGATTTATACTTGGGAACAGCCCATTGTTATAATGATACAAGCTACAGGCAAGTGGAGAATGACCAAATCTCAGTTGGTGTGATGCATAAAGAATGCTGAATGGTTAGCTTAATGACTTTATAGAGCAGGGGTCCCCAGCCCCTGGGGCACAGACCAGTATCAATTCATGGCCTCTTAGGAACCAAGCCACACAGCAGGAGTTGAGCAACAGGTCAGTGAGCAAAGGTTCGTCTGTATTTACAGCTGTTCCCCATCGCTTTCATTACCGCCTGAGCTCTGCCTCCTGCCAGACTGCAGTGGTATTGGATTGTTATAGCAGCACAAACCCTACTGTGAACTGCACATGCGAGGGATCTAGGTTGCACACTCTTCATGAGAATCTAATGCCCAATGATCTGTCACTGTCTCCCATCACCCCCACATGGGACTCTTTGGCTGCAGGAAAACAAGTTCAGAGCTCCCACTGATTCTACATGATGGTGAGTTGTAGAATTATTTCATTATATATTCCAATGTAATAATTATAGAAATAAAGCACACAATAAATGTAATGTAATGCATAAAATGATTCTACGTGATGGTGAGCTGTAGAATTATTTCATTATGTATTCCAATGTCATAATTATAGAAATAAAGCACACAGTAAATGTAATGCACCACACCCGGCTAATTTTTGTATTGTTTTGTAGAGATGAGGTTTCACCATGTTGCCCAGGCTGGTCTTGAACTCCTGGGCTCAAGCAATCTGCCCACCGTGGCCTCCCAAAGTGCTGGGATTACAGGCTTAACCACTCTTAACCCCGGAATGTCGAATTTTCCACAAATAAAAATATTTATTTTCAGGTAAATCTAAATGAGAAACAAAAGGGAAATTCTTCTAAACTCAAGGATAATGATGAAAGAGTTGTCTCTAAAGAATGGTGGTCATCTGTGAATTCAGAATTCTAACTACGTCCTCAGAAAAGAGTCAGGCTACCCATGCTGCTGGTCTTATATGGCATGATTCATCCACGGAGCTCAGATTCCAGGAACATGTGGTCTTCAGGTGTTTTCTGTAGCTTTTCCCTCAGGATTTGATAGTGATTGGTAGGCAGCATTTTTCCTGTACTGATGTCTTTGACACATAGATGGCCATCTTTCATTCAGTCGGGACAACACATGTATTTTTTCTAGTTTAACTCTGCCTGGCTTGATTGCCTAAGTCCATCTATTCACAATAAATATACAATTGTCCCATGAGACAGCTTAATGCAATAAGCACATACTGAGCCAGGTGCAGGGATTCGGAGACCTGGGGGATAGGGTATTCTAAAGACCTAACAATGAGTCCTGTCTCCAAGGTTCTGACAGTCTAATCAGGTAGACAAAATATAAAGGCACTGGGAAAGGGACTTAATAACAAAACCAGGCTGCAGATTAGGGGCTACAAGCTGGGGCTCACAGGCCAAATCCAGCCCGTGACTTGTTTTTGTAAATAAAGTTTTATTGGAACTCAGCCATGTCCATTCTTTGATGTATTCTCTATGATGCTTCTGTGCTACAAAAGCACAGTTGAGAGTAGTTGCAACAGAGACAGTATGGCCTGCAAAAACGAAAATATTTGCTCTCTCGACCTTTATAGAAAAAGTCTGCTGACTCTTGGAAGTGGATGATTAAATACTAAAGCAAGTGAAAGGACAATAGTAAGTGGACTAACAGTTCAGAAGAGTGCACGTTTCCTGCAATGTTTGTGTGTGTATGTGAGGGGGTAGCTTTTTAGAGGAAGTGAGGAATTAGAGAAAAGTAGAACTTGGACAAAGAGATGAGAGAGATGGAATAATCCAAGGGTATTTGGTAACTTTCCATATCAATATTTTACATAAATAAATAAATAAAAATACTACTGTTAATTTTAAGGTAGATTATTTAACTGAAGCTGTATGTTTAATAATAACATTATATTTCCAAACACTTTCACTCTCTTTCTTGCTTGCCATAGTCTTGTGAGGTAGGCAGGGTAGTAAATTACCCCAGTTTGGCAGATGACCGTCAGAGAGGTTGGTTAAAAGCCTGGCTGTAGGTGGAAAGCCTTGTAGAGCTGCTGAGCCGATCCTGCAACTGCCGCAAGGTTCTGATTTTTATAGGGAGCCCACAGGAGAACTTGGCAATTTGTGACTATGTGCAGCAGATGAAACAATAAGAAATTTGAAACTAAATCCTTTTATTAATTTTTATACCAATTTTTCCATTTCCTGAATCTCTCTGTCCTTCAATAATGCTAGGCTGTGAGAAGCTGAGTCATGCATGGGTTGACTGTGGGTCTGGATATAAGGCTATGTTTAAATCCTGCAAAGCAAAGAGAAGCCCAAAGACATGGATGTGCTTGTCACTCATCCTCTTGAAAGCCTGAGCATCTCAGATCTTTCAAGGACCAGCTCATCTCCCAAAAACAATGTGGCTGATGCCCTTAGGAAATGTGGGGCCGGGCATGGTGGCTCACACTTGTAATCCCAGCACTTTGGGAGGCCAAGGCGGGTGGATCACTTGAGGCCAGGAGTTTAAGACCAGCCTGACCAACATGGGGATATCCTGTCTCCACTAAAAGTACAAAAACTAGCCAGGCGCAGTGGCATATGCCTGTAATCTCAGCTACTCAGGAGGCTGAGGCAGGAGAATGGCTTGAACCGGGGAGGCAGAGGCTGCAGTGACCTGAGATTGCACCACTGCACTCCAGCCTGGGTGACAAAGTGAGACTCTGTTGAAAAAAAAAAAAAAAAAAGACAATTTGGAACCCACACCATCTATTTGGCTATTGCCAACACTTCCTGAAGGCTTTGCCATGGACCAAGCATTCTCATTAATGCTTTATGTGTTTAATCCTCACAATGACTTCAAGAAGTAGGTACTATTATGTACCTATTACACAGATGAGGCAAATGAGTTGCAAGGAGTTCACCCACTTGAGGTTAGACAGCTAATGAATGTCTGAGTCAAGATTCGAATCCAGGTCAGAACTTGCATCCTTATTTACTGCATTCTTCCATACTGCCACTCATTGACAAGCATGGGGATGCATAATTTTGAATCATGCTCAAGAAGTTTGGAACCAAAAGATGCTATGCATAAACTGCACAGGAAACGTCCATGCTCTTTGACATGACGAGGTCAGATTTAGAAAGCTGTGAACATGGACCTCAAAAAATCCTACCAGGTTCTCAGTCTTACAGATTTCTCAGAGGGAACACAGGGAGGGCAGGAGGAATGCAAGGTCCAAGCTGGAATTACCCCAACCCGGATGCAAAACACGCCGGCAGCTGGGAGGAAAAATTGGACTAAGTTAGTATATTTGGGGACAAAGGTGGAAGAGGCTCAAGCGCAGAAAATGTTTCAACAGGACTCCAAGGAGGTCTTGTACGATTATGCTCAAGCCTCTGGGTTCTTAACATACCACACTTTGCCCCACTTCAATCAGCTGCAAGGAACCCCATCCACACTCTGCCTGGGCCCCGCCTGTGGCAATGTGTCTTTGCTGTGGCTTCATTCTGGAGTTGTTGCGGAGGAATCAGATATTGGCAGAATAAAATGGCAAACTTGGTCTATGGAAAATGTAACCAGACACAGAAAGTGGACCGAGCCCACCTTTGTCAGCGTGGCCTGAGTCAATCCCATTAACTTCAAGTCAGTGGACTAGACTCAGAAAATGGCAAATCGCTGGAGTCTTTTCTCCCTACCCCTCCCCACCAAAGCAAGAGCCTAGCTGTGGGGTAGAGTACGTGTTCCATTACGTCTCTTGGGCTACTCTTACGAGCTGGCCCCTCTAAAGAATAAGTTTGGGGAATAAAAATAACTACCTGGGATATCAAAGAAAAAGAAGCCCTGGGTAAGTGAACCAGGCAATTCCCAACAATGACATGGATAGTAGAGTTGAAGGTAGTAATTATATTTTGTACCAAATTGGGGGATAATATAGAAGAGCACAGGACAATTCAGAATGCCTGGAATACATTACGACTGTGGGCCTAATAACAGGTTTATGTAATTTAATGAGCAGAAATATGAACTATAAAACCAGGAGGATAAACTGAGAAACAAGAATACTCCTGGAGGGCTTGGGATGGGCTTTTAAAAGATGTGGCAGATATTCTCCCCAAATTAGGGGCAATATAGAGAGTCGCATTGGACCTAAGTAAATTATTCACTCCTGTGTAGCAGATTTTTAAGGCTTTATCTCAAAGCTGGGTTCAGCTTGAGCCACCTATTATAAAATACAAATGGATATGTGAAAATGGTCAGAAACCCATGCCAGAAATTGGTGTGACATGGAGATTTATGGGGCTTCATACACCAGTGTTATGAACTGCCTGGTCTGTGGCCCTCTAAAAGGAAGAGATTCCGAGTCGGGTTTGGACAAACAGAGACAAATCAAGAAGGAAGCTGGGAACAGTTGCAATGAGATTTTTTAGAATGATGGCTCAAGTATAAAGAACTTGAACCTGGCAGGCATTTGGATAACATTTCTGGATGCTTTAAGGAAGTTATGGCTAGACGAAGCCACCAAGAGAGCAGTCAACTCAGCTCAACCAATGGAAAGAGAGAAGCAAGGAAGGGCCGGATTGGGCAAGAGCACGGGGCAGCATTCACTGGGAGAGAGGCAGGGAGGGGGTCTGCTGCATGGTTACCCTTGTCAGGTTAATTTCCTGTGTGCTCCCTCTGATTTGGGGGAAACTCAAGGAGGATGTTTTCTCCTTCAAACATTTGAAAAGCTATTTTTAGCTGTTTTTAGGAAGGCAGGAACAAGAGCATTCCTCTCTCAAACCGCAAGAAACCTTCATGAATATGGCCAGAAATTGAAAGTAAATTTGTTATTACGTTGCTTAAGTGATTTGAGCCTTTTCAGAGTCACCTGAGGACCCTCCAGACAGGGAAAATCTTGATGAGATAAAAGTGCCATCTGAACAAAGTGCATCAGAATGTTGCATTCCTTAATGTCATTGACAACACAACACGACACAACACAACACACAGCATCCTCCTCATGATTTCCCCGAATGAGATCAGTTTGATAAATTAGCTCCAAACTATAGCCACAGTCCCTTGCCCATTGGAAGAGTTTCTAATAGCTGTTCTGTTCTCTGCCCTGCAAAGATGATAATCTGAGGTTCCTCAGCTGTTGGATGGTTAATGTTTTGTTCTTGTACTTATTGCAAAATTGGGGAAAAGAAAAACTGGCTTTGTAACTGTATTGGCCTTGAGATTTACCTGATAAACAACACTGAGTAATAGGATTGGAAATTCTCTTAAAATTTTTTGCACATTATTTGGTTACAGTTTCCATATGGCAAGAAGGCAAGGGGAGAAACTTCCATTCTGGACCAGCCCCCCTCCCTCCCAGCCACACGTTTAATCCATGTGCTTATGTCAAACTTAATTACAGGACTTTTGGCATAAAATAACAGTCCACATCCTCAGAGAGAAGAACTTAAGCAGTTAATATGTGCGATTGAGTGAAATTGCTTTGCTGAATGTTTATGAGTAACCCAAGACTAGTGAAATGTGCTGATATTTTAACTGTTTCAGTGCTGAACTTGTGCCAAGATGCTGTGAAATAGAAAAAAAATAATAATAATTTCTTCCGATCTGCTGTGTATCATATTTCTTGAAACTGAGAACGTTGGGTAAGACAATTTTATGGCTCTTTCACAAATAGCTTTGTGGAGAAAAAAACAATAAAGCTAGAACAATTATGGAACTTGTCACCAGCTCAGGGAACTGCAGAGATTCAAGAGAAGAATAGCAACTTCAAACTAACATCCTTTTCTGCAGAAAATTCTCTTGAATATTAGAGGTCCCCACCAGGGGCAACAATTTTTGCCTTCGGATTTTCACCTACCCGCTTGAACCTTTTCAGACACTTCTGTTTCCCATTCATCCCCAGTCTAATGTGAATGGTTTTAAAATGTAGAGATTTCCAACCCTAAAACGACTCGATGCTTCCCACTGTCATCTTTGCTGAAATAAATTCCTACCTCTGTTTAAATGTTCTTTTGTCTAAATTGTTCACAGTTAGACCTGCTCCTTTTAGCTCTAGAAGAACCTCTTACAATATAAAATCATCTGCTTATTTTCCTTCCTTTTCTAATGCTCTTTCTTATACTAGTGAGATGTAGAGCTACTTCTGAATTCATAGTTCTTTTCATTACTTTTGTTTCAAAAGACTTCTCTATTATCACCTGCCCCATAAATGCCAGCCTTTTAACACTATAGTTTCTTTTGTTTTCTTTCTTTCTTTCTTTCTTTCTTTCTTTCTTTCTTTCTTTCTTTCTTTCTTTCTTTCTTTCTTTCGAGACAAAGTCTCACTCTGTCATCCACGCTGGAGTGCAGTGGTGTGATCATAGTTCACTGCAGACTTGAACTCCTGGACTCAAGAGATTCTCCTGCCTCAGCATCCAGAGTAGCTAGGACTACAGGAGTGCCTGGCTAAGTTAAAACTTGTTTTGTTGTAGAAATGCAGACTTGCTGTCTTGCCCAGGCTGGTTTTGAACTCCTGGCCTCAAGCAGGTCTCCTACCCCAGCCTCCCGTAGTGCTGGGATTGCAGGTGTGAGCCACTGTACCTGGTCCAGCATTACTGTTTTGGAAGCTTCTCTGTACCTAAATGTTCTACTGAGCCCAAATTCTCTTCTCTCCATTCTCTCCAAACCCACATTGTCCCTCCCCGCAATTCCCCCAATCTGTCCCCAGACTGTTGGGAATGTATTCAGCACTTGTTCCAAGGGCAACAGAATACAAATGTATCATCTCCATCCACAAAACACTCTGTGCACCATCTCAGGATCTCCAGCTAGCTGCCCTCTGGGTTTCAGCAATACCGACCGTCCACTCCGCTTTACACCTCTGCTCCCTTTCAAGTCACCTCCTTGTCCACATCTATGACCCTTGAGAGCATGGCACCCTTTAGTTTTGCTGACTGCCATCTTCCCTTGCTACTTCAAAATGCTTCTGAAAATGCATTTTCTCCCTTATCTGCGACTCCAAACTTCATTCAGCTTATATTTCAGAATTATTTTTAGAACTATTGTTTGGTTCAGCATATTAGAATCCTATCTTTGAGAAAGGTGCAATAAGGTTAGGGTGTTGAAATTGGAGGATATTTGTGAGGGTACCTGGCACATGCCTGGTACATAGAAGACACCTACTAAAGTTCACTTATTTGTTCATTGATACCTTCATTTGTTCAATGCATATTGAATGCCTAATACATAAAACGATTACATGGTAACAATGCCTTGAGTCATGCTAGGTGGTGGGGATTCAGATATGAGAGATTTGCTGAAATAGACTAAGGGCATACTCTGAACTTTTCCTACATTTCAAGCAGAGCTAACCAACAATCTAGAATGTTGGTATTATGAATCTCTTGTATTATTTTTAATGCAGGTTATAAATATGTAGGCCTGAAAGTCATATCTCATGGTATGACCTCACGGTATGACTTTCACTTCTGGGCAGTATCTGGGCAACATGGTGAAACCCCGTCTCTACTAAAATCCAAAAAAATTAGCTGGGTGTGGTGGCGTGTGCCTGTAATCCCAGCTACTCAGGAGGCTGAGTCAGGAGAATCACTTGAACCTGGGAGGCAGAGGTTGCAGCGAGGCAGAGGTTGCAGTGAGCCAAGATTGTGCCACTGCACTCCAGCCTGGGCGACAGAGTGAGACGATGTCTCAAAAAAGGAAAAAAAAAAAAAAGTAACTAGTGAGGGAAATCTTCTTTTGGCATAGAAGTGAAATATTTCAGTAAAGTATCAAGGTTATGCCCAGTATGGTGGAGACGCATGGATTCTTGATATTAATGGATGACAGACATTCTTTGCCTACCTCTAGTAATCCTTCAGGTCTTAGATCAAAGCTGTTTTTTCTTGAGGGGGGCTTTCTCTGACCCACCCAATTGTAAATTAGGTACCCCTGTTGTAGGTTCTCTCCTACTCTGTACTCTTCCTTTGCTGCATTTATTACAATTGGTAGTTGCATATTTATTGTGTGATTATCCATTGAATGTCTGTCTCCCTTAGGACACTGTAAGCTCCATGGAGGCAGGGGCCATATCCATTCTGTTCAATACTCAATACCCAATCTCCAGCACAGCACCTGGCACATGGTAGGCACTCAGTAACACTTGTGGGATGATTATTAATGTCCTGATGCTAACTGCGAAAGTGCAGACAGTCCATAAATTGTTCATTTACTTTGGAATCAGCTGTGTAACTTTTTGAAGCATCTTCCTTTCACTAGTTTTTTTTTTTTTTTTTTTTTTTTTGAGACATAGCTCCACTTTGTCACCCACGTTGGAGTGCAGTGCCACGATCTCGGCTCACTGCAACCTCCACCTCCCGGGTTCAAACGATTCTCATGCCTCAGCCTCCTGAGTAGCTGGGACTACAGTCACATGTCACCAGACCCAGCTAATTTGTTTATTTTGGTAGAGACAGGGTTTCAACATGTAGGCTAGGCTGGTCTCGAACTCCTGACCTCAGGTGATCCGCCTGCCTCGGCCTCTCAAAGTGCTGGGATTACAGGAGTGAGCCACCGTGCCCAGCCCTCACTAGTTACTCTGATGCAGGTTATTGTTGAAATAGTTTGGGTGTTCACTGGCCAGCTGGGAAGAAGCGGACAGAAACAGTTGCTTGCTTTTTGCCCCCAGGACAGCTTTGCTGATGGGGCTGGCAGAAGATATGCTGAGCTAGGAAAGGTCAAATCATCAGAGAGTCTGGGAGGTGGGAAAAGCTGGACAAAGGAAAAGAATGACCTCGGGATCTTCCTGTCTGTACTTCCTGTCTCCCCAGGAAGTGTCAGTCAGAGATTTTCAGGAAAGGGTGTTGTCATGGAAACCTGAATTGGCTCTTCCCCTCCAGGCTGTATGGGGACAAGTGCCCTCATGTGCCCCAGCTGTCCCCAGGCTTGTGGAAGAGGGCAGTCAGTTTGAGTTTTCCGACGCACCGTGGAAAATCCAGAGCCGACAATGTCTGGGACTACAGAACCGGCGACAGCGTGCGGCAGGGATTCAAGTCCAGAATGCGGTGGAACCTGTTATGAACTAATTAAAATTTAATCTGCTAAAGCCATTTTCTCCATCATTTGGGAACCCTCTCTTGACTTCAGCAAGTTCCAAAGAGCCTCTCAAATAGAGGATGCTGTATTTTTGCACTTTTTTTCTCTGTGTATTAGATTTCATCCCCCCAAAAAAGCCCTTTTTAAAAAGGGATTCTAGATAGAGTAGCCATATAATTTATCATCCAAACTGGGACGCTTTTGAGAGTGAAAAGAAGTGCTATTAATAATTACTCTGGGATAATAGATACAAACTGGGCTGTTCCGGGGAAATGCCGAGGTATCTTCAAGGAAACTGTAGGGTCAGGCACCGATCAAATGCATCCACTGGGCTGAAAGCCTCAGGCAGAAGGAGCTCTGTCTGTGTGACTCTTGTGCCTTGGATAGTGCTTGGTCTACAGTGAATGTGTAAATCCACAGTTGTCCTGGGTGTGCCTTCTGAACAGAAAATGGCGGGGGGGGCGGGGTGGGGGGCGGGCAGAGTGAACCCAGACGTTCCTTGCAATTTCACAGCCGCAAAGGGGAATCTGTGTTCCTGCAGCGCAGGCAGGTACACGATGCATAAGCGTCTGTGTATTCTGTGTTTACTGATTCCTAACTGTTAGCAGTTAATTGCCATCTGTTGACACACCCTGAGGGGGAATGTTAAGCAGTTCTCGACATCTGCATATATATTCTCTGCCTACATATTTTACTAACTCTTGTTTATGGGACCCATTTCCTCAAATCCATGCTACTGTGCCCCTGATTTTGTAACATACACGTACCCGGTGTCAACCTTTGGGGTTGAATGGGCAAAAATGCCCTCCTCAACTGTTCCCAACACAAAGAAATACTAAATGCTTGAGATGATGGCTACCCTAAATACCCTAATTTGATCATTACACATTATATCAAAATATCACACCTACCCCATCAATATGCACAATGATTATGTATCAATAAAAAAATGGGAAAAAATTCCCTTTTGGGTCCGCCAGAGATGCTGACTGCAGACCGGGTCCTGCCCAGACTCGCCAGCCACTCCATTTCCCACCCCTCCTCCACCCGCCTGCCGGGTCCTTCAGGAAGAGTGAAATGGTCCATTGATCCCTGAGGAGGAAAAGAGCATGTTCGGCCTTTTGAGAGGTTATGGACACTCTGAGTGACACCCGAGCCCAAGCCTCCAACAGCAAGTCCGGCAGCCCCGGGGTGCAGGGGCGAGGCCCGGCCTTGTCTCTGCCATCCACGTGTAATCTGGCCCTGAAACTGACCAGCTCCGACGCCCTCCTTCCTCCTGCCCGCCAGGCGCTTCGTGTTCTTCCCATGTCTTGGGAGAGATCCGTCTCCTTTGACAGACTCAAGATTCCAGGCCGAACTTTCCCATGCCACCGTCCCTCAAAATAGCCCCAGCCGAGCTGTATTTATAGCCGTGTGAGACTCTAATGGGCCAATTTGTTTGAATTTCCACTGCTTTTGTGTTGAACTTACCCCTCTCCTGTGGGCAGTCTCTTCAGGCCTTTATTGATGGGGTGTGTGAGGATGGCGTAGGCCGTGTTCAAGATGGTAGCTCTATAGAGCGTGGGGGCTGTTTTGCATATTTACTGTTCTTTAAAGCCGGTTTTTTGAGAGAGAGAAAGAGACAGAGAAAGAGGTTTCTGTAAGTAGCCCGGACAATGAGAACAAGACCGGCTGTATGCCAAGCACGGGATCCCGGCCAAAACACATATCATTAGCTTGGACCAGCTATAAGCAAGGAAATGAGAAACATATGCTAGGAGCAAGGTTAGGAGTGAAGGACCATGGGTCATTGACAGTCGCCCTAAAACTTTTCCCTTGTTCTTCAGCTGTGGCCTGGCGGTGTCAAATGTCATTTCGACTGCCTTGATTTCTCATGGTGGGGCTGCCTGTGGTTTTTTTTTTTTTTTTTCTTTCTTTCTTTCTCCCCCTGCTGTTTCCTGATGGGACTGTTTTTTTGTTTTTTTTTTTGTTTTTTTTTTTTTTTTTTGGGAGGGGAAAAGAGAACAGTCAGGGAAGGGCTTATGTGATAGTTTTTCTCAGTTCTGGGAAAATAACCTTGTTTCCTGTGATGCACTCTTCAATTCCTCACTTTCTCTGAAGCAACGATGTCTCTGGGTTTTGGATCCATACTGGTTTGAGAGGGGAAGACTGAGGGGAGGCTTTTAAAGCAGTTCTTGCTGTTTCTTTCTTAAATATAATTAGATGCGCCTCATTACCTCACACTGAAGGACTTTTGTACTTTTTCGAGCTGTGTTTTCTGAGATCTTCCGTGGGCGACGGCTTGTCGTTTCCACTTGCAGTTAATTGCATTAGCAGGTATTTTCCCCCCGCCCCTCCCGCCCCGGCATATTTGTCCTCTCTTCTCGCTCTCCCCAAGATATCTGGAGTCGATTTTGCGAGTCCGAAGGCCACACCCAGGGAGTCTGCTTGTGCCTGAACGTGATGAAGGATCTGGATTCCTTTGGCCCTTCCCAGTTTCCCTTTCCTCCACCTCATTCTTTTTTCTTAAAGTCTTCCCCGGACAGTTTACTAACAATGCTCTGCTCTCTTGCACTCCAAGGTCAGGACCCCTGTTCCCTATAAAACCCAGATGAAGAACTGTATCCATGCAACTCAGAGGCGGTCCCTGGAGAGCATCCCATGTGGCTACTGTTCTGAAACGACCACAACCGCCCAGGAAACTCACCAGGCTCCGACACCCAGGTTTGGCCAAAGTCACAAGATAGCCACGGATATACCCTGCCATTCCCATGAAGGGAACGCTATAGAAGTGGGGGCGCAGGGCAGTTGCAAGCCTGTATGGCAGAAAGGGGAAGGAATAAAATGCTCTCCCATAAACCCCTTCGGACCTTCATTCCTTTAAGATTTAGGGAATGGTGTTGGGGTGGAACCATGTAAAATAATTAAAACATTCGGTCCCTGTTTATCTTTTGCTTCCTTCTCTGTGCCTTGTTCTGAAAATAAACTTTGCAGTTAGTTTCCGGGCTCCCAAAATTCCCAAGTGTGTGAGCGTCCTCAAGGCTTTGGGCAGAGTTAATGACCGGCTTGAGGTTCACTGGACGTGTTTCCCCCAGGCGAGCCACCTTTTTTTCCTTAACTTCAGTTTCTGGGTAGCAGATCTCTCTTCTCTGCATGGAGACCTTCCTGGTCACAGGAGGAAACCTCACTTGCTGATGCCTTCTAAGGCCTCAGTGGATCAGGAATGGGTGGTGTGTGTGTTCACACAAAACAACAACAACAACAACAACAACAACAACAACAACAACAACAAAAGGAGGAATAAGGGCTGCCAAACCGCAACATGCAGGCAACGGGCATTTAAGTTTTATATTGACAGCGAGGCAGGATCCTGGTCAGATACCTGAAACTCTTCCAATTTCAAGGAATCTATTCCGCGACTCTCTCTCTTCCCTGTCTTTAGTGGTAGAAGGGGGCTGGTATTAGGTTTGAGTTCACGTGTTTTCTTTTTGCATCCTCACTGCTTGGGCTGCCTCTCAAATCTCCACACAGCCAAAACCTGCCTCCAACCCACCATTTCCTGTCATCTCCTCCACTGTAACCCTCCTGGCCCAGTCACATCTCCTCTTGCTGGAAACCTGTAATGCCTTCTAAATGGTCCCCACACTCTTCTCCTGCCCCATTGCAGTCCGCTCATCAATGAGCGACCCAGAGGGATCCTTTAAAAACCCAAATCAGGGCCGAGCACAGTGGCTTATGCCTATAATCCTAGCATTCTGGGAGGCCGAGGTGGGTGGATCACTTGAGGTCAGGAGTTCAAGACCAGCCTGGGCAACATGGCAAAACCCCGTCTCTACTAAAAATACAAAAAAAAAAAAAAAAAAAAATTAGCCAGGCATGGCGGCACATGCTTGCAATCCCAGCTACTCGGGAGGCAGGAGAAACGCTTGAACCTGGGAGGTGGAGGCTGCAGTGAACCGAGATAGCGCCACTGCACTCCAGCCTGGGTGACAGAGCAAGACCCCCTCTCAAAACCAACCAACCAACCAACCAAATACCCAAATCAGATTAAGCCCATTTCCCTGCTGAAAACCCCACTTGGCCTGGTGTGGTGGCTTACACCTCTAATTCCAGCACTTTGGAAGGCTGAGGCGGGCGGATTACTTGAGGTCAGGAGTTCGAGACCAGCCTGGCCAACATGGTGAAACCCTGTCTCTACTAAAACTAAAAAAATTAGCTGGGCATAGTGGCTCATGCCTGTAATCCCAGCTACTTGAGATGCTGAGGCAGGAGAATCACTTGAACCCAGGAGGTGGAGGCTGCAGTGAGCTGAGATTGCACCACTGCACTCTAGCCTAGGCAACAGAGAGAGACTATGTCTCCAAAACAAACAAACAAACAAACAAAAAAACCACTGGTGGCCCCTGCCTGCTTCTCCAACTTGGTCTTGAGCCATCTCCCCTTCACCTTTTATGTTCCAGCCACACTAGCCTCATTTTCATCACCAGTAGAGTGAGGATGTAACAACGCCTGCTCAGAGGGCTGGGAGGAGTAAGTGCATTAACACACACAAAACATCTAGACCAGGGTCTGGCCATGATAGGTGCTCGATAAAGGGAAGTGCCATTAACAGTTTACTTCTTTGAATTTGCCAAGGACTTTTCCCGCTTCAAGACCTCACAAAAGCCTCTGTCACTTATCATTTCCCCTTTATATGGCTGGCTCTTTTTTATCCTTTGGGTTCAAGTTTACATGTTAACTCTTTAGAGATCTTCTCTAACCAGTCTATTCAAATACATTCCCAACGCTTGAACCCCCATTCCCATTATTTTCTCCTACAACACCCTGTCTGTTTCCTTCAAAGCACTTTTTCCAACTTGGGATGACAAATGATTTTTTACTTGGGGGGCAGGGCTATGTCTAATAATCTTATCCAGCACAAGGAATATTTGTGGAATGAATGCATAAATGAATGAATGTAACTCCTTACCTTTCTTCTGCTAATACCAGAGCCATCCCCAACCCACCTCGTCGGCTATGCCAATTCTCCTCTCCAAATCCTGTATTTACTTATTCTCTCATCCTTTGGCATTATTGACTCTCTGGTCTCTTGGCAATGGAAAAACCTCTAAACCATCTAGCACCGTCCCATCACTCTAGGAGGCTCACACTTTCATTTATATGTAAATGATAAATAATAGAATATGTAACGCCCAGAATAAGTTCAATGACTAATGACTCCTCATCTGCCAAGTCAGAAGGGTTTGGGGATGAATTAACTCATCAACTACCATTAAGAGATCAATGTCAATGCAATTACTCCATAAATATCCAAGATCAGGTATCTTACAGTGCTACCTGAAAGTCTCAAGTGATGATAGGAAGTCAAGTGCAGGTGAAAGCATAGTTCCCATTTTTGTTCCTTATCACCTCCCTTTATGTGAGTACACTGTATTATATTGAAGCTGAGTAACATGAGCTAAGGAGGAGTAACTTGACCTGTCCTCATGCATCTCTCTTTCTTGCTCTCTTAGCCAAGAATACCAAGATGGAAAATGCCCTCGGCTGAATTTTTTATTATTTATTGATTGATAGCCTTCTTCTTCTTCTCCTTTTTTTTTTTTTTTTCCTTAAACCTCCATGCACTTTGCTAATTACTTCTCTGGAAATCATTTCCCTTTACCATTCTCCAGAATGCTGCCACCTTTGGGAAGGAACGTGGCAGTGTGATAAAATGTAGGCTAGACAAGAGCTAAGAGTGGAAAAAAGTCTTCTTCTTGATGTGCTGGTCCAGCCCTATCCTGCCATCTAATATGCTGGGAATGCAATGATGTAATAATGAGAACAAGCACAAGGCTTGCATCAGAGCAATTTTTTTCATCCACAGAATAAGCATAAAGGAA
Source organism: Homo sapiens (assembly GCF_000001405.40). NCBI lineage: Eukaryota > Metazoa > Chordata > Mammalia > Primates > Hominidae > Homo > Homo sapiens. Next base: position 73,176,901 of record NC_000016.10, read on the forward strand.
AGTGCCTTCATCATTTCATCTTCGGCCCCACCTAGATTTGCAGCATCAGCATGACTAAGTCATGGAAGCAAGCTGATTTCATCAGCACATTGGAGGCACTTGGTCCAATTAATGTGACTTGAAGGTGACATTTGTATATCCCTCAGACCAAAATACTCAATGACGTGAGTTATTAGAAAAAGCCCAAATAACGATTAATTCCTAAAATTAATATCTGCACTCCAGCCTGGGCAACAGAGCAAGACTCCGTCTCAAAACCAACCAACCAACCAGCCAACCAACCAACCAACCAACCAAATACCCAAGTCAAATTCAAATTGAGTGAGATAATGGTTGGAGGGAAAATAAAAATATCTTCCATTCTATGCAAAAGAGGCTCCAGTGCTTTGTAGCTGTTTGAATGGGTAGCAGATAAATGGGGTTTTTGGAAATGAACTTTCTAGAATTTTATAGTGAAAACTTGCGGAACAAAAGAGAATACTAATGTTAAAGGGGAAGGAGAAAATGTTTCTTTAATGTGACACATATCGTCATAATGGCACCTTACATTTAGAGATTACTTTTCTTTGGAAGCGTATGAAACATTATGTGCACAGCATTGTGAGCCGCAAGAACATAGGTATCCCTACTTTAAAGATGGGAAGAACAGATTCACAGATGTGATCTTTCCCAAAATACACAGAACACTGGCATACAGCCAATATGGTTATATTACCATTCAGGAGTTTCTGTGTTTCCACAGATCTCAGACTAGACCAAATACAATTTTTTGGGTAGTGGACTTGAATAGAAGAGGCAGCCAATTCCTATTTAACTGAACAAAGAAAGTAAATGTTGATTGTGTTTCTACTACATATAAAGAGTAGGAAAGGGATAGGCCTTGTTCTCAAGGAATTTATAGCTTAGTGGAGGAGACAGACATATGAGCTCACTTTAATGCAAAGCACTGTTAAATAAAGCATTGAGCAAGGGACACTGACAATTAGTTGTGGAGGCGCGGTAGGGAAAGAGCTGCTGCGAACAGGGGCTGCTATGACAGTCAGCCTCACGTGAAAAACAGAAAGACCCATCAGTCGGGGCGGGCTACCTCTCTGCAGGCATCAGGGAATCCTTCTAGCTTCCTTACTCTGAGCTGAGATCTACCTAACTGTAGCTTCCACCAGGTGCTTCTAGCTTTGTCCTCTGAAGCAATGTAAATTAGTTTAATCCCTCTCCCACACACCATCCTTCAAAATTCTAAATGTGGATGACTTTTTCTTTTTTTTTTGAGACAGGGTCTCACTCCGGAGTACAGTGGTGTGATCCTGGCTCACTGCAACCTCTGCCTCCTCAGTTCCAACAATTTTCCTGCCTCAGCCTCCTGAGTAGCTAGGATTACAGGCACCCGCCACAACACCCAGCTATTTTTTTGAATTTTTAGTAGAGATGGGGTTTGACCATGTTGACCAGGCTAGTCTCAAACTTCTGACCTCAAGTGATCCGCCTGCCTCGTACTCCCAAAGTGCTGGGATCGCAGGCGTGAGCCACCGCGCCTGACCATAGATGACATTTCTTTCCTTCTCCCCAGTGCCCCTACCCCAAAGACTCCTTCATCATTTTCCTCTTTTGGATTAAATGTGCCAATTTCTTCAACTCATTTGTCTATGGCATGATTCCCCAGTCCTTCACTCTCTAGCATTCTTCTCTTGATAAATTCCACTTTATTCATGTTCATCCTTAAACATGGCATTGAAAATTCAACACAATAGTTTATTTTATTTTTATTTTTGTTGAGACCAGGTCTCACTATGTTGCCCAGGCTGGTTTCAAACTTCTGTCCTGAAGCGATCCTCTCACCTTAACCTTCCAAATAGCTGGGATTACAGGCACAGAAGCATGGCAGAAGCAATATAATATTTTAGATATGTGTTGACTAGTGAGTCAGTTCCATCCCATTATCCGTCCATCCATCCTCCCATCTATCCATTCATCCATCCATCCATGCACCTACCCACCCAACGATACGTAAATAAGCTTTTGTTATATGAAGCACTGTTTAGTCACTACAGGGGATACAATGATGAAAATTGTAAATGAAAGTCAAATTGAGTGAGATAATGGTTGGAGGGAACCATGCTCACACCAACATAACCAAAGATTTTATTAGTGTTTTTGGCAGCCGTAACTCATACAGTTAGCATCTACTGACCTTGTGGATACCTGGACTTCTAATATATTCTCACCAAATTTATGTTTACACAGATTGCCCTTGTTTGGTGGCTTGGCATTTGATTTCTGGAACCAAAGTTCAGCACTATACATTGATTTTTACCATTTTAAGTTTCAGTCAACTGTTTACTTCATTGAGATCTTTTGGGAATCTAGATCCTGTCCTCTGACATCAAACCATTCCTTTTATTTCTGGGCCACCTACAAGTAACACAAGTAGCTTAGCCCAGAACCTTGGGCCTTTCAAGACAGCTTTGACTCCACTCCCCTCCATGACTATCAAGTTTTCATTTCTTTGACCATCAAGGAGCTCATGAACAGTTTTGGTCAAAGGTTATATTGAAATCAAGATGCTGAGTGCCCAAAGAATGTTACAAATTTACTAGCACAAGTGCCAAATAAATAAGTGCATTAATAAAAAAAAATAATAGAACTAAGTACCAGGCCTTATCCAACCCCATTTTTGTAGAGGGCTCAAACTGCTCACGTGGAAATTGGCAACTCTAGAAGGTTAGGGAAAGAGGGTCTCCCTGCTCAACTCAGAGACACTAAATCAGGAGATTAAGTCTCCAAGTTGTCTCTGGGGCTAGAGGGAATGAATAACAGGGTCCTTTATACGCATCTTGGATTTCTGCTTTTTAAATGAAATCCACTGGGCCCTATCAGTCTGTGGTTTGTCTGCTCCGCTTTTAGCAAACTCGAGATGGGGTTGCGCCGTGACTGGTTAGAGCATTTTGCCCTTCAGAAGGGGGACCCACTGACCCCTGACCACAGCCTTGTCATACAGAGAGTGTCAGAGGCGGTCCAATTACCTAAGAGGACTGAGAAAAATCAAACAGAGCTCGGGCACAATGAGGGGAAAAAACACACAGCAGGCCCAGCTTTAGCTCCACTGCTTGAATTACCACTATGTCAATAGAAGGTGATAAATCAAGGGAGATATTTACTGATTAAAATTACAGACTCCTACGGGAAACTGTATAAACAGATTGAAGAACAAAGCCTGCAGGGACTGAGCCCAGCCGAATCCATCCAGGCTTTGGCCAGTCGTTCCTGTTTCCAGCCAACTCTTGGACCCAGGGGTCACTGAGAGAGCAAGTTGCTCCACGAAACGCAGGCTTGCTGTACACAGATCCAAATATTTGTAGGGAAAATTTAAAGGCATGTTGGGAAGAGATTCAGGGCTCATACCCATTCACAAGGAATCCTCTTATTTCATTCTTCTCTTTATTTTATTATTATTTTTTTGCCTTTACTCTGAAGTTTGGTCTAGACTCACTAGAAAGACCCAGAAAGCTGCTCTGTATACTCTACCTGCCAGCAGAGGTGCTGAGGCTACAAATACAGAAGGGAGGCGGATATAGGAGACGTGAGTGGGCACGAAGCCACGCCCATCAGAGGTTCAAGAATTGCATGTGTAGCCAATCAACTTTCTATGCCAATCCACTGTGTTTACCCTCTCTGGGGTGCTCATGTTGGTGTTCCCAGGGGAAATGAATCTCTGCTCTGCCACCCTAGTCCCTCAGTGTGTATCACTTGCTTACTGTCATTCTGCTGCTGTTTTTTTTTTTTGAGACAGAATCTCACTCTATAGCCCAGGCTGGAGTGCAGTGGTGCTATCTCAGCTCACTGCAACCTCCGCTTCCCGGGTTCAAGCGATTCTCGTGCCTCAGCCTCCTGAGTAGCTGGGATTACAGGTGCGCACCACCACACCCAGCTAATTTTTGCATTTCTAGTTGAGACAGGGTTTCACCATTTTGGTCAGGCTGGTCTCAAACTTATGGCCTCAAATGATCCACCCGCCTTGGCCGCCCAAAGTGCTGGGATTACAGGCGTGAGCCACCGCGCCTGGCCCATTGTGCTTCTTTAAATGGCATTCTCCTTGAGTCAGAGAAATACCTTTTGGGAATGTCTTGGAGTAATTTGTGTAGGCAGGGCTTTGGAAGCAAGGCTGCAGCTAGTTTTTTTGTTTGTTTGTTTTGTTTTGTTTTGTTTTGTTTTGTTTTGTTTTGAGATGGAGTCTTGCTCTGTTGCCAGGCTGGAGTGCAGTGGTATAATCTCGGCTCACTGCAACCACCGACTCCCTGCTTCAAGCGATTCTCCTGCCTCAGCCTCCTGAGTAGCTGGGATTACAGGCACACGCCAGCATGCCCAGCTAATTTTTGTATTTTTAGTAGAGATAAGGTTTCTCCATGTTGGTCTCCATCTCCTGACCCACTGATCTGCCTGCCTCAGCCTCCAAAAGTACTGGGATTACAGGCATGAGCCACCATGCCCAGCCAGCTGCAGCTAGTTTTTAGAGCCCCATGGATTTCTTCTTGCCAGCTCTGTCTGTGGGATTAGGACCATCACCCCAAACCACTGTATCCTGATAAAGGGCAGTATAGGTTTATGTCTCATGAATGGGGGAAACTCACAAAAGGCTGTTTAATGTCACCACTGGTTCCATTATTCATGAGTAGTCTCGGGGTTAAATTTTGCCCTTGTAACCCAAGTTCTATCCCCTCTTCTTGTGCCCTTGACTGTGAATATACAATCATCACTTAAAGAGAACTGAGCAAACGTGTTCTGGGACAAATGAGCTTTAATGATTGGGAGGTGGGAGATGATCATCTATGCAATGTCAAGAAATAACAGAAGTCTGTTGGGGATATAGTTCCCGTTAGGGCTGCTGTGTGTGGTTGGGCGTTCTGTGAACTATGTAAAGGCACCAGCTGAAGGCACAATTGTGGGCTGAAAGCAGCTGATGTTCTACCTGCCAATCTGCCATGCAAGCCCTGACTCAGGGTGGCATCCACCAAGAGGGACAGGTAACTTTTTCTTCACACTGAGGAGAAGTTGGTTATTCAAGCCAGCAGTCCTTCGGGTTTTGTTTACTGAGTGGGAGCACTCTTCTCTAATTGTTCCTCCAGAGGAGGGCAGCTTGTTTCATATGATACAAGGGTACAGAATAGGCTAGACAAGGCTCAGAATCTTCTGACCTTTTCCTCAGAGCTGGGAGGAAGTTCAGGTGAAGAAAATCCCAACTAGAGCATTCAGAAGCTCATCCTCTAAAACAGTAGGGAGGGCCGGGTGAGGTGGCTCACGCCTGTAATCCAAGCACTTTGGGAGGCCAAGGCGGGCAGATCACCTGAGGTTGGGAGTTCGAGACCACCCTGGCCGACACAGTGAAACCCCATCTCTACTAAAAATACAAAACTTAGCTGAGTGTGGTGGCGCATGCCTGTAATCCCAGCTACTCGGGAGGCTGAGGCATGAGAATCGCTTGAACCTGGGAGGCAGAGGTTGCAGTGAGCCAAGATCGTGCCACTGCATTCCAGCCCAGGTGGCAGAGAGAGACTCTGTCGCAAAACAAAACAAAAAAAACAGTATGGAGATCTCAAATAACTAAAAATAGAACTACCATCCGATCTAGCAATCCCACTACTGGGTATCTACCCAAAGGGAAAGAAATCGTTACATCAGAAAGGCATGTGCATTCATGTATTAATCACAGCACTATCCACAATAGCAAAGACATGGAATCAACTTAAGTGTTATCCAATGAAGAACTGGATAAAGAAAATGTGTGTATATACCATGGAATAATATTCAGCCATCAGAAGAATGAAATCATGTCTTTTGCAGCAACATGAATAGAACTAGAGGCCATTATCCTAACTGAAATAGCTGAAAAACAGAAAGTCCAATACTGCATGCTCTCACTTCTAAGTGAGAACTAAACAATGGGTACCCATGGACATACAGATTACAATCACAGACACTGGAGACTGCAAAAGGCGGGAGGGGGGAGGGGTGAAAAATTACCTCTTGGGGCCGGGCGTGGTGGCTCACGCCTGTAATCCCAGCACTTTGGAAGGCCGAGGTGGGTGGATCACCTCAGGTCAGGAGTTCAAGACCAGCCTGACCAATATGGTGAAACCCCATCTCTACTAAAAATACAAAATTTAGCGGGGTGTGGTGGTGGGCGCCTGTAGTCCCAGCTACTCGGGAGGCTGAGACAGGAGAATTGCTTGAACCCAGGAAGCAGAGGTTGCAGTGAGCCAAGATCGTGCCACTGCACTCCAGCCTGGGCAACAGAGTAAGACTCCGTCTAAAACAAAACAAAAAAAATTACCTCTTAGGTACAATGTTCACTATTTGGGTGATGCGGACACTAAAAGCCAGACTTCATCACTGTGTGATATATGCATGTAGGAAGCCTGCATGTGTACCCTCTAAATATATAAAAATGCAAAAAATAAAAATAAAAAAAGATAGACGTTCACCCTTTGCCTTTTAAAAGGCAGCAGTGGATAATAAAATGTCTGGAGAATGATCCTGGCTTGCTCTCTGGTCCTTTTGCAACTGGATTACTGTAAAGTGAGGTGGGTGTTTCTTTGTGTTTTCCCCCTGAAGGGGTCCATCCAATGTTCCCTGTCTGAGTGACTGAACTCCTTGTTCACGGCTGTCACTGAACCCATCTCTCTCCATCAGCCTCTGGAGATGGTTGGGGCTACAGCCCAGACTTCACACGCTGTCTTACGTTTGGGAAAACTCTGCGCTATCCTTTATTACTTTTTTTCCTAAAGGAAGTTATGTTTATAGCTGCTGCGCCTGACTGCTCTGCCCTCTGTGAGCCTCCTCTGAATGGTTTCCAGGGTGCGTCCTTATCTGTGAGCGGAAGTGCGTTTTGGAGATGGGGAGAAATTAATGACGATTTCGGGAGCTGGGAAGGTGAGGTCGGCTCCTGCGAACCGTGGGGGCGCTCTGATCTCGTTCTTATGCTCTGCTTGCTGAAAAAATCTCTCTTTGCCCTGGAATATCATGGCCTGGAGCCCTTTAAATTAAAAACAGTTGTGAAACTGGCAGCAATTTAGAACTTTTGCCAGCGCATGAATCTGTAAAGAGCAGGGCCTCAGGGATGCGGACCATGTGTCTCTAAAGAAGAGGCCTGGTCTGTGTCCTTGGCTTTGAGCACCCCAGGCTTTTGGTCTACTGCGTCTTTTCTCTCCTAGAGGTATATGGGCTCTTTCGGGTTGTGACCAGACCCTCCCTTCTGACCTCACCATCTACCCTGTCCCACCTCCAGGGGTGCTAGGGCTTGCCACGTGGCTCAGTGGTGTCACCAGTGTTTCCTCCAGTCAGTGATGGATGCGTCCAGGCAGGGGCCCACACCTCTACTTTCAGAGTGATCAAGAGACAGCAATGCAGCCACCTGCAGACCTTTGCAGCCAATGTGAATCCAAGCGAGGGTTTCATGGAAGACATTTTTGTCAGTTTTCAGGAGAAGGCAGTGGAAGTGGAAATGCCAGACAGACAATAAAATAGTGAGGTGAGGATGAGCCAGTAAAATTCCTTCTTTGTGTTTATGGCTTGGCTGCTTCTAAGCCAGGAGGTGCTCTGCCACTGCCCAAGTGGGGATTTATTTCAAATGGGCTCAGCCAGAGGGAAAGGCAGGTCGTGAGCCTGTGGGGCAGGTGGAGAGTCAAAATCTCGACTCTTCCTGGGAAAAACCTTCCTAGGGACACTCTCCCTAGCATTCCGGCCACCCCAGTGTGGGGTTCTTGCTTGCAGGGTCCTAGAACATCCTTGATTGCCTGGCATCTTTAATTAAAAGTGAAATCCATTTGCAAGGATGAGGAGGCCCAAGGATTCAATGTCAGTGAAACCCTATTTGGGAGAAAAAAAATGTCAAACGTAAACCTGAAAACATAATTGTTCCCTTAATGAAATTCAGAGTGAATTTCAATTTTGACCTGAAATTCAACAGGTTATCCTGAGAAACATTCATTGATTATCTCCCGTGTGTGAAAGTAGGAACCAGGCTGGTGAGATCGGCAGGGCCGGTGCACAGCAGATATTGTGTGCAAAGTTAAGGAACATGCACCATCTCTTTTTTTTTTTTTTCTGAGACAGCGTCTCAGTCACCCAGGCTGGAGTGTAGTGCTATCATCATAGCTCACTGCAGCCTTGACTTCCTATGCTCAAGTGATCCTCCTGCCTCAGCCTCCCTGGTAGCTGGGACTACATGTACCATCTCTTATAGGCAGTCAATATTTTAAAGAAGGGACGACCTGAGCAGAGCTGTGCTTTATAAGAGCCATATTAGAATGATGTTGAGGGCATAGGTGATGGCTAATATTTCTTGAACACCTACTATGTGCCGGGAAGTGGGTTGTCTTATTATATGCAGTCTCTTTTAAAATCCCCATGTAACCGTATGAGGTAAGCATTATTCCTGTCCTCATTTTACCAAATGGCAACCTGAGGTTCAGGGAGGTTGAGACATTTGTCCAACGTTGCACAGCTTGCAAGTGGCAGAGCAAAGGGCGGAACCCAAGTCTAACTGAGTCAAGAGCCCACACTCTTAACTACTATAGATCAAGCTTAATATATACAGTGTTTGCTTTATCAAGGAGTAAGCAAGTATCCCCCAAAAGCTATTCCTTTTGTGTGGAATGGGCAAACCTCTGGATTTGAGAGCGTGAGACTCAGAGGTTGGGGCTGTCAGTTTTAGCACATAAAAATGCAAAACTGACTCCCAGTTAAATTTGAAGAATTGCTCTAATGAATTTTTGTAATGTATTAAAAATAGCTGAATGCAGGACAATTTGGGCATTTTGACAAAGTGAATAATGACACGAGATGAAATTATTAAGGACAGGACACGACTTGTACACATGGGCCCCCTAGATCCCCAGCCACAGGGGTCCCCAATCCCCGGGCCACGGACCAGTACTGGTCCATGGCCTGTCAGGAGCCGGATCACACAGCAGGAGGTAAGTGGTGCGCACGCAAGTGAAGCTTCATCTGTGTTTACAGCTGCTCCCTATCCCTCTCATTACCACCTTAGCTCTGCCTCCCGTCAGATCAGCAGCGGCATGAGATTCTCATAGGAGCGCAAACCCTTTTGGGAACTGCATATGCGAGGGATCTAGGTTGCGCACTCCCTGTGAGAATCTAATGCCTGATGATCTGTCACTGTCTCCCATCACCCCCACATGGGACCATCTAGTTGCAAGAAAACAAGCTCAGGGCTCCCACTGATTCTACATGATAGTAAGTTGTATAATTCATTATATGTTACAATGTAATTATAATAGAAATAAAGTGCACAATAAATGGAACATGCTTGAATCACCCCGAAGCCATGCCCCCTCACCATCTGTGGAAAAACTGCCTTCCATGAAACTGGTCCCTGGTGCCAAAAAGATTTGGGACTGCTGCCCTACCAGGTGTGTACCTTGGGTCTGTCACACCTTAGGCTGTGTGATCGTGAATAGAACCCCCCTCACCTAGCTCACTCTCTGTAACTGCAAAATATGGACAATAGCATTTGCCTCGTAGAGTTATTAGAGGGTGAACTGAGACGACATAAAATACCCAGTAGTGTGCAAGGTATATAGTAGGTACTCAAGAAACACTTTGTGGATATACCAGCCAATTCCCTAGTTTCCAGGAAAAGTTTTTTTTTTTTTTTTCACTCAAAACACTTAACTCCTATTGAGTGTTTTATGCATCAAAGAACTTGGCCTTTTCTTCATGAAAAACATATCTTTTAATGGGGGTCGCATTTCGATGTTTCATCCATCCTATATTTAAAAACACCAGCCATTTCTCCTAACGATAAAGTTGTTACACAAGTTAAAAAAAATAGGGCAACAGAAACAATGCCCATTATATTATTGTCAAGCCTTTATTATGTAGGTATTAAATTTGACCTCAGAGGTCATCACTCTTGGAAAATGTTTCCATCTGTAGCACTCCATTCTCCATTCTGTTGGTTCAATTAAGCCTAAGAATTTAAATTATCTCTCTAACTCTAAAAATATGTACAGATACTACTGAAACGGGAAACTATTTCAGGGCTTAGAAGAAATTCTGTAGGAGTGAATGTGCTCACAGCTTTCAGGCCAGAAAGGTTGACCCTTCCAGATCTTTCAAAGGTTGTGGAAAGACTGTGGAAATCAAATCAAATCAAGTCAAAATAGACAGGCTTTCTCTCAAGAAGAGGGTTTGGAAGAGAGGCGGGGGGATGGACAAGTTGTATGTCTCACACACACACACACACACACACACACACTCACTCAGTGGGAAATGTGTTTGTCTAAAAACATTAAATTAACAACTTCTTTGAGTGACAGCATTTCTTCCTTTCTTTCTCTTATTTCCAGTTCATTCTTATCAGAATTCTGTCAGCTCTCAAGCTGACATTTTCCTGTTCTGATCTTTTCTCAGATAGTAAAGAGGGATTTTTTTTTTTTTAAATTGGGCTGATGCAAACAGCAGATCAGCCTACAGAGAAACGTCAAGGACAGTTTGTAGTCCTAATCCCTGACCCCCCTGCCCTCTCCTAACTAGCTATTGACATTGAACTTAAAAAAACTGCAATGCCGAGATGAGATAATGTTTTAGAGGAAAGAGAAAAGGAGTGTGGTGAGACTCCTGTGGCAGATGGGGGCATTTCAGAAGTGAATGTGCTGCTGGCCTGTGAGTTAAACTTCAGGCTTTTCAAAGTTCAGTTTTGCTTAAAGTATCTGGTAAAGAAAACGGGTCTCATCCTCTAGACCAGAAATGGAGCAGGCGAGTCTCTTTGGATGACAGCGATTTGCCCTCTTTGGGTGATCCTGGCTTTGTTCACGTGAAGTGGTGACACTTTCATGATGCTTGGTGTAGAGAAACTGTTGGCGTGGTTTCTACATTGGACAAAGCACTCCTTTTCACGTCACCCACGTTGCATAACAGAGCTGGGCTTTATAATGCAAAAGTTTGGAACTTTTTTTTTTGAGACGGAGTCTCGCTCTGTCGCCCAGGCTGGAGTGCAATGGCGTGATCTCGGCTCACTGCAAGCTCCGCCTCCCAGGTTCATGCCATTCTCCTGCCTTAGTTTCCCAAGTAGTAGCTGGGACTACAGGCGCCTGCCACCACGCCTGGCTAATTTTTTGTATTTTTAGTGGAGACGGGGTTTCACTCTGTTAGCCAGGATGGTCTTGATCTCCTGACCTTGTGATCCGCCTGCCTCGGCCTCCCAAAGTGCAGGGATTACAGGCATGAGCCACTGTGCCCGGCCAGGTTTGGAATTTTTAACAGGGATATCTTTATTATTATTATTTTCCTTTTAAGAGACAGGGTCTGGCTCTGTCACCCAGGCTGGAGTGCAGTGACACAATCTTACCTTACTGCAGCCTCTAACTCCTGGGCTGCAGCGATCCTCCGGCCTCGGCCTCCCAAAGCACTGCGATTACAGGCATGAGTCACCAGGCCTAGCCCTTAAAAGGGGTCCCTAAAGGGACTTTTGCAGCCATTTCAAAATAGAGAAGGAGAAAGAACCTTGCCAATACTCTGTTTGGACCCCTTTGTCCTCTCGAGCTGATGAGCTTCGGTCCACCTTCCTGTGAAGACACTCTCACCTGAGATGGTGAATTTGACTTGCTTCCTCTCTAGTGGGGAAACAGGGACAAAGAGAGAAATAGTTTTTTCAGAAAACCCTGACTAAACTATTGTGAAGTCACCTGCCCTTATTTTCCTATCACTTGGTCCTGCATGTTGTAGAATAAAGCCCTGGCATCTCTGAAAATATTTCCGCTATTTTGCTACTGTTGGAAAGGTGGCTTTGTTGACTGGTGACCAAACCAGAAGAAAACCTGAGAGAGAAAATGTTAGATTCCCAGGGGTAGGATTTGTTTAGTTTCAGAACAAATCCTGAAACACTTAGGTTCTCACTTTTTCCCCTATGGCTATTTACAGGGAGGCTAGCGTCTGGATATTTCTTTTTCTTTTTTTTTTTTTTTGAGATGGAGTCTTGCTCTTTTGCCCAGGCTGGAGTGCAGTGGCGTGGTCTTGGCTCACTACAACCTCCGCCTCCTGGGTTCAAGCGATTCTCCTGCCTCAGCCTCCCAAGTAGCTGGGATTACAGGCGCAAGCTACCACGCCTGGCTACTTTTTGTATTTTTAGTAAAGACAGGATTTCACCATATTGGCCAGGCTGGTCTCGATCTCTTGACCTTGTGATCCACCCAGTTCAGCCTCCCAAAGTGCTGGGATTACAGGCATGAGCCACCGCGCCCGCCCACATCTGGGTATTTCTAAGAGGCAGTATGTTATCCTGCTTAACATAAAAGGGTGAAGACATTCTCCAACGTCTCTACCTTCTAGAAGCTGCTGGGCCACACCCCGGGGATTCCAAACCCTTTCCGGGCATGCCAAAGGCCAGTGAGCAGCTAGCAGAATTCTAATCACGTGATCATTGTTCACTGGGGTCGGCAGATGCCACTGTCATTGCTTCCTTTACGTTTATTGCTTGAGACACTTGAAATTAGGCCTGACATAGCAATAACAAATGTACTACAGGGAACGAGCCGGCACTGGACCCTAGGGAATGATCTAGAAGACTTAATAGGTCTTTTCCGTCTTTAATTTCCATGGTTCTAAATATGCCGGCTGCTTATAAAGCAGAAGATTGATTCTGAGGCAGACTGGTTAGTTTTGGAAGCAGTGAGTGGAGAGGATTTTGCTTTTTGCAGCCATGTTCCTTGATGCCCACTTTAGGCTGGATGTGGTTTCTGAGGGCAGCCCTGGCATCTCTCCTTTCACCTCTCTTTGGTAGGGAGCAAATGGGGAAGGAGTTGTCTTGGGCATTCCCCCTGAGCTCACCAACAAGGTATGAGCATCTCCGTGTACCGGGAACTCCTCCTTGTCTGTATGGTGAAAGTGTAAGGACTGGGCAGGCATGGTGGCTCATGCCTGTAATCCTAGTGCTTTAGGAGGCTGAGGCAGGAGGGTCACCTGAGCCCAGGAGTTCAAGACCAGCCTGGGCAACATAGGGAGACCCTCATCTCTAAAAAAATTAAAAAAAAAATTAAAAACTAAAAGTCTAAAGACACACAATTGAGAAATGGAGGTGATGTTATGGGCTCACCAACATCTCACATCCACTCTTGAAAGAAGCCAAGTGCTCAGCGTCAGTGGTGAGCCTCCCTAGGAAGAAGTCTTTTTGTTTCTTCATAAGATAGAGTGAGCATCTTGACCACTCCTTATCTGAGGCCAAGGGACTAAGACTCACCTTAAGGAACGCACCTTTGGAAGCAGGAAGCTGCTGACATGTGTAATGGTGTGACTTCGTATTACACAGCTGGTGAATTCATTTTGGAAGTGGCTGTGTGGGGGAAGAAGTTGCTGTTTTTCCTTTGGTAATTGTTCCCATTGGCTTCGCCCACCCCCATCCCCACTATGATGCAAGGAAACAATTATAGGAATAAAAAAGACACAGCTAAGTTTAGAGAGAATGGGGACAGGCACTAGGAGTTTCCAAGTTTTCTTTGAGCTCACACATAGATTGCCTTTTTCTGGACATGGGAAAGAAGAACAATTTCAGTTTTTCCAGCCATAAAACAGGGAACTTAATGATTGCTTGCATCATAGAAAATGTTATAAGGACAAACTAGCTTACATTTTTACACTGGCCTGCAGACACACTCTATTACATAAGTGAAGAGGATCTTTCATGACAGTGAAGGTGTGCGTAAGAAGGGGACCCAGGCATCTGTTCACTTTTCTGTCTCCATTTCCAGGGTGAGATACACAGCTGGAAAAGCTACTTGTTGTGGCTGATGAAATGCCAGCACTGATATCATGCTTTGAACCGTTTTATCCGGATTTAAGGAGCCAGTTTCCAATTAATCAGACTCCAAGGTCACTCACCGAACCAGTGTCTCAGGTAGAGGAGGATTATGTGTGGGGGAGAGCAGAGTGGGGACATGAGGGACTACAGGGCGAAGGAAGAAAAGGGAGAAGGATAGAGACCAGGGTGAAGAGGGACTGGATTTTTTTTTTTTTGTAAATTGCCGGAATTTGAAATAATCATTGGTTAGGGGAAACGTGTTGGCTTACTAAAAACCCTTTTTAGTTTGCTACCCCCTAAAAATGGGACCAAATCCATGGCTGAAAAGGATCCTGCTTTCCTGGTGGCTGTGTGGTGGCTCTGCCCAGCCTGATGTCATATTCAGAGGCGTGGGAGAGGCAGAGCCCCTCCTGCAGGAGCTGTTTCATCAGGATTCTGTGGGCTTTCTATGCAACCCCTCTTAAAAATCTGAAAATGAAACAAGACATATTTCTGAGGTTGTCAGCAGGTAGATCCACTGGTTTGTGGTAAGTAATCTCTCTGGGAGGAAGTCTTGGCTCTGATGTCTGTGTTGAACGTTCCGTGGCTCCCCCCGGCCGCCCCAGCACAGGTCTGTTCGCTGGGCAAGGAGGCGGTGATGATATTGCTTCTAACAACCAGACTGAAGCGTAGCCTCAGGCTGTCTTGCAAAGCCCCTTCCAAACTGCCTCTAATTAATTTTTATCCTGCCATCCCAATGAGTCCCGGGGGTACAACAACCCAACAACAGAAAAACCCTCATCAAGTCATTTGGAGAAAGCTTTGACGTAACGCTTGCAGATTTTAGATCTCCAAAAGAGGAAATGCTGCAGAAAAACAAAAAACCAAACCAAACCCCTCCCGTTTGGTCACCTCCATCCTACTCGATTTTTCCCCCCAGATTCTCACCTTTTCTTTACAGTGGCAGTAAGTCTGATCTCTCTCTGGTCCCCTCTCACCCACGGCTCTTTCAGAGACAATACAGAGCTGTATTTCTTTTTTTTTTCTGCGGGAAGACAACCCTGAATTCCCTGTGGTCTGGGGTCAGGTACCTGCACTGGGCTGCCCTGGGAATCTCTTAAAAGAGGGGAAGGAGAAAAGCTGGCCTCTCTGGCTTGTAGCCGCGGTGGGGCCAGGCCTCCTCATGCTGTGCAAACACGCTTTAGTGGACATATGTTGGGAGCAGAGGGAAGGTTCCACAAAGAGGAATCTGACCCACCAAACACATCAAACATGCAGCACCCTGGGCCTCCCCCGTTAGAAGTGCTGCTGGCAGCAGCTCAGTCGCCCTACTTGGCTGTGTGGTGGGGGGTTCACGCAAAACTATTCAGGTTGCTTTTCTTCTTATTCCGAGGGGATCTGGGGACAGAGGGGTGCCTTCCTCCCTGGCACTAGCACATGAGCCTCACTTGCTACCTTCCCTCCAGCTCTGGAAGTCTCAGCCCCTGGGATCAGATGTCCACTGATCTCCTCCCCAAACACCCTATCCCACCGCCGTTGCAAAGCCCTCCCTGCCCCTCTGCGTCTGTTCAGGATGCTTCTCTTAGGACCTTGGAATGAATGAAAATTTAGGAAGAGTGACTGTTTGAAATGAGGCATTGAGAGGTGCTGAAACCCAAACCACCCGCCGCCCTGGCTTCCTGGGATTTCTGGACAAAAAAGGTTGAGTGACTTCTCCCCTCCCCGGGACACAACAGAGGAGAGTGATCCGGTGCCAGCGGCCCTGGTGTTAATTTCATGATCACCGGGTGCCAAAGAAAGTTACTCAGGATCCGCTGGACTCGACAGCTCCTGAGAAATGGAGTCTTTGTTTCTAATGCGTCTGAGCTGTCTGGCTCCTTTAAAAGAGTTAATCACAGAATCACAGGCCTAGAAAAAGACTTCTTGGATGGCTCCTCTGTGCTAGGTCCAAGTGAGTGAGGGCTGATCCTGTTTTTGAAGAAGCCCGTGGAGCACCACTCCAGTGACTAATCGCTCGTAATTGTCCTCGTTAATTTTAACCTCATGCGCTGGTGCTTTAAGCAGATTTCCATTTGTCCGTCCTCAGAGAAGGTGGAAGGCATTGCTCATCGCACAAATGGGGTCATTCATTTCCTTCCCTCTCCTTTTTCTTGTCTCCTTGGGCGATCGACTGGCCCAACAGGGAAGAGCAAATGGTGGGGAGCTGGACACAAGTGGGTCTAAAGTCTGCAACTTCCTAACTATGCTGCTAAGCCTCAGTTTCCCTGTCTGTGAAACTGGAGGAATAATAGCCACCTCATTGGGTTGTTTTGAGGATTAAATGAAATAATGGAAGGAAAGTGCTTTGCGTGGGTTCAGGGTGATGCCTCCTACAGGCTCACAAACAAAAATGTGCCCTCTGCAGGAAAGGTGGATGCACGTGGAATTCCTGCTTTTCGGGGTACCCTGTTCTTCAGTGCCAAGTGATATTGGTGGATGAGACAGCAAAGAGCAGTGGAAAGAGAATTGTTACTGGGGGCCTGAAGATGTGGGTCCTATTCACAGCTCTGCTATAACCTAGTCTTGTGACCCTCACTCAGGAAGGCACCACCTCTCTGGGCCTCAGTTTTCTAGCCTGTAACATAATCTCCACCCTGTCTGCTTTGCAGGGGAGTTGGGGAGCAACTGAGGAAAGGAGAGATGGGGGCGGTGAACTGCCAACAGAAAGTGCTAGTCAAATGTCAGGTGTGAAGAGTCCTGAAGGTCGATGCTCAACCAGCTCTGCTGCTGCCCCTGGCATTTTCCCTGGCACCAAGGAACATGTTGACAGTTTGCTGGGATCCCCCTGAATTTCCAGTATCCTGGGGGTAAGGACTGGAGTGAAGCAAGTTAAGGTATATATTATCTGACTCACTTTGTAGGGTTCACAGTTCCTTAGACCCTCAGTTCTGGTTTGTTTTGAAAGGGGACAACCCCTGTCTGGGAGGAGCCTTTAGTCAAGAGGCAGTACTGCATAGTGGTGAAGCAGTTTGTTAAACCCCACAGACTATGGGGCCAGACCCTGGTCATATTCTAACTCTGCCACTTTCCCTCCTATGTCCTTGGGAAGCCGCCTGCCTCTCTGTGTTTCAGCATCCTCAGCTGTACAGTGGGGATAATAGGAATTCCCATCTGATAAGGATTGTGTAAGTATGCACCACATGCTTAAACCATGCCCTGGCACATGGTATACACTCAAGATGTAGTGACAGTATAATCGTCATGAGTCAAATGTTTGTGGTCCATGCAGTGATGAAGCCTGATTCGTTTCTGAAAGACCTCGCTAGGACCCTCTAGTCCAGTGGGTTCTTAAGCTTCTGAGGGCCACGGCTTGTATGACAAATGTTATGAACTTTCTCTGCTGAAGAGTTAACATATGCCCCTAAACTTCACATATATCTTCAGGGTGTTCCAACCCATCCATGGAATTGCTGGGGTTCATAGACCCCGGTTTAGGAACTTCTTTTTTATTTTATTTTATTGCCTTCCTTTATTTTGTTTATTTATTTTGAGACAGGGTCTCATTTTGTCACCCAGGCTGGAGTGCAGTGGTGCGATCATGGCTCACTGCAGCCTCGACCTCCCAGGCTCAAGCAATCCTCCCACCACAGCCTCCAGAGTAGCTGGCACTATAGGCGTGCACCACCACCCCCAGCTAATTTTTGTATTTTCAGTACAGATGGGGTTTCACCATGTTATCCAGGCTGGTCTCAAACTCCTGGGCTCAAGTGATCCTCCCACCTTGGCCTCCCAAAGTGCTGGGATTACAGGCATGAGCCACTGCATCCAACCTTATTGCCTTCTTACTTGCTAGGTCACCAGGATCATCCAAGTACAGTTTTGGATATAGTAAGGAAAAGTATCTGGTATAATAAAATTATATTATGGTTACGTCAACTAGAGGTCCAAAAAAGAAAGAAAATGTATGATATAATTGAACCCAAGCTAGGCTTCATAAATCTTTTTCTTGAGTGGTATGCCTTTGATGCATGTCATTGCAATTTTTGTCCACACCCAATTCACACTGCTCTGAGAGAATCCTGGAGAAACTTTCTCTTTGCCTCTATTTCCATGGCAATTGTGAATAGCCAAGAGTCACTTTGTTAAGAATTCCTAATTCTGGAGAAATGGAAGGTCAAAGTCATGAACCTCTCAGTTAATAGTGGAAGTTTCCTTATTTTAAGTTTTATGAAGAACTCTCTTAAGTATGGTGTTTATAGGCTAGGGTTTGCAAGAACCTGAATCAAAAAACAAATAATAGCAAACATACCCTTCGCTAGGATTCTACCTGGATGACCTCATTATAATTTGGTAGGAATTAAGGGTTAGACCCACAAGAGTTTCATTTTCAGGTTAGACAGAAGCATATTTCAAGTCTCTCCAAATACCTACTTAACAAATACCACCTTTTGCATGTTCTTGATTTATTTCTCTACTTCTATACCATTGGCTTTGCAAAATTAATTTGCCACATGGAAATTTCTTAAATCACTTTCTCACCAAACCATGAATATGGTTTGGAAAAGGGAGAAGGGGAGGACCCTTTGTTTTTTCTATTAAGGGCTGATAACCCACAGGAAAAACTGATTTTTTCCGAAAAAATCAAATATCTGCATTTTCTTTTCTTAGGGAAACAAATACCTGTTTGGAAAATTAAGTACAGAGAAGATACAGAAATACTACAAAATATGGTTGTGTCTTTACTATTTTTTTTTTTTTTTTTTTTTTTGAGATGGAGTCTTGCTCTGTCACCCAGGCTGGACTGCAGTGGTGTGATCTGGGCTCACTACAACCTCCGCCACCTGGGTTCAAGTGATTCTTCTGCCTCAGCCTCCCGAGCAGCTGGGACTACAGGCATGCACCACCACACCCAGCTAGTTTTTGTATTTTTAGTAGAGACGGGGTTTCACCATATTGGCCAGGCTGGTCCTGAATTCCTGACCTTGTGATCCATCTGCCTTGGCCTTTCAAAGTGCTGGGATTACAGGCGTGAGCCACCACGCCTGGCCTGTGTCTTTACTATTATATCCAATTTAAGTGGCTAGAAAGCAAAAAAAATAGGACAGGTAAAGGTTGGTGAAGGGGAATCAGGAACGGCAGGAAGTGCTAGAGAGAGTGAGGGGCCTGACTGAACAGGTGGGAGAGAAGCGGTGGTTGCAGAAGAGATGGATTTGGGTCAGGCAGTTACACCAATGGTGCAGAGAGGAAAGATAATGTAGCAACCACTAGTTACCATCTTTATACGTGTATATCTTTGTATCTCCCTCATTGCCTAACACACATGCCGTGTACATATTAGGTACTCAGTAAGTTAATGAAACAGAAACAAAGAGAATGTGTAAAACACCAGAAGCTGTAAAATTAATTTTGACTTAGAAGTGTACTTTATCTAGGCTGTGATCTTACCATTATTATCAAGTGCCATCTGTTTCTCTTGAAATAGTTTTTTTTTTTTTTTGGAGGGGGGATGGGTGGGGGTTGGTGCAGTTTAATTGCTCTTCACAGGTCTTCAACTGCTTTAATTAATCCCAAGCTTCAGAAGCTCTACCCCGAATGGGATATCTAGAGCTTCCTCCTTGGGGTGGTGGGGAGGGCCAGATTTTCCTCAAGACTGCAATAGGAGTGCGCAGAAATCATATCACAGTGAGCTTGGGAGCTCCCTGTGGACTTGGGTTAGCAATTTCCCATCCTGATGGCTACGGACTTCGATACAGCCTAGTGACGCCATATTTGTAGATCATAGACAACTGCTTACATTTCTTCTCTGAAAAATAATTCTGAACTGGGGCTTGAAAACATAGAGTTGAGAAACAAAGGACAAGGGAAACATTAATTTTGTGCTTAACACTCAACAGTAGTGTCCATCCTGGCCAGAAAAAAAAAAAAAGTGTTCTCCTGGTTTGAGAGAATCTGGCTTTAGCAGAACATCTGAGTTGGAATCCCATGTAGCTATGGAATGAAAATGTGCCATATTTGAATGACTGGTCTGTCCACTCCTTATAATGACATCTAGCCCAAATAATAGACCCATACGTGTAGGTGGCACTTAAAAAATACCATTCACCAGAAGGAGGTTTTGAGAGGACTCTACCTCACTATTTCAGCCATGCTTGAAATAACTGCAAATGGTCCCATGCCACATGAAAGGCACTAAGTGGCATTCCTTGGATGAGCAGGGAGCCCAGGACTCTTGATGGTAGGCGTTCTGGAGGGCCATGGAGCTGGGACACTGGTATTGACATGGTGACCCCTAGTGTTTCCTGTTGGTAGCACGACTTGGAACACCACCAGCAACCCTGGCCTAAGTAGGGCGTCTTTACCATCTTCTGATGGAAGGAGTTATTGCCCACCATAATTGTTTATGTCTTTAAAACCATCATGTTAAACAATCCCCCCCTTCAACTTTAATGCATTTTTCTGCACAATATCCACTTCTAACCCCTGCTGAATAGAACTGAGTCTTGACACTGTTGTTTTCTTATAATGTGTGGCCTCCTGTCTAAGCATTTCAAAGATCAAGATATATCAATTCATTACTGTGGTTACAATGTCATAAACAATGGATAATGGCATCAATGGATGAATTGTTGGAGGAGGTGGGTATTGCTATATCCACGGCATGAGAGCGTGACTAGGAAGGATTTACTATGAGCACATGAAGTAGAGGACAAGCTAGCAAGGTGGATATGGTGATTGGTCCAAGTACCATGTCTGTTGTCTGTTGTATTTTTCATCTCAGTACCCTGCTCCAGACATTGTAGCAAATGATGAGTAAACATAAAGCAATTGGATTGTATATGCTCATGCAAGGAGGTGAGGAAAGTCAACTAAGCGGATAATTCAAACCACCTAAACCACTTCCCCATGACTTATCTGGATATTTCAGAGAAAAGTATTTTCTTTTTGGGATTTGATCATGTGTATTTCTACTAAACATGATAGATGTCTTCATTTCTAATGTTACATACTATAGGCAGACACAGCCTGAGGGTAAAAAACAATGATTACAACTCATTCATTCATTATCACAAACCTTACTTGACATAGACTAAGTGGGCTGGGAATGGGCTGGCCGTTGGTTCAAATCCCAGTGCTTTTCAGTTTATGGTTATTACCCTGTTTTATTTCAGGTATAAAAGATGCTTCTTGTCAGTGTTCCAAATGTACTTGGGTGTCGGTAAAGAAAAAGAAGATAAGTAGAGTATCTGATTTGGTGGTTTTTTTTTTTTTTTTTTTTTTTTTTTTTTTGAGATGGAGTATTGCTCTGTCGCCAAGGCTGGAGTGCAGTGGCACGATCTCGGCTCACTGCAACCTCTGCCTCCCAGGTTCAAGTGATTCTCCTGCCTCAGCCTCCTGAGTAGCTGGGACTACAGGCGCGTGCTGCCATGACCGGCTAATTTTTTGTATTTTTAGTAGAGGTGGGGTTTCACTGTGTTAGCCAGGATGGTCTCCATCTTCTGACCTAGTGATCCGCCCGCCTCAGGCTCCCAAAGTGTTAAGATTACAGGTGTGAGCCACCATGCCCAGCCCCTTATTTGGTGTTTGAAGAATCATGTCACCGTTATCACAAAGACTGTAAGTCTTTTAACTGCATGAATACCATTGGTTACTTTATTCTCTTCCATGCTGGTATCTTTTTTTTTTTTTTTTTGAAGTTTAACCCCATTGCTGGACATACCAGTGTTATGAAGAAGAAAATAAACTAAAAAATGCTTATTTTATGCAGAAAGGTATAATTCTGATTAATAGTAATAAATCAAAATAAATCGGTAGAATTTCTAAGACTCAAGTGAGAGCTTGGGGTTCTTCTCTAGCTTTCGTTGATTATCGAGAAACAAAGGCCAGAAACTGCATGTAAAACAAAGAGGCACAAAAGGCAAATGTAATCCCATCATTTAGATGAGTTCTTGGGTGACATCTTTGTGGTTTCCTTTTCCTATATCTAGACCTCCAGATTCAGTTGGTGGCTCATCCTCGCTACAGAAACTTCCTTAATATGCCAGAGGGACATGTTGGAAGCGAAGGGCTTCTGTCATCATTGGGAAGGGCAGAAACAAAAGGGGACTTTCACTCAGATGCAGGAGGGAAGCAAGTTCTCCCAGGCAAAGCCAACGGCACTGGATTCTTTCCCCCAACCTACTTGTTATATTCAAATACTTCAGACTCTCCTTTTTATAAAAAATCAGTTCTGCCTTCTCAAAGCAAACCATCAACATCAAAAACAATGACATTGGATGTCATTTTAAATGAAAAAGAAAAAGAAATAAACAGATTCAAATGTGAGCTCGGGGACTCTCGACTTTGTGAACGTCCCGTTCAAAACAAAGCTCTTTGACTATTAGGCTGAGACCAGAGAGTTTTACCTTCCAGGTGTATATTTCTAGAGTCATCTGTGAATTGGGGGGAAACTTTGGAAACTGATGTCCAGGTTCAACTATACCATCAAATTCTGGAGAAGATTGCTAACGTATGATCAGAAAGGAAGAAGACGGTTTGTGTAGACAACGTGGCTGGTCCCTCGTAGAATGGGGCGTAACGGGGTACACTTAGGTATCCAGAGTACAGAAAACCTGCTGACAGGTAGACACCTAAGGTGACAAAGAAATTGCCATATTTATTGCTTTAGTGGGATAAAATGCATGGTTGTCTAAAATGAAACGGTAGCACCAAGTCCATGGCCCATGAAAGTGACTCTGCTGCCATCTATGCCCAAAGCCTCTTGTTTCCAAGGAAGCCGGTTTTATAGGAATGCATCAGAACATCTTCTTTTACCTTTTGACAAAATGAAACTGCGTCCTTGGGAGTTTCCCACCCATTGCTCTCTTGGCTACTTCACTCCAGTACTATTTCATTACTTATTGATTTTTCAACGCCTCTCTGCATGGCTGTAATTTACACAAGTCCTTACAGCCCTTAGCGATTCTTAACACCTCAAGGTAAGATCACTGAGTCCACTAGAGAGAGACATTCTTTTCTGGAATGATGAAAAATTGGTGAGTCTCCTTGCTAACACAGGCTCCTTTGGGAGGCCATGGTGGATGGAAAGTAACATCACAGTCCTCCAGGTGCTACAGTGAGAGGGTGAACGAGGCCAACTCCAAAATGGATGTTGTCACATTCTTGTTATGCTACTGAAGTCTATGCAACTTTTATTTCCAGAATGAAATACAGAGTTTTATAGATTGGCAGTTCTTAGTGAAAAAAAAGAAAGCCTATGAAGTAACCTGAAAGCTGGTAACATTGGATTTATTATGATCTTTTAAAAAATTAATCACCACACTAGTCAATTTGTAAAATATGTGTTTGCCTTTGTTGTAATCAAGGTTCCACATGGAAAAAAGAAATGGAAGTAAAGGAAAATGTCAGCATGATGAAAAAACATAGAAGAAAATAAGTGTCTTCTGGAGAGTTTTTGAGTAAAACATACCAGTGTTATGAAGAAGAATAAAAACTAAAAAATGAATATCTTATGCAGAAAGGTATAATTCTGATTAATAGTAGTAAATCGTATTAAATTGGTGGAATTTCTAAAGTCTCCTATCCAGACTTCATTATTTGGCCTTCAAAAGTTTATAATTAAAAAAATTACTCAGCTATTTTGCTATATATTACTAGGAAATATTTTTTGTTTCAGCCATAAAACCCCTTCATGAATTTTTATTTTATATATTTAGAATTATGGTGAGAATGTGATTTATACATTTGAAGGAAAATTTAATATTATCGAATAATCATATGAAAAATGATATCTTTTCAACCAAAGATAGGATTGAATTCTCTTGATGCTTCCACTACAAAATGATATTAAATAAAAGATCCCTTGAAGAAGTGTATTTTAGATTGGCCCTGTGAGGAAGCCATAGTCTGAAAAAACCGATAAATGTCAGACTGTTTACACAGTATCATGTAGCTTACCTAACTCTATGACCTGAAAACCATTTCTGGATGCTTCCAAAACAATGAACCTAACCAATTCACAAATCACAGACTTTTTTTTTAAGCTTAAAGTGAATTTAGAAAGCATCTGGACCAATTATAGTTAATTTGTTGAAATCAGGGAAAATAATCCTATCAAAGGAGCTATTTAGCATTTGAATATTTTTTAAAAGCCAATTTTTTGATGACATACTTTACTTTTTAATTATGTATTACCTGTTACGCTCATGATTATTCATCCTTCACCTGATGTAAACCACCCAATTTTCCAATGCCTTGGGACGTACTGAGATAATTGTAATGAACATGGTGCTTGCTTGCTCTGTATTGCTTCCCTTTCTTTTGAAATGTGCACTCTAAATTTCTTTTATGGGGAAGCACCTTTCCCTGCTCTCAGTTCATTTGGTTTGGGCAGGGCAGACCCTACTCCCTGGCTCTAGGTTGATCCAAGCCAGGCCAGCTGGACACTACACCACCTTGTCTACAGTGATGGACATGAGCTGAGACAGTGAGAGCCAAAGCAAGATCTTTTGCTGAAACCATTGGCAATGGGGGGGCTCTGTCCCCTTGGGGTATTTATGCTGGTGGATGTGAGTTTGGGCTGCCAGGGGCTACCACATGCCAATAGCCCACCTGGAAATGAGGCAAACACAGAGGAAAACAGAACCAAAGTAGGTGTGGGGAGAGTAGGGGAGTCAGATATTACTGTTTGAGCTGTTGAATCCAGCTAAGCCTAAAGCAGCCAACCCCATGCATTTTAGTCTATGAATTAAAACACTGCCATTTTTACTTAAGCTAATGTGAATCTGGTTACAGTTAGTTTCAACCCAAAGAGGCTTGATTAATTAGGACAATTTTATCTGTGAACAATCTGCATGTTTCAAACTTATTCTGAAATAAATTTGGAATGCTTAGGCAGGTTCACTAAATTAAAAGGGCTTCAACAATTTTGTTGTCCATGTGAGAGGAAAATGCTGCAAAAGCATCTTAGACTTGGCTGTGCAACTGCTTTGGTATGAGAAACGCTCTACTAGAGCAAGAAGAGAGAAGCTGAAAAATCCTTAAAAATAATAATGAAGATGAAGATTCACTATTTTTGTTTCGTTTTGGTTCAGGTAATGCTGAATTACATGAAATCTCCTTAAGAATAGTCACTGTATTTTCTTAGCATCTGCAATACCAAACAAAGAGCTAGAAGCACAGTAGGCATTTACTGGACTAAACTTATTAGAAAGAATTGCTGCCTGTCCTTCATGCTTCCTACATATTGATGAATGAAAGCCACTTACGGCGTGGTAGTGTTTCTCAGGAATTTAACACAATCCACAAATGATCAGACTTCTCTGAAGATTGACAAAATTCCCAGAAAACACCAAGAACATAAATCAGTGGGAAGAACATTTTTTTTTAACTGTGACTCACAATCATTTTCTTAAAAAAGGCATTTAAATGTAAAGATCTCAGCTCAATATTATTCACTATAAGTCTGTGTAGCCAACCACCCATTCTTTGTCCCTGGGTGATGTGTAAGAGTACTGCCCTTGTTAGAATTCATAAATGTGGCCAAAACCTGGGCTAGACTCAATATTTCTGAGCCCTTGAAACTCTCTAGAATGAACACCATTAAAAGAATGTGTTCATTTTGAATCACCCATCTCTTAGTTATTTCCTAACCATCTCTTTCTGAAATTAACTGTTGGCCAAAATAGAATACCAATCAAAAGCCACATGGAAGAGAAATATGAAGCCTGAGAAGAAAATATGAACCTCACCCAGGGTGAATAGCTCAAAGAGTTTCTGTACTAAGGCAGCCCAGCCATATGGCCAGTTTGGCCCAGAATCAAAATCAAAGTTGTAAAACCATCGCTATGGCAGGGGAAGATGTTCGGGCTGCTGGAGTCGAAATGACTACACTGTAATGCTGAGACTGGGCCAACCAGATGGTGCTGAGGGAACCAGACAGGAATTCCACAGCAGGAAGATGGACTTCGGCCCCAGTCTAGCTTTCCAGGCTCACCTCTCTGCTACCCTCTGCTCCAGCCACACTCCACTGCTCGTTGGCCTTCTTTCATGTGATGCACTTTTCACATCTCTTTGCCTTTGATTTTGCAGGTCCTTCTCTCTGGAACGACCACCTCCTTTGCTCTCCTCCACCCCCATCAAAGTCATGACCATCCCACCCACCTTACTGTGCTTTTATCCCCAGCCCTCCTGCACACTCTGAACTACCTGGGGTGCCACAAGGCTTCATCTTTCTTTCTTTCTTTTTTTTTTTTTTTTTTTTGCCTCCACGCCTTGACATAACTTTTTTTTTTCTTTTTCGTTCCTATCTTCTACCCTCTTCTTGATCTTCCCAGCCTAGTCTTCTAAATTTAGCTGAAGCATCACCTCCTCCTGGAAGCCTTCCCTGATCTCTCCTTTTAATTTAGGAGACCCTCCCCCATGCTCACACAGCCTCTTGGTGCCTATTTTATCAGCATCTACTCCGTCGTCCAGGAGTCACTGACCCACACGTGTATCTCTTCCATATGCCTGGAATGGCCTTGAGGGTCGAGACTATGCATCAACTGACTTTGCATTCCTTTTGCTTACTGCCAGGCACTCAGTAGGAAGGGTGGGTGGAGAGATAAATGGCTGGAAGGAAGGAAGGATGACTTAATCCTTCAAGGCCCTGCTTTCATGTCACTTCCTCTAGAAAGTTCCATGGCCCATCCAGTCCTCTTGTACTTTACATACAGACATTATTTTTTAAAATTCCCACAATTTGACTTGCATTATGGATAGGCCCTGCTTCTCTCTTTCAATAGAGCGTAAGCTCTCTGAGGTCAGAATTCAATCTCCATCTTTATATCCCTAATGATGCCTTGTTCCTAGTGGGTGCATATTTGTTTCTGTTCCATAAACATTTATGGAAAATTATTTGGTACCATTAGGCCAGAAAACATGTGAAAACCATTCAAACAAATTCTGAGCTGGACAGGAGACTCTTCCTAGCTTTGGATATTTAAAAAGCTGGTCCATCTAACCTGAGCTGGGTGGGCTGGGGATAGGTGAATGCTCATAGTAATAATACTAGCTAACACTTACTGAGCACTTACTGCAGTATATAGGCTGTACTAAGAGACTTATGTGTATCAAATCACTAATTTACAAATGCTCAGTGGTACCTGGGCATGACTCCCATTTGAGCCAGTGACAATTGTCCATCTATACCTCAGGGGAGAGAGTTGGGTCTGGTGAGTTTCAGACTGGTATATGAAAGCTGGAATTGTTCTAAGAATTAGCAGAGAGCTTCATCAATTGCTGTCTGCCTGCACTTGAGTATGTTAAGCCAAAATTACTTTGAACTCTGTTAACCTATGATTTTACAACTTGAATGGAAAAGATTCCTCTCCGAATTTCAAGATTTTTTTTTTAGTAAATAAACAGTTGGTTTTTAGACAGGAAAGAAAGACAATTGAGGTGGTTTTCTCCACTGCAGTGGTCCCCAACTTTTTTGGCATCAGGGACTGGTTTCATGAAAGACAGTTTTTCCACGGACTATGGGTCGGGGGTAGGGGGAATGGTTTGGGGATGAATCAAGCGCATTACATTTACTGTGCACTTTATTTCTATTATTATTATAGAAATTATTATTTCTATTATTATTATATTCATTATAATATATAATGAAATAATTATACAACTCACCAAAATGTAGGTTCAATGGGAGCTCTGAGCTTGTTTTCCTGCAACTAGCGGGTAATGGGAGACAGTGACAGATCATCAGGCATTAGATTCTCACAAGAAGTGCCCAACCTAGATCCCTCGCAAGTGCAGTTCACAATAGGGTTTGTGCTCCTGTGAGAATCTAATGTCACTGCTCTTGTGACAGGAGGCGGAGCCCAGTGGTAATGCGAGTGACGGGGAATGGCTGTAAATACAGATGAAGCTTTGCTTGCTCACCTGCCACTCACCTCCTGCTGTGTGACCTGGTTCCTAACAGGCCATGGACTGGTACCAGTCCCTGAGGGAACCCTGCTGTCTTGGGAGCTCTATACCCCTTGTATCAGGAACCTTCCACCTTGCAAGGATATAGTGCAGATTAAACACAGCAAAGAGCATAAATAGCCTAGCACAACACTTGGATGGGGAGCTGTTGCTAGTTGAACCTTCACAATAACCTCAGCAGGGTAGTCACGGCTTTCCTCATTTTAAAGAGGTTGAAAGTGCTACAAAAGGAGTTAGGCAACTTGCCCATAGTCGTTGCATGAGTAGACTGCTGAGTTTGGATTTCAATCCATGCTTATCTGAGTCTGTATTAACCATTAACTTACAAGGGAGCCTAATCTTACTACTACTAAATTGTTTTATGACCCCAGGAAGGTGATTTCCTCTCTGGGCTGCAGTGTTTATTGTGGGGTAAGACACTAGCAAGTGGAATAACGAGTGTGGGCTGCTCAGAGATTCAGAGTCCTAGGACTCCAAGTGACCCTGATTGATGGTCTGGACCATACTCTTGAGTGAAGGGCTGAGTCCCAAAATGTAGGTATCTAATGCAATTTCAGAGGCCTCTCGAGAAAGGGTATATCTAACCCACCTTGAGATCTCACAGGGTTGTTACTAGAAATAACTAATAAAAAAGCCTAGGACATGTCCAAGTGCCACAGTGACAGATATGACTATACATAAATTAGTCTTGCAGAAAGCTACTTGCCTGGGGTCATCATAAATTTCTGATGGCGCAACACAAGACTGATTGTATTTACTTTTGCTCTCTGTTGGGTTCAGAAGTATGATAGGCCAGTAAAACGATTTAGTTAGCTGGTAAATTATCTGCAAGATTGATTAAAAATAGGAAGCGAGCAATTGGCAAATTGTCAATGCACAGAAAAAAGAATCCTCAATAACGAGATCCAGAGATTAAATTAATTTAACATGGGGCACCATTTGAGGAGGATGTTTCATTGAACTCTTGTGATATTATTTGGACTGAAATGACCGCGTGTGGCTGTGAGTGTGTGTGTGTGCGTGAATGAAGCAGCTTTGTAACATGGTGCTCATTTTGGCTTTCAATTCAAGATTAGGAAAGCAGTAAAAATAATACACAAGGGACAGCAGTCCTTAGCGCTCATCATTCTAAAAGAGATCATTTGGTGGAAATTAGAAAGAAAACATCAGCCTTGTAATAAATTACTCTGAGTATCCCAAGAATGGAAAGCTGGCTTCTATTGTTCCTTCTTCTCATAAATGATGTGCCCAGATTATACCATCACTCTAACATGATTATGTATGCAAATGATGCAGACAGTTATACAATTTACAATTTGGCTGAAATTGTTAAAGAACTGGCAAATGGACTTTGACAAATCGCAATTTGAGGTTTTAAAAATGAACTTTTATCACAGAGCAAGAAAACAACGGATATTCTGCCGTGCTTATGTAAATTCTTTGGGCAACATACAATAGAGATGCGATTGACTACATTTTAAAAACTACCGTCAACTCTTTCCTGTGGTTGGGAAATGGATAACTCAAATATTGCTCTGGTTGAATCAAAGATTGAATTAATAGGGAATTATCATATATACCACACATGGATTACCAATTTTAAAAGAATTAGGCCACCAGAAAATACATTTAATTTAATATTTCTTTGATGAGTCAGAGGGCACTTCAAGATCTTGCTGTGCCCCCAGGTCATCATTATGAACCACTATTGATACTGGGGAGGCATGGGAGATAGTTAATGAAGAGATCTGGCCAACACAACACAGGAAAACAGGGAGTCTGCTGTTTTAGACATTTATGTCAGGGTGTCTCCCTTTCAATTTTGATCTCTTTATATCCCTAGGGAAGCTTAGAGTTCGCTACTGCCTTTCTTATCTAGGCCAGAGCTTGGTTACATCATAGTAAGATTTCTCAATATTTTCTCATTCAGAGATTCATACTGGCATCTGTAGTCTTCTCCTTTATCAACATGTATTCAGTATTTTTTTTCCAATTAAATACATTTACAAAAATTCTCCCACCCATTTTTCTTTTTCCCCACTACACATGGCCACCATCTCGATATACAATTAAACAGAATGCTCAGAAAATATCTATTTGTAGGCCGGGCATGGTGGCTCATGCCTGTAATCCCAGCACTTTGAGAGGCCGAGGCGGGTGGATCACTTGGGGTCAGGATTTCAAGACCAGCCTGGCCAACATGGTGAAACCCCATTTCTAATAAAAATATTAAAATTATCCGGGTGTGATGGCGGGTACCTGTAGTTGCAGCTACTTGGGAGGCTGAGGTGGGAGAATCACTTGAACCTGAGAGGTGGAGGTTGCAGTGAGCTGAGATCACGCCACTGCACTCCAGCCTGGGTGACAGAGCGAGAATCCATCTCAAAAATAAATAAATAAATAAATAAATAAATAAATAAATAGAACTAAAATAAAATAAAAAATAAAAAAAAGTACCTATTTATGCAGAATGGTAACAAGGGAATTGACTCAGTCCCTGTACTCCAAGGTTTACTATCTCAAATATATTGATGATCATTTATAAAGGCTGTCAAGAACATTCATGAAACTTAAACCCAGAGGAAAGAGCCAGCAAGCACTAGACGACACACGGTTCTAGAGCTTCTTGACCAATTAAATAAGGGCAGTTTCAAGTTCATTCTTCTGTTACTGCTCTTTTATGAAGTAAACGTTGTTCACTTTCCTCTTAAATTACAGGGCACAAAATTAGACTGTGGCGGGGTGTTTACCAATGTAGGATATAATGAGAAGGCTACCTGTGGTTTCAACATTCTGTATTTCTAGCCAGAAATATTTTTAACAGTGACCAGTTGGTTCATTTGGTTAGTAAATAGGTAATAATAAAGCCAAAAGAACGACAGCAGTACCCCTTGGGCCAGTTGGCTTCACTCATTTAATAACTAGAGTAGACATTAAGGTTTGACTCCAGCACAAGTTAGCCATCTAGAAAATAAGTGGCTCACTAGAGAGGCGATATCAGTGGCCAGCAAATAATATTTGGGAAAATAATTTTGACATCAGTAAAAATCAGAATCATGCAAATTAAAATAAGGGAACATTTTGTCCATTAAGTTACTTGGGAAAAGAGAAGGTGAGGGCAGAGAGGAGAGGAAACAGTCAGTAATAAGTAACAATAAGTAAGAGACAGAGAGAAAACCCAGTACTGGCCTGGAGAAGTGAAATAGCCACTCTAACATGGCAGGTGTAAATTGCGCCAACGTTTTGGAAGAAAAAAATTGGCAACAGAAGAGCCAAATGTATGTCCGTGCCCTTTGTCTCAGCTTTTCTACTTCTGAGGAATCTATCCTACAGACTTGTGGAAGCTGTCATTTTCCTCCAG
Organism: Homo sapiens; assembly: GCF_000001405.40. NCBI lineage: Eukaryota > Metazoa > Chordata > Mammalia > Primates > Hominidae > Homo > Homo sapiens. The sequence goes on from NC_000016.10 coordinate 73,207,995, forward strand.
AACATTCTCTGCACTATCTCCTAGACTTTAACATTAGGAGTGGCGTTTGGATGACAAAAGCCTCCAAGAGCAAGCTGGATGGTTCCATTTTTGAGAAACAAGGTTCAAACAAGCAAGCAAACAACACACAAAAAGCCTCTAGTAAAGAAAAAAAGATTTATGTCTGCCCCAAAACGTTCCTAGCAACATTATTTGTTTTTGAAAAAGTATAAGCAATATAATAACAGTGGGATAGTTAGCAAATTATGTTACATCCATATGATAAAATATTATTCTGTAAGAAACTGATGTTTGTGACAAGTTTTCCACTGACACAATACATGTTTCTCATATGAAAAACAGAACATAAAACCATGTACACAATATATCATGGGTGCCAAACAACATGTGTAGATGGAGAAAAATATACCAACGTCATAGGCAGGATTATACCAGATGGTGACAGGAAGAGTGACTGAATTCTTCACAGTTTTCTAAATTTTCAAAGATTTAAATGAAAATAACATGTTAATTTTCATAGTTGGAAACATATTTACATCTTTAAAAATAAGGAAATTTAAACAAAATGAGAAATGTTTATAAAATAGCATTAAGTGACAAAAGTAGGAGTCAAGATGGAAAGGCACAATATGCTCTTATCCAGGCAAATATGCCTGTAAAACAGACTGAAAGTAATACACTGCTAAGAATGCTACATAGGTAGCTATCTTTGGTTGGTAGGATTAGAGATGCCTACTTTTCTGTACTTCCCCCAAGCCATGTATTACTTTTATAATAGGAAATAATGAATAAAATACTTGGGAAAGAAAATGTTATTTTGCAAAATGAATCTAGTGAGAGTGTGCAGATAAAACAGTGAAAGTCTTTTTATCAGTACTGCCCCAAACAACTTTGAAATGCCACGTGGCAGTAACTCATCTGGTAGATTAATAATATGTATCATCCTTTTATTGGGTTTTGCCAATGCAATTGCCATTTTTTTTGTAAGCAAATCATGGTCAAATAATGGCAATTTCATACAGTTCAACCCAATATATGAGGAAGAAATGGCCACTTATAAAATTAATTATCATACTCTCTACTTTTATAGCCTCAAAGCCAAGGCCAAACAACACAAAAACAAGAGTTTTTGTTTGCGTGAGTTATATCTACTAATATATTAGAGATTGAAATGGAGAAATATTTTAAAAATTCATTTAAAACTAAGCCCATTGCATGTTAATATAAGTAATATATTTCAGTGAAAATGATTGTATTTCCCAAATAAAAATAATTTAGGAGAGGAATAGCATTGTCTTAGTCTGTTTGTGCTGCTAGAACAGAATACCATAGCCTGGGTAATTTATGAACAATAGAATTTTTCCCCCATGGGTCTGGAGGGTGGGAAGTCCAAGGTCAAGGCGCCTGCAGGTCTGGTGTCTGGTGAGAGCCTGGTCACTGCTTACAAGATGTTGCCTTGAATGCCGCATCCTTTTATAGAGGAGAGGAATGCTGTTCCTCACATGGTAGAAGAGCAAAAGAAAGCAAACCCACTTCCACAAGCCCTTTTTATAGCAACATTAATCCATGAAGCACTTCCCATTAGGTCCCATCTCCCAACATTGTTGTGTTGGGAGTTAAATTTCAACATGGGTTTTGGAGGGGACAAACATTCAAACTATAGCTGGTATTGTTTTGCATTTTTGTAAATCTTTGGTTTAACAGAAGGATGCTAGATTCTTTGATCTGCTTTGACATTCAATCTTTTGCAATATTATACATCATGTAGCTTCTGGAAAACTCCATTGTACACTTGTGAGAGAATGAAAGTGAAAAAAGCATATAATACCTTTATGTTAATATGGAAATTGTATTGACTTCAGAGACCACAGAAACCCAGGGTCCCCAGACCACACGTTGAGAGCCAATCAATGTTCATGACTTTTTCAGGGTCATGGGTCCCCAAAAAGCTATACATGTTCTTCCTTCTCTAAGAAATGAGCATGCACACATATGTACACACATTTGTAAATAACTTTGGGGGTTCACTAATACCCTGAAGTTTATGGATACCCCAGATTAAGAACTTGGCCTGGAAGGAAGGTAAGAATTATTCTGGCTATGTTTGCATGCTGAAGTTCCCAGGTCAAGACCATGCTCAGTTAAGGTGCTTGATAAATACTGTAGCATAAAATGAAATAAAAATTTCTCAGCAAAATTAGAGAAATGTCTAAAATCGCCAAAAGATTAAATAAAATTAAATGGTAAATAACTGCTGGATCGGGTTAGCTGTGCTCTAACACTGAGTCAGCAAAATGCCTCCCCATACAAACGGCAAGGGATAAGGGCAAACTCCATCTTTCACTTCTCTCCCGAACATCTTTTTTCAAAGAAACTAACTGGCTGCAATTCAAAGACAGTTTGAAAAAATATAAATATATATTTTGGGGGTAAAAAAAATCCATTAAATTTTTTGATTGCATTGAGTTGCTTATCAAGAGTGTGTGAATAATGCCAGGAAAAGATACTTTTCTAAAAATCAATACGTTGAAAGTGCTGTTTTAGGGTTGCTGTAGTTGTTGGTTGTGTTTCAGAGTTATTCCTATTGACCTGAATTCAAAAACAAGGTATTGATTTATAAAGTACCTTCAGTAAATAAATGCACATTCTTTCAGCTAACCCTAATAACCTGTAGCATACAGAACAAGGTTTCAAGTCAGCTCTGCAGAGGTGAGCTTATAGTGTCACAATTAATCCTCTCTCAGAGTCATGAGGCTCCTCTAACGTGGGGGAACAAGAGAGATGGCAGACAAGAAAACCACAGAAAGAGGAAAGAGGCAGAAGCATCTTAGCTTCTTTTTTTTTTCCCAAAAGATTTTTTCAAATGTCATTTTGGTTTCCTGAGCAGGTGGGATGCACAGATAGCAAAACCATAGCCTTCCAATGATTGAATGATGACTCATCATAGTCTTGTAAATTATGTCTCTACTCAACTTTCCCATTAAGACTGAATGGTACAGATAAGCAGGAAGATATCTCTTTAGTTGACTCTTGGGTCCATTCTATAGAAATAGAGGATGAGGCCCATGACCCCTGGCTTTACATTCAAAGTCCACATCAGGACAATGTCGTGGGTTGGTTCTGATCTTTCTCACTTTGCCATTACTTACCAGCCACAAATGGTTGGTTGATGAGGACCATATTGCCTTAAAGCCCCCCAACTTTCTTCACAATCATTTTTTACCAATGGCAATTGACTTGCTTCTTTAAGAAGCAGGTGAATATCATGAAAGCAAGCTTGAGCAAAGTGTGGAAAAATAGGGTTTCTGGGCACTGGGCTTCTTTCTGGACTTTTCTTGAAGTCAATGCCCAATGACACTTGAGAGTGATTATTAAGAGGTTATATGCTTAGTTTTGTCACTCAAATTTTATCACTTAAATGTATCAATTCAGATAAATTTATCCATTTTTTAAAAAAAGAGGCAAAGCACAGGGTAATATAGAAATGAGCAGAAATCCAAGAGAAGTAAAAATACAAAGCACGGGGAAATATACCTGTATCACTAATGAAGGCATCCTGCTAGATACCAGTGAGGCTGCTAGATGGAGAAAACCCCTGGTGGAGCCTATTTAGTGTCCACAGTGCAGGAACTGGCAAAATTCCATGCATTTGTATTTAAATCCCAAAGAATCTATGTTTTTTTTTTTTTAACCAATCAAGTTTTCTGTTCTTTCTCTTGGTTATTATGATTTTGATTATTTAAATAGATTTATTCCTGCAAAGCACATTTTTTGGGGGCTAGCATGATTCTCCTGCAGTGGTTGAGTGGTGTTTTGTGAACCAGGAGTCTTGGGGATGGAATGGCAGGGAGGGGGGTGGCAAGTGAGTAGTGGGCCTCGGCCTCACACCTGGCTTCAATCAGCGCAGTTCTATTTGATCTGTTTTTATATATTGAGGATAGGAGTAAGATTTTATTAGAAAAAGAATTTTGCTGCTAAAAACAATGACAACGAGAGGTTGAAAGTCACTGATCTGGGGAAACTATGTTTAGACTGAAATTGACCCTGAACATTAATAATTCTTCTGTAGGAAATCAGCTGGTGACTTCTCTCTCTCTCTTTTTAAAGAAGTTTCAAGTTATCCATATTCATTATTTTAAAAAGTACAGAGAAAACAGATAAGCAAAAAGAAAAAAAAAAAAGCACCCATCCTAATCCTACTACCCTGAGATCACAGCTATAAACTTTGGTGACAACTTATTAGCCTGTTTTCTTTCTGTGCATATATATCTATACACCCTTTTTTAAATAAAAAAGAGATTAAAAACTCTACATACTCTAGCACACTGTTTGTCACTTGATTTTTTAAATGTATATTATGAACATATTTCCATGTCAATGAATATACCTCGACTTCATACTTTATAAAGGCTGTGTAGTATGTTAGCATGTAGACTTGATCCATTTCTATCATACATCCAGTTTATCCATTGCATTCTGGTAAGATATTTATTCTGCTATCATAAACAATCCTGCTGTGAACATTCTAGATTGCTATACAGAGCAGAGCTTCTAACTGCTGTGCTCTGGCATACTGATATGTTGCAAATGGTCACACGTGTGTGGAGATATGGAGCCACCTGGATCATTTGCTGATCTGCCCCCAGCTCATGACCGTCACCTGGAGCTGTGAGCTGTCCCTAGTGTTTACCTCAATATACTCCACACATGTGCTTGTCTATGTGACTCGTGACTCTAAAATTCTTGCAGAGTATTGATACGGAGTTGGCATTACAAATATGCCCTCTGCAGCCAGCCCAGCAGACTTTGAGTCTCAGGGTCACCCTCTATCAGCTGGGGGATCTTGGGTAAGTGACTTTTTTGTGTGTGTCCCTCAATTTCCTCATTTCTTAAGTGGAAGTAATTATAATATCTGCCTTCTAGTAATTGTATTGTTTAAAAAGTGCATGCGTGTAAACCCTTCGAACAACGTCAGAAACGCAGGAAGTAATCAAGATGTTAATTATTAGTGTCCTTGACTCTTTTTGACTATTTCCGAGCTGGGATGGTTTCTGATCTGAAAGACAGAATGTGACCTTTGTCCCTGAAGATCTGTGTCTCTCCATATGGCGTAGGACATAGCTTCCCAAAAGGTATGATGAGAGAGGGATTCTTTAGCCCTGAAGATCATCTGGAAAGGCCTGAGGGATCAGAGCCCCTGGGCTGATAGCACCCAGCCTTTGATTACTCCAGTGTGCCAAACAAACAGAATCACTTTTATTGTGTGCAATGACTTGAGAAAGGTTGGGAAACGGGGTCATGGGCTTTGTGTTTATTTCAGATTTTACTTTGACACCCTGCCTCACCAAGTTTTCCTTTCCTTCTCTTTTCTCTCAACTGTAAGCACCAATTATTTGGCAAACAATCACAACTAACCAGAACTTAGCTCGACCCACATGTGCAAGGAGAAAGAGATCGGTTTTCAATAGTAGTTTGCTGAGGTAACTTCAATAGCATTTTGCAATATAATATGATAATTACCACTTTTTAGGGAAAGAAAAACACGTTAATAATCCTTTACCTACATCTCATGTAACTCTTTTGTTTTCTAATACTTGGCTGGTCCCCGCAGTTTGGGGACATTCAGGGGGTAAGTGCATGATAATAAGAACTACTTACTGCTGAAACTTGAAGGTGTATTTAAAACACGGGTGATGCTTTTGTGAATAGCCATGTTTTCTGTCTTTAATTTTAGTTGCTGTTTCTCCTAGTCTTGAGGTTTTGAAGTTTCTGGCTTTCTCCTTTATGGGCCCGGGTCCCATTTTTGCTCCAGTTGAGTGCAGATACATGTCTCAAATTCTGGCTGAACATCAGCTGTCCTCTCAGTTTTCAGAAGATGGCTCTCCTATTCCTTCCATAAGCTGCTTTGGTCTTTGTTCCCCGCTCCAATCTGTAAGCCATCTGCACCCTTTATTATTAAGAACATATTTACCAAGATTTCACAACTGTTTAATAGATACGTATCTTATTACATGTTTGATACACCTCATTAAACATATGATTCAATCGGTATTTATTTAACATCCAGTAAACACGGAGACCCCTCAGCCTAGATAGGGGGAAGGGGGAGGACCCCAGCTCAGTGTCAGTGTGCCCCTTTGTCCTATAGAAACTGCTCCGCACAGCCCAGTGCTTCATCTTTAACCCTTCAACACTCCAGCTCAAATGGGCTTGGGCCAAGAGTCAAAGTCGGGATGAAAGCCTAAACTGTAGCTTACACACAGTTCAGGCTCCCACTGGGGCTACCAGGCTGGATGCAGTCCACGTTCTCCTCATGCCATCTCAGCAACAGAGCCAAGTGTGAGCTATGGGGTGCCCTGTATTTCCAGCCCTACAGTGTGACTGTGAATTTTTTTTTTCGGTGACTTACGGTGTGGCCTTCAATACAATTCATTGCAAAAAAAAGGAGGAAGATTCCAAAATCTCCCAGCTGTTCTTTCAAACCAGACTAGATGCATCAGAGCCCTGTTAAATAAACTAGATATAGACCAGGATGCTCTCTGAGTCTATCCCTCTGCTTCGTTCTTCACTTGTCTAATCTTCATGACCCTTGATTCATGGTGTTGACCTCTTCACACATATCCCAGACATCTGAGTTCACTTCCCATGTGCTCGAGATCTCTTAGTGGTTTCAGTTATGATACACCTGAGTACTACATGGGGGGAAGCTCAAGACAGAAAATACAACTCAACACAAGAGCCTTTCTTCAAATGGAAATTTTCTGGCATGAGTTTCTCATCCCTGCCAGCTTCACTTTCTTCTAAAGCAGGGCTTTGGAGAAACATTACTCCATTGAAATGCTGAAGGCCTTTTTTTTTTTTTTTTTTTTTTTTTCTGTTGTTCAGGGTTTCCAGGATTCAGGGTGAAGAAATCCAAAGAAACCACACCAACTCCTCTGTGGGAAAACTTTTCCTTTAAGAAGGCCACAAGGCTTAGCCAAACAACTGATTACAAAGTATGGAACTGCAATGCTTTCTGTAGAGGGGGCAGGGGGCAATTTAGTTCTTAGTTCTTTGCCATAAATAACGGATTAAAAAGCTTAGCTGATGCTATAAATTAAAAATGTGAAACTAATTATACCAGTCCCATAAAAGCAAAACAACCAATTCATAACCAAAGTATGTGATGTGACAGCATCTACTGGGTATGACAGCTCTAGAGAAGCCGAGGAGACCCAGTAATCCTGCAAGAATCTGTCCTCCAGCCCAGAACCACAGGCCTACTTCCATGTTACAAAGCAAAACAGTAGTAGCTATGTTGTTCTCTCTACCCATTTTTCATGACAATGGCTTCATCCTTTCTCCACCCCTTCCATGCAGGCCCATTACTCAAAAGAAAGGCTCACCCATACCAAAAAGCACAGCTGCAGTTTTGCCAATTCAAACCAGATGGGTCTGAAAGGCAGCTGCTGCCAAGACTATAATTCAACTGGGAGTTCCTAAATGTTTCAACCAGCCATTTAATAATGTTCTATCTGGAGTTTTCTCCCTGTTCTAAATATATGAGTGAGGCCAACTTGGTAGGACCCTGCAGTTTCAGAAGAGTTCTCTGTGTTGCTCAATGGATTGTTTCCTTCTGTTTGACATGGCCCCATACTCAACGTATCACAAACTGCTGTGTTTTCTCCACCCCTAGCTTGTCCTCCCCCCGATGCTGAATGAATCACTGTTCACAACTGATCATGTCCTCTGTGTATAAGAATTATTCATTACACATTTTGCCTGTGACTTTGTGGTTCTTTGCATTAAAGGTGGAACTTATTTCCTCATTGTGTTGGTCTGTTGCTCAATCACATGACTTGACTTGGCTAATGGGGAGAGAGAGGTGTGTGTGTGTGCATGGACGTGTGTGTGTGTGCGTGTGTATGTGTATGCTGGGTCTACATGGAGACCTCAAGAAACACTGCATATTTCTGTTCATGCTTTTATACTCAGATGATCTCACATGAGAATGATATGATCTAGATAGTGATTGATCTGAGAAGAATGAGAAAGCACAACTAACTTGAACCCATCTTGCAATGTGGAGTCAAGCTCAGCTGATTCCAGTCAAGCACAGAAGAACCAAAGCAGGCCTATAGATACACAAGGGAAAAATAAATGCTTACTGTTTTAAGATGCTAAGTTTCGGGAAGCTTTGTTACACAGCATTATTGTGGCAGTCGCTGACAGATACACTTGCCACCTAAGTTATCTTTCCAAAACTGCCATGGGATTATGTTAGTCCCTTGATTTGTGGCTTCTTGCTGCTTACAGGTCAAGTCCAAACTCTGTGCCATGTCATTCAAGGTCCCCAGCAATCCAGCTCTAGTTTAAGCATCAGTTTCTCTGCAAATCCTTCCCCAACTGAATTGGTTCCCGTCCTCTGGGTTTCCAGAGTCCACCAGTGATCTGCTGCAACAGTACTTGTCAAACTGGATATCGCTAGTATTATATCCATCTCCCTCAAAAGACTGTGAACTCCAAAGTCAAGAGTCAACTCATTCATCTTTGTAGTCTCAGCATGAACCTATGGTAAACAAACTGAATTTACTTAGCAATGATTACAGCCTGCCTGATTTTGATAGGAAACACTGATAGATCATTTGACTACAAAAGACACAAATATTGTCCCAGCTACTCAGGAGGCTGAGGCGAGAGAATGGCCTGAACTCAGGAGGCTGAGCTTGCGGTGAGCTGAGATCGCGCCACTGCACTCCAGCCTGGGTGACCGAGCAAGAGTCCATCGCAAAAAAGAAAAAGAAAAAAAAAAAGGACTCAAATATTATCTGAACACTTTCAAAAAAGTAACTAGGACTCTGTCTCCCCTTCCTCTAATTTTCTAATTCAGGAGTTCAGCTTCCTGAACAACGGTCTGGGTTTCAGTAGGAGACAGATAGTGGTGCAAATATCCCTGAAGGTCGTAAAGACATGTTCCGAAAGCATGGCCGTGGTCCACTTAAGTTCTCCCTTAGGATTTCAGCCTGATCCTTGCTCTAATGTTGACCCACTGCCATTGCCCAAATAGAGTGAGCTGAAAGCAGGCTGAAGTTTGATTTTCCCAGTTGATTTGGTCATAGTTTTGCCCGTAATAATGTTGCTGTTTTCCCTGGGCTGTGACTGTTACAGATGAGTCAGAGGGAGCAGGGCTGTAGCCCTCAGATGGGTCGATGTTATCGATCCTCAAGGCTCCATGTCATTTCCAGGGGATTTGCTAAAGAAGCTACTTATGTTCCTTTTTCATTTTCACCAACTCATTACCAGCTGCTGCAGCCTTCGTATGCCTCAGCAACACCTGGAGAAGTGGAACATGACCGTCCGATTTGAGTTCAGACACCTTCCTTTGAAATTCAACACAAGGCAACATGCAACCCACCAAAATCTGAGTCAAATAAGGAAGTCAGGTCACACTGGCCCACAGGGGTTTGGTATTTTTTGTTTTGTTTTAAAAAGGGCAGCCTGGCCCTACACTAAGCAATTGATCCCCTGGCTTAACTTTTAAATTAAGACCATTGTAAATTTGGGAACTTGAGAAGACATAGAGAGGACACCCATAATACTTTGCAAATGTCAAGTGCCTCTCGATGTTGGTTACTTTTCAAAGGTAGCTAGGTTACAATGTACCCTGGTAATGAAAAAACCCCGTCAGGCCCACTCCACGGGGTTTCAGTCAATATACATAATATTATTGGGCTTTGCAAGGATTAAAGGTTGTTTCTCTCACAGCCTCACAATAGGGCTATTTATTTTTTTCTACCCAAGGCACAAAAGAAGCCTCCCTGTTTACAGAGGAGCCCAGGACATTTTGGGGCTCCAAGGCGGTCCAGACTTCTCTTTGCACACTTCCCCCTGCTGGTGGCTTTGTAGTTAACCTAAAAAAAAAAAATTAAACTCTTTTAACCTGCAGACACCAGGATTGAAAAAAGCCAAAACTAAACAATATTTATTAGGGATTGATATGGTCCATAAGTCATTTCTAGAGTATAGAAGCTCTGGTGTCTTCCAGTTTTATTCTGAGAGTAAAAGCTTTTTGTCACTCCATCCTCTCCCTCCAAACCTAACGGGCCTTCAGTGATTCCATATTTAGTGTACTGTGGAACCGCCCATCCTGCAGAATGGAGCCCAGTACATGGTATGGCCTTATCGATATTTATTGACATTAGGAGGCTAGAGACAGCACATCAGAAAAATTGTGTAGTGTGTCACAACCATGCCTAAATAAGAAAAAGGAAACTCCTTTTTTCATTCAGGTTCAGTTTGGCCTGAATGATTAAAAGAAATTGTAGTCTTAAAATCTCATAACAGAGATGCGATGATTAGTCTGTCCAATGAAACTTCTTGGATAAGGAAACACAGGATTATGCAGAATAGTGCTGAGCTGGCTGCAGGGACGACCCAATTAACTCTTTTAAGCATCTTAAGAATGCCAGAGCTTTCTTAAAATTAGTTTGATTTTTTAAAAAATATAAATACAGGTCAAGTGTGGTGGCTCATGCCTGTAATCCCATCACTTTGGGAGGCCGAGGCAGGCAGATCACTTGAGGTCAAGAGTTCGAGACCAGCCTGGCCAACATGGCAAAACCCTGTCTCTACTAAAAACACAAAACTTGGCTGGGTGTGGTGGTGTGCACCTGTAGTCCCAGCTACTCAGGAGGCTGAGGCAGTAGAATTGCTTGAACCCGGGAGGTGGAGGTTGCAGTGAGCTGATATTGTGCCACTGCCCTCCAGCCTGGGTGACAGAGCGAGACCCTGTCTCAAAAAATAAATAAATAAAAAAGTAAACACATACAACATGAAATTTATCATTATAATCATTCTAAGCATATAACTCAGTGTCATTAAGTACATCCACAATGTTGTGCAACCATCACCATCTAACTCCAGAATGTTTTCATCAACGAGGTGGAAACCCCATACCTATCAGCAGTCATTCTCCCATTTCCTCTTCCCCCAGCTTCTGGCCACCACAAATCAACTCTCTGAATCTATGGATTTGTCCATTCTAGATATTTCACATAAATGGAATCCTACAATATGTAGCCCTTTGTGTCTGGTCTTTTACTTAACCTAATGTCTTCAAGGTTCATTCGTATTGAAGCATGTATCAGAACTTCATATTTTAAATAGCTGAATAATATTCCACTGTATGGATAGATCACATTTTGTTTGTCCATTCTTCTGTCAATGGACATTTAGGTTCTTGGATGTGGTTTTTGCTTCTCCTTATGGCAACCAAAATTCACAGAAACAGCATACAGACCTATGCTGTTGTGATTGTTTCTAACACGCCATGTTATTAACAGATTGTACTGTCAATCACCATCAATAAGTACTAGCATGACAGGCACTCAACCCATGCTGCTTGATGAGAGTTCACATTCTTGCCTCTAGGGCTGTGGTTGGGCAGGCCAGAAATAAAGCAAGAACTACAGTAAATATTAAGGAATGGTGCAGGCAGTATCTGAACATGTCATACTGTAGAGATGCCCTACAACTGGGGCAGGATAATACTGAGGCATGCCCAGTTGACAGTCAAAGCCCTGTTGCATCTATGAGACCCTGCTGTCTGAGGGGTACTGCAATTTCCTATCAGTATTTTGACAAATGGTTCTCTGATAAGCAATTCTGAAATAAAGGATTGGCCTACAGGCAGTGAGTAGAGAGTACTGTGATGGCTTCTTCTGGACTGGTCCTATCTTGGAATCAGGTTGGTGAGAGTTGAAGGCTGCCTCCCCCAGTCAGTAGGGTCCCAGGAAACTGGGCAAGACTTCTTTTGAAAAATATGTTTGGAGGCTGGGCATGGTGGCTCACGCCTGTAATCCCAGAACTTTGGGAAGCCAAAGTGGGCAGATGACCTGAGGTCAGGAGTTGGAGACCAGCCTGGCCAACACGGTGAAACCCCGTCTCTACCAAAAATACAAAAATTAGCCAGGTGTGGTGACACGTGCCTGTAATCCTGGCTACTCGGGAGCCTGAGTCAGGAGAATTGCTTGAACCTGGGAGGTGGAGGTTGCAGTAAGCTGAGGTTGTGCCATTGTACTCCAGCCTGGGCAACAAGAGCGAAACTCCCTCTCAAAAATAAAAAAATTAAAAAAAAGAAAAAGAAAAAGAAAAATACGTTTGGGCATTGGGTATACATAGACATAAAGATGGCAACAATAGACGCTGGGGACTACTAGAGAGGACAGGAAGGGAGTAGGGGGCAAGGGTTGAAAAACTAACTTTTGGGTACTATGCTTACTACCTGGGTGATGGGATCCATTGTATCCCAAGCCTCCTCATCTCACAATACTTTCATGCAACAAATATGCACATGAACCCCTGAATCTAAAATAAAAGTTGAAATTATTAAACAATAAAATAAAATTTTGATATTAAAAAAGAAAATATGGGGAAAGCTAGGTGAAATGTAAACCAATTAAAAAAAAGGAGTGGGTTTCCATTGACAAGTCAGAAATACTATGTCAAAGGATGTTAAATAGATGCAGTTTACAGGCCTTCTCAGAGGCTTTAATATTCCAGTGTGCACCCTAAAACTCCAATAGACCAGGCACAGTGTGCATTATTTTCTAAAATTCTTTGACCGTAGAATCCCTTCATGCTGCTATGTTCATTGCACAGTTTTTGTGCTATACAAAGGCATCTGGTGAAGGGGGCTAGTGGGAGCTGAAATGTATGTACCCTGCACTTTGCTTGCCAAGGTAAGGGTCTGTGGGGCTGTGTTCACCCAGAGGGGTTGCATTCTTTGTGTGTGTGTGTGTGTGTTTGTGTGTGTGTCTGTGTTTAAAGTTTGTCTTCCAATAACATCCTCCTTTTTGTAATTTTCATAAGGATGCTCTATAGGATAGTGAAGTCCCTGAACCCTTTTTGGTGGAGCACGGGCGATGGATGTTTTTGTGCATGGGAGGGAGGTGTACTCAGGGACAACAGTGGTCCAGGGAATCTCTGGGCTTATCCTATATGGGGAAAGCTGTAGAGCTGGGGAGAAGCACTGTTATCAAGGGCAAAGGAATCCAAAGATTGATCTCTAGGGGCATTGCGCCATGGAATTCATTAGGGACAAAGACTCTTGGGAAGCATAGCATAACCGTATTGTTGTAATCAAGTCATCATATTTGAGGTTTTGAACTTGACTTGCTTCTGACCTCTGTAGAAGACTGAGCTTGAGAATGTGCTTTTCTATATATTATACCACGTCTTATTTTTTCTGCTTACAAATGGTATGTGTGCCCATCGTATAAAATTTGTAAACTGCAAAAAAATACAAAGAAAAGTCACTGTTAATACCTCTATTCATGGTTATAATTTCGATGTATCTATTTTATACATCTTCAAATATAAAGATATATTTTATTGTTATAGATTATTTATACTTGAGTATATATTTTATTTTAAAAAGTTGCAATCTTTTAGTAGGTTTTGAAATAAAATTGTGATCTCCTATCTATACTAATCTGTAACCTCTTAAAAAATCACATATCACATTGGGTACAGTGTACACAGCTCAGGTAATGGGTGCACCAAAATCTCAGAAATCACCGCTAAAGAACTTACTCATGTAACCAAAAGCCACCTGTTCCCCAAAAACTATCGAAAAAAAAATGTATGGGAACTCCCATCTTCTCTGAATTGTATGTAAAATTGTGTTTGTGTACATAAAGTACTGTTTCTTTTTCTGAAAGTAAGGTCTGTAGTTTTTCTCGCCTTCTCAAAGGGATCATGTCCTAAAAAAGATCAAAGTCTTTGGTAGCAGTGATTTGTAAACTATAAAGTACTATTCAAATAAAAAGACCCTCTATTGTACACATTCTTAAAAAAATAAAAATGAAAAAATCACATATCAATATATTGTATATACTTTCCATACCTTTAAGTATCACTTCACAACATGGCTGCACAATGTATTATTGTACAGACATACCATATTTTATTTAATAAAGTTAAATATTTAATTGTATTTTATTTAATACATTGTTGGACATTTAGGTTATTTAAAAATTTTCCCTATTATACATAACTCAATGATGAACTCTTTTTTTCACATCTCTGATTGTTTCTCAGAGCTTCTTACATCTTTTCTTCATACTCCTATAATACTGCTAACCCTGATGTAGTCACTTCTAGTTATAATTATTTCCTAAAGATGAGTAAGATACTAAGTGTGAATAATCTCTCCTGATATGAGTGTTATACATTAAGATAGACAATGCAAAATTGTGCATTTAAAGCACTTAGCTTTAAAGTATTATTACTTTGCCTTATATCATAAGATTTTTTCACAGATGATATCGTCTATGTAGGAAATCTGAAAAAAATCAACAAAAAGCCCTCCTGGAACTAATAAGTGATTATAGCAAGGTTGCAGGATACAAGCTTAATATACAAAACTCAATCACTCTCCTATATACCAGCAATGAACAAGTGGAATTTGAAATTAAAAACAGAATAATATTTAAATGAGAATTCCTCAAAATGAAATACCTAGGTATAAAATTAACAAAATATGTACAGGATCTAGATGAGGAAAACCACAAAACTTTGATGGAAGATCAAAGAAGATCCAAATAAATGGAGAGATATTTCATGTTCATGGATACAAAGACTCAATATTGTTAAGATGTCAGTTCTTCCCAACATGATTTATAGATTCAGTGTAGTCTCAATCAAAAGCCTAGCAGGTCATTTTGTGTTTATTGACAAACTGATTCTAAAGTTTATATGAAGATGCCAAAGACCAAGAATAGCTAACATAATATTGAAAGAGAAGAAAAGAGCTGAAGGACAGGTACTAGCCAACGTCAAGACTTACCTTAAAGCCACAGCAATTGAGACAGTAAAGTATTGGGTAAAAAGATAGACAAATAGATCACTGGAACAGAATAAAAAGCCCAGAAATATACCTGCATAAAAAGTCAACTGATCTTTGAAAAAGAAGGAAAGGACATGTGATAGAGGAAAGATAGTCTTTTAAACAAATGTTGGTGGAACAACTGGACATCCAATATAAAAAAATGAATCTAGGCATAAACCTCCTTACACCCATCACAAAAGTTAACTCAAAATGTGTCACAGACCTAAATGTAAAACATAAAACTGTAAAACTCCTAGATAACAACATAGGAGAAAATCTAGATGGCCTTGGGTTTGGCGATGACTTTTTAGCTATAACCCCAAAAGCATGGTCCATGAATGAAAGAATTGATAAACTAGATTTCATAAAAATTAAAATTTTCTGCTGTGCCAAAGACATAGTCAAGAGAATTAACAGACAAGCCACAGACTAGGAGAAAATATTTGCAAACGAAATATCTGATAAAGGACTGTTATCCAAAACATACAAAGAACTCTTAAAACTCAACAATAGGAAACAACAGTCTAATTAGAAAACGGGCTAAAGACCTTAACAGACGCCTCACCAAAGAAGATATATAGATGGTAAACAAGCATATAAGAAGATGCTCCATGTCATATATCATCAAGAAAGTGCAAATTACACACCAATTAGAATGGCCAACATCCAAAATAACGACAACCCCATATGAAATACTGGTGAGGATATGGAGCAATAGGAACTCTCATTTACTGCTGATGGGAATGTAAAATTGTGTAGCCTCTTTGGAAGACAGTTTAACCATTTCTTACAAAATTAAACATACTCTTCCACATGATCCAGAAACTATTCTCCTTAGTATTTACCCAAATGAGTTGAAAACTTATGTCTACTCAGAAACCTGCACACAGATGTTTATAACAGGTCTATTCATAATTGCCGAAACTTGAGAGTAACCAAGATGTCCTTCACCAGGTGAATGAATAAACCATGGTACACCCAGACAATGGGACATTATTCAGTGCTAAAAAGGAACACACTATCAACATAAATGTATATTACTAAGTGAAAAAAGCCAGTCTGAAAAGACTACATATTGCATTATTCTAACTACATGTCATTCTGTAAAACGCAAAACTGTGGAGACAGGAAAAAGATCAGCGGTTGCTATAGGCTAGGGAGGAGGGAGGGATGAGTAGGCAGGGCATACATGATTTTTAGGGCAGTGAAAGTACTCTGTATGGTACTATAGTGGTAGATACATGTCACTATAAATTTGTCCAAACCCATAGAATATACAACACCAAGAGTGAACCCTGATGTGAACTATGGACTTTGGGTGATACTGATGTGTCAATGTAGATTTACCAGTTGTAAGAAATGTGTCCTTCTGGTCGTGGATATTAATAATGGCAGAGACAACACACGTGTGAAGACAGAGAGTAAATGAGAACTCTTTGTCCTGCTTCTCAATTTTGCTGTGAGCCTACACTGCTCGAAAGTGTATTACAAAAAGTAGATTTAGCATCACAATGTACACATAAAATAGTTGGAGGTTTTTCTTGTTCAAACCAGCTACCATATTATGTGGTTATATTTCTTTGCTTGACATGGAGTTTTCCAAGGACAAATCATGAAAAGCAGATGGGCCTCATCTGACCAAGACAAGTCAAGGAACACAAGCTAACATGTCTCAAAGGCTGTTTCTGAGTAAGTGCCTGGCACCATATTTCTAGAGATTTTGCAGAAACGTGGCCAAAAGAGTCTCATTTATAGGAAAAAGGACTCTATTATCTCCTGACAGATGAAATGCTATAGTAGCCATGTAGAATTGTTTGCTAAAAAGATGTCTATTAGGTGTCTTTTTCAAACACAGGCTCATGTATGGAAACCTGAATGTTTCAACCAAATGGACAAAGATAATGAGGGTGTAACAGTAACTGGCACAAGGTCAAAAAGGAAAGTTGCTTGACGTGAACACAGACTACCTTCCACGATCTTCTGCTTGGAAAGGCTGAATGGTGGAGGTGGCTGAATTGCAGAATGCTCTGATTTAGAGATACCTCTTAAAGCTTAAGCTGGTTTTCCTAAACTTCAATCACCTGCCTATCACCTTCATGATTTTGCCCTATTTCTGTGTCACCTTCACTGTGATTATTTTTCTTGCAATAGACTCACACTTTGATTTAAATAGATTTAGCCTCATCCTAAGAGATAATATCTATGAAATCATGAGATTATGTACTGGCTATATATTTTTATATATGCATACATGTTAAAATTAAAAAATTATTAGTGTACTGCCAAGTCTTGTCTTTCACATCACCATGGGTATGTATTACACACTTGGAGAGGTACTAGTTTAAAGAATCCTTTTTTTGGGACAAATACGGAAAATATGACTGTCTACAATAGAGAGTAAACATTTGAGGCTTATTATTCTGAACAGCCCTATAGGCTATAAATCAAGCCAGGTTTTAAAAGATTTGAGGGCCTGGTGTGGTGGCTCACACTTGTAATCCCAGCACCTTGTGAGGCCGAGGTGAGAGGAATGCTTGAGTCCAGGAGTTTGAGACTAGCCTGGGCAACATAGGGAGATCTTGCTGGTATGGTGGCACACACCCATGGTACCAGCTACTCAGGAAGTTAAAGTGGGAGCGTCATTTGAGCCCGGGAGGTTGAGGCTGCAGTGAGCTGTGATCACACAACTGCCTTCCAGCTTGGGTGATGGAGCAAGACCCTGTCTCAAAATAAAAAATAAAAAAATAAAAAAATTGAAAAGATTTGAATAAATGTCTAGAGGGCATATCCGCCACAAGCTGTTCAGGTAGGGGTACTGAAGACACTAACTTGGTCCTTTGATGTGATGTCATGACCCATGAACACTGTGTTCTGCATAGTATCATCTGAACACAGGCTGAATAGTGGCCCATATGAATTTTTACTCCCACCTAACGTTGCATTGCTTGTCTGTGGGCTCCTTAAGCAACAGCCACTTCACTAACTCACTGAACTGACAGTCACCGTCCATTCCCTTTGGAAGTCCTATTGACCGACACCTACTACACTCCACACAGTCCCAGGTAATATCCTACACTCTCGAGCACCTGAGCTCCTGGTCCCAGAAGCTGAGATGTATCCTTCCTAGGAGTCCAATGTGTTTGCCCCCAAGCCTCTTCATGGAAGTAATTCTTGTTCATAAAATACACGACTTAATGAAATAAAATATAAACTGGGGACATAGGGGCACAAAAAGAGTTGCTTCTGTGACAGCTAAACTAGCTCTGTGGAAACACTCAGGTCAGTCACTATAAATAGCCATGTAGGCAGGACAACTGTAACTGAAGGATTCTGCCCTCAGGGCCTCCCAGGTGCCTCAAAATCTCCCTTCCTGTCAAAGAAATGGAAACAGGAAACTGTAGACAAGCAACAGGGAGCTGGTTCCTGCAATAAGACAGCGCGGAACTCTAAGTGGATCACTCACAGAAACGGCTTCGTCCTACATCTAAGAATCTGTGAGTGAATGTACACATGTTGTTCTAAGCTGACATGTTTAAAGCGCATGCTATTTTAAAAAGTGCGCTCCTGCTTTAGTCAACATTTAAAATTAATTGAGCAAGTACGGGCTCATGAGAGGTTTCCTATGAGCACGTATGAAAGCTGTTTTCACTGCTGGGCCTGAAATATTAGGCATATGTGTCTCGGCCTTGGCCTGTCTCATGGGATGTGAGCTCCCCAAAGACAGAGCGTGTATTGTAGCCACCTTTGCTGATTGCACAGAGAATAAGGCCTTGTAGTTATGGATCAGTGTTCTTACACTTGAACTACAGTGTCTTTGTTTTCATATATTTGAATTCTTCCAAATTGATGGTACTTCCCACCTTAATCTTACATATTTTTTTCTCATTGCCAATGACATCAGTCTGTTTGGGATAAGGAAATGGCTTTGATTGCACTGTTCATTCGTCCAGGATTGGCTAGTCAGTGTGAAGCAGAGGAGGGATCTTCTAGCGCCTTCACGTGACTGACGTATGGCTTGGCCAATGAAGTATTTCATACTAGAATATTCCACGAATAGGGGCTATAGGATAGTGAAGTAATTCATCACGTGTATTTAAAGTTGAATTTACCGATATTTTATGGTATTAGATATTATTTCTATTAACATTTTATGCTGAAATTACAGAATGATTCGTGAGTACTGAATTTTTGATTGCTTTTACACTTTCTGGGACACTATTAAACTTGATTTACGTTAATAGCACTGTAAGAAGATATTAACAATGAATTTCCAAAAGCACTTAGCATCTCATAATTGGAGTTAAATGACAAAAAAAATGAGGAGATAATAAAGTAAAGAGAGAAAAGGAGAGAGAAAGTTTTGACAATATTCTTTTTAACCTGTGGTTCTTAATAAGATTTTTGCAGGATTGTTTTAGGTTAGCAAAGAATCAAATCCCCGATCAGGAGAGATGACGCTGATTTATTAAAGGAGTTTTATAATACAGAATAAAGACCAAGCTCCAGGTAGAGTGCAGAACTTTCTACTTATAGGAGAGAAAATTTTCTGATTTTCAGAGTAGGAAGGAAACTTCAATTACCACCTTTTTCTTCCTTCCATGGTGACTAGAAGATAATTTAATTTTTTTAAGAAAAGGAATTGATTTGGTCATAGCTGCTGGATTACAGAGAGGTAGGCTTATAAGGCAAAAACATCCAAGCTAGACCGGGCGCAGTGGCTGACATCTGTAATCCGAGGACTTTGGGAGGTCGAGGCAGGTGGATTGATTGAGCTCACGAGCCCGAGACCAGCCTGGGCAACATGGTGAAACCACATATCTACTAAAAATCCAAAAATTATCCAGGTGTGATGGTGTGAGCATGTAATCCCAGCTACTCAGGAGGCTGAGGCATGATAATCATTTGAACCAGGGAGGCAGAGATTGCAGTGAGTCGAGATTGCACCACTGCACTTCAGCCTGAGCAACAGAGCAAGATTCTGTCTCAAAAAAAAAAAAAAAAAAAAAAAAAGACATCGAAGCTGAAACAACAATAACAACAATTATTATAACAAATTTTATTTAGCCTTCATTATGTATAGACTCTATACTAAGCAACTGACACCTATAACTTTATTTAACCTTCACAACCTCCCTATGTATTAGGCACTATTATTATCTCCATTTTAAAGATAAGGAGAATGAGAACCAGAGAAAGTAAATGACTTTAGCACGTAGTGCCATCAGGACTTAAAGCCAGGCAGTCTGGCTCCTATACAAGTACTTAGCCATCATGCTTTTTGGAGCATAACAACTAAGTTATTGATAATCTGGTTAACATTGAAGCCACATTACATATGGCTTTTGCAGGCCTTATGTGCTTTTACCTACAAGGGCCCCTTCCTTTCTAAAAATTATTAAACTTGTATTTTATGACTGTAGTGGTATAAAGATAAATATTAAAATTAAAAATATTATGTGTTAAAACATTTTCTTTGACCTAAAAGTTTACTCTTAAAATGAGTTTAAAAGAAACCAAGGCCAGGCATGGTGGCTCACGCGTATAATCCCAGCACTTTGGGAGGCCCAGGTGGGCAGATCATTCTAGGTCAGAAGTTCCAGACCAGCCTAGGCAACATGGTGAAACCTCATCTCTACGAAAAATACAAAAATTAACCAGGTGTAGTGACATGTGCCTGTATTCCCAGCTACTTGGGAGGCTGAGGTGGGAGGATTGCTTGAGCCTGGGAGGTCAAGGCTGCAGTTGGTTGTGACTGCACCATTGTACTCCAGCATGGGTGACAGAGGGAGACCCTGTCTCAAAAAACAAGACCAAATGAAAACCACTTTCAAGGGCCCTTAAAAATGTTGTGGGCCTGAAGCACTGAGTTACTGTAGATCATGGAGAAGTCAGCCTTGGTTAGCATCACAGATAAAGCCAAGACCAGAACCTGGGATTACGTGGTCTCATTTCTCATGACAATGGAATCTAGAAAACTATGGTGACAGAGTAAGCGTAATAAACAGGAGATAAGGAAACAGCTGGTTTCCTTCTCCCTTGTGTTTTTGGAAGACGTCGTGGCTTGGGTCCCTGCCTGCTATTTTAGGACTACAACTCCAGAACTGATGTGGTCTCCATGGACTTTACCTCAATATACTCGGTATATACTCAATATACTCAATATGTTCAGGATTCTTGACTGATAATCCTGCCTGTAAGTAATAGAATATTAGAGATGGTCAGTATTGTCAGAGATAACAAGATCTGCTGCTCACCTAGGATTCTGACTTGTGCTACTGCTTGGGAAGTGATTCTCTGGAAACACAAAGAAAGCCCAACCAAGCTCCCCAGCCCTCTCTGCTCACAGCAACAAACTGGGGATTCTGTCTTAAACAGAAATATGATTTATCCATTAGAATCTTTCCCCAACCCAGTGACACTTTGCTTGACCCATTGTTCTTGGAGCTAAAGGACTTGAGGTCACTCTGAGAAGGTGTTGAATCATAAGATTTGGTCCAGACTTGAATATATTTTGAATAAAAGTAATGAGGGAGAAAATAACTATCTATTTTTAGTTTCCAAATTTTTCCTCAACTCCCATCTGGATATAGGAGAAAGTCAAACATTACAATGTATAACTACATTATAGTTTTAGGGTTAATATGTTTTATGATAAAAGTAATCTCAATTAAGGTCTGCTTGAACTGGGTCCCTTTCATGAAAGTCTCTCAGTGGTAGATAGACAGAATGAGATTTACATGCAGACGTTATCTGAAATTCCCCTCTTTTAAGGGCAGCATGGTTCAAAAGGGACTAGTAACTCATGCTTTTATTCAGTAAGGAAAATATCGCAGAAATAAAGGATAAAATAGTTTCCTTGTAATTTTTAATTCATCTAAAATCATGTGATTCTAGTGACTTTAGTTCATAAGACTCTTGAAAGAGGACAGAGAACCAAATAATATAGTCTTTATAGACTTCATTTGGAAATTAGGTATTATTTACCTTAAAAATGATTGAGAATGTGAATCTAGGATTCTGCTAAGATTACAGCTAACAAAAGGCACAAAGTAAAGTAAAAAGGGATTGGTAACTGATAAGCAAATGATAGATGATTGAGTGGATAGATACATGAATGGATTAATGAATAGATAGAAAAGCAGATAGATGGATAATACAGATGAATGAATTAATAGAGACACAAATGGATAGACAAGGAGATGACAGATAATAGAAAGATATTCATAGATCAATACATGGTTAGTAAATGAGTAGCGGGATGCACATGGATGAATAGATGACTTGGAAGCAGAATAAATAGTTGATATATAAATGAATATTGGTAGATGAATGAATAGATGCTAGAGATTGATGAATGCAAGGGTGAATTTGGAATGAAATTGCAGATAGATGCAAGGGTATGACAATATTATGATTGTACCCAACTGGAATGGAATACCAATGAAGATAATGACATTTCTTTTCATGGAACTATTTTAAATAGTTTAACTGTTTTAGGAACGTATGGACTGGTGGCAGAAAATTAGTCAGTCTCGAAGAGCCCTGAAGTTTCATAATAAGTGTCTCAATGATATAAAAAAAATACATGAGTGTGCCATGATTAGGCCACTTCTGAATCCTCCCTAGTGCCCCATTCTGGCCCATTTGGCCTCTTTAGAACACCATGCAAATGGAGGAGAAAAGTGACTTCACTGGGCAGCCTTTATGCATCCTTGGTGATACACAAAAGTCATCCCTTTTTGCCTCTTCTTAACTCTGATATTCACATGTACCTTCATCAGTAGACCTACTCGGGAAGGCCTGGTGCTATAATTAATCCATGTCACAGGCAGATGTAAGATTGGCAGAATTTATGAGTGGGTTTGAGCTACTGTGATGAGTAGGGGCACCTCAGCCCGTGTGATATAAATTCCTCTGCTAATTGGATTGCTAGAGCTAATCAGAAGCCAGAAAAGGAATAAAAAAATCAGTGTTCCTGCTGCCGCTGCTGCTGCTGGCTGATAAAGCAGACAGCTCTTTTCAGGACAGGAGGGCGGGGGGAGCTGGAATTGAATCCTCATGCGGAGGTCTCACTCTAGATAGCTATCTCAAAGGCGACACAGCCCTTCTGTCGCCAGGCCAGGAGGAGACAGATAGGGCAATGGGAGAAAGGGTGATGTGAGCCCAGAGAGATTGTATTACCAAATTGCAAAAACGGAGTGAATGGGGAGAGATGAAAGGAGCCGAGACCAAGACTGGGAGCGGGGACCACCATCCAATGGCCTGAGAGAGCTGGAAGGCTTTTCTGAAATGAGGTACCACTCCCCGGGACACAGGTGCATGCCCAGCATCACTGTGGGATATGACTTCAGGAATCTGAGGCCTCATCCCCAAAGCCAAGAGGCGCTTGCAGGAGAAAGCCATCTATATCTTGTCGTTTAGCTTCACACACTCTTGCGTTCACTTTCCTGAAGACGAGAGAACCGAGGGGACAATGCAAATCCCATTCAATACTAGGGCAAGTGCAATTCAGGGAGCTTAGCTGAACTGCTCAAGATGTAGGGCAAGTGAGGGAAAAAGACCACGTTTAAAACCTCTCACCTGCTGGAAAACCATCAGCGCATAGCAGCTGAGAGGGAACGCTCTATCTGTGCTCACTCTTTCTACATTTTGGAAGCAGCGAGGGGGTGATAAGGCAAGTTCGTGTTCATTGTCCTGCATACCTTTTCCTCCAGGGATCAATAGTTCGTTCCAGCTGAGAGCGTGAAATGTGTCTAACAGGGACACAGGTTAGATCCTGGTGGTCCTTATCTCTACTTTGCTTGTCTAAGTCTACGCCACTTCTCCAAGAAGCAAATGTATCCCTAATATTGGGTTTCACCACGCCGAGTGCCCTTCAGTTCTCGTTAAATTCCATTCTTTGTCTCCTGTATTCTTTTCTCTCTGTGATTACCACTTCTTTGCATATTTCTTCTGGAGCTCTCTACATAGGCTCCAAAGCCCTGCCTTGGAGGTAAATCCTTAGCCTCGATGAGTAGGCAGCAAGCCCCTCTTGCACACAACAAAGACTTCTATTTTTTTTTCTATCTTTTGGGCGACACGATAAAAAATAACCCTGTATTTATGCAAATTGCAAAGTAGCGTGTGATAATGAAAACAAAACAGTGCTGGCCCGCAGCCAAGACATGGCGCTGACGGGAGCTCCCCGACCATTTGGCTCTTGATTCTTCGGGGAAAGCAGCTGTAGAGAAATGAGAATACAGGACCCCCTCCTCACACTCGCACACCCTGGTTCGCACGCATTCCGGTACCCGTCACCTCGGAGCCAGCGAGACCTGGGATCCAAATGCGGTTCTGCCTCCTCCGGCCGTGGAGCACTGCAGTGTCGTCCTCCACGAGCCTCCCTGCCCCTGCTCCTGATTCCCTTTCAGGAATTTACAAACATTTTCCCCAGATCAATATCCGTATTGATTATTCATTGTGAGTGAGTCGTGTGTCTTTGGTGATCCAGCTTGCAGAGGTAGCAGGCAAAGGCTGCTGCGGGGGAAAAAAATAACAGAAGGCGAGAGGGACCCAGCTCTTGCTGGGTCTGCGGCTGTCGGCAACACAGAAGGGAAGAGAAAAAGAGAAAAGCACCTCAAAACCAAGGAATGGACACGGGTGGAAGAGAAAGAGGGAGCAATAGCAAGAAAAAAGGAATCGATGACTGGACATCTGGTCCCAGGGAATCTCGATGGCTTGGAGGAAACCCCCATCTTGGGTCTGCTGTTACGTGCAGGACGCAATGGACTTTGCTCTGGGAGTGCAAAGTGACTCACAGTTTTGGTATCTCCTACGTAAGAGCTTTGGGGGGATTCCTTGGCTTGCTGACAGGCAAGGAAGACAGCGGCAGCAGTGAGGTAAAACACGATTACTTCCAACTGCCTTGCGGAGGAGGCGCAGTCGTGCGGTGTGACTTGGACAGCTTGCTGCTCTCTGATGGCACGCGGAGGGAGAATAATTAAAAAGGCCAGCATCACTTACTAAGTGAGTAAACACAGAGCCGTTCCAATCGTGCTCTCCAGCTAATGAGAAGCTGTAATTTCTTATACTTCAAGGCAAGATGAGACAGTGATGGGTTCAGTGGAGGGTGTGTTTGCGTGGATATGGGGGTGGGGGGTAGTGGTGGTGGTAGAGTTAGATCGACTAATTGTTGGCAATGTTTAAGAAAGGGATTACTGGAAAAGACAGTGAAATGATGACAGGAAAACATCTTGGACCAGAGCCAAAAAAAAAAAAAAAAAAAATCGAGGCAAATCAAGTCTGCAGCTCGGAGAAAACACCCGTCGCTCCGGTGGGAAGCTCCGACGGGAATTGCTCGATGTTCCTTAGCCAAGGACGGAATATCGTGTGAGCACAAGGGGACAGAATTAGGGACCACCAGAGTCCAGAGGAAAGAGCTACGGTATGCCAGGGTATACAGTGATGTCATACATTGAGAAAAAAAATGAAAACCCCAAAACCAGAACAGATCAAACCAAAACAATAAAAACCAACCTGTGTCCTTTCCTTTTTATGGGAGGCTTCTGCTTCAGTTTATTAAAAGCAACCCTCAAATGTACCTTCTGATAGCAGGAGCTGCTGATTCTCTGTTTGTCTGCAGAAGCTGCTGCAGGGTTACTGAAAGACGCTGGAAAAAGGAGGTTGAGGAAATTAAGTTTTCCATTGGTTGGGTTTCTGGCAAACGTGCCAGGCGATCGTCTGCCATTTGGACAGCCATGGGGGTGCCAGTTTGGGATTCCTCTTCTGTTGTCACCCAGCTTTGGCTTGGTGATTTTAATACAGTGTTCCAAACACACATGACAAAGTGGGGACCTCAAGTAATAAAACGAGCTGGATTTTCTTTCTTTCTGGGTGTTCAGTTAACTGAGCTAAATGGTTCTCTTTCACATGAGTGGAATTGGGGCTCTTTAAGGATTTCTGGGACTGGAAGGTCACCCTTTTAAGATATCCTCCTTCTTTTCTGATTGAGGTTTTAATTTCACATTGCTTCCTTATTTAGGACTCCCCAGTACATTCCAAGTTTCCTGAGCAGGAGAAATAGATTTTGCAGAAGTGAGCCACGGAGACCCAAATGAGGAGGAAATAAACCAGCTGTGGATGACTTGGGCACCCTCCATCGCATGTGTTTGGCATTCATAGAGACCTGTGTCTGCAGTGTGTGTGTGTGCGTGTGTGAAGGTATCGTGGCAAATGTGTGCTTGTATGAGTGTGGCTCCGTGTCTATGTGTCTCTCCGAGAGGGAGGGAAAGGGAGCGAAGTCAGAACAGGCGGAATGTTTGGGTATTTATGTAATTCATGCAGAGAATGTTCAATGCTGCAAGGCAGACAGTCACCCATCCCTGGACTCTGTGGCTGTGGAGGGCCTATACAGACCTGATCTGAATGTTAAATGCAGGAGATGAAATTAGCATACTAACCAAGGATGTCAACCCCTCCTCACAATCAGTAAATGGCTGTCTCCTCTCTCTAAAGCCGGCACAGCCATGCGCGCCAGCCACTTAACTATGTCCCCTGTCAGATCCTTTTTTGTGTTTGTTTTTTTGTTTTTATTTTTTGATGAAAGACTGGAAATTCATTAATGAGGAGGGAAGGAAGAGCTTCAAGGGGCTGTAATGAAAACAAATGATCCTCTTTAAACCTCATGATGGCCAAAGCCAGGCGGGCGGGGATTGCTTTCTGCTCTGGGGTTGGAGAATAGGAAATTCCACAGACAGCAGACCACTTGAGGAGATCCAAAGAATGATTTGCTTGGGAATATTTCTTCTGTGTGGCACAGATCGGCCATGACCGGTGTGTCTGTGTTAATAATATCGAGAATGAACTTTATCTTCCTAACTGTAAAAGAGAAGTGTTGTCTACCAGATGTTTCTCCACTGGGCTCAAGGTTATCAAAGTTTCTTGACCTTGTTGGGGTAGGAAGTGTCTTCTGGACTTTTTTGGCCAATTGCCTCAGCCTTTGAAGTGATAGAAATTTTTCTTTTGGGCTGTGCATTAGGCCTTCCCCAAAGATAGTACTTGCTTTTATTTTAATCTCTATCATACAAAGAAGTACACAGAGAAAAAGATTTGATGTCCACTTTTAGAGAATCCCATCCTAAAGCAGACAATGCTGTCTAGAAGCTGAGAATCAGGCATATTAGCCCCAGTATTTAAGCTGGGAAATGTTTACTTACTTTTTCTTTCTTTATTTATTTACTTTTTTTGAGACGGAGTCTCACTCTATCAACCAGGCTGGAGTGCAGTGGTGCAATCTCGGCTCACTGCAACCTCTGTCTCCTAGGTTCAAGCAATTCTCCTGCCTCAGCCTCCTGAGTAGCTG
The DNA here is from genome assembly GCF_000001405.40 of Homo sapiens. Classification (NCBI taxonomy): domain Eukaryota; kingdom Metazoa; phylum Chordata; class Mammalia; order Primates; family Hominidae; genus Homo; species Homo sapiens. The sequence continues at coordinate 73,235,204 of NC_000016.10, forward strand.
GGATTACAGGTGCCCACCACCACGCCTGGCAAATCTTTTGTATTTTTAGTAGAGGCAGGGTTTCCCTGTGTTCACCAGGATGGTCTCGATCTCCTGACCTCATCATCCTCCTGCCTCAGCCTCCCAAAGTGCTGGGACTACAGGCACTTTGCCTACATGGTGAGGCACCATGCCCGGCCACTTTTTCTTTATTTTAACCACTCTATCCTCAGAAACAAACTTCTTTCTTCCCACTGTACTTCACTGATTTGGCTTTAAACCAGGGGTCATAACTCGGAAATCTCCAGGGACCTGTGCACACCAGCCTGAAGAGATGATGAGGAGGAGTGGGGCTTGGGATGAAATGGACCGGAGAGGCACTCGGCTCTGGTCACCTGATGTATGGGGGAATAAAAGTTGTGCCATGTGTTGCCTGATCTTCCACTGTTCCAAGAGGTGGTAGAGATTGGTATGTGTAAATATCAAATATATCAATTGTTTTTTTTTTTAGATAGCATCTCGCTCTGTCGCCCATGCTGGAGTGCAGTGGTGCAATCATGGCTCACTGCAGCCTTGACCTCCTGGGCTCAAGCAATCCTCCCATCAGCCTCCAGAGCGGCTGGGACTATAGGCATGCGCCACCACGCTAGGCAAAGTTTCGTATTTTTTGAAGCCACCAGGTTTCACCATGTTGCCCAGGCTAGTCTTGAACTCCTGGGCTCAAGCAATCTGCCCACCTAGGCTTCCCAAAGGGCTGGGATTATAGGCGTGAGCCATTGCACCTGGCCCAAATATATCAATCTTTTAAAAACCATCTATGAGTTAAGTGAAACATATTTGCAAAGACAGTTTTAGCCTACAGACACTACTCTGTAGTCTTTGTGTTAGTCTAAAGTTCCTAGAACAGGTGTTTTGGCTTTTATTCTATTTTGTATTATTTAAAAATATAGATATTAGCAAGGACACGGCATACGTCAAGGGAGTATGTGTTTTGCTGGACTAAGAGGGAAATGCTAATTTAAAACAATAAAGAGAGGAAGGGAATGGATGTCAGTGTGGCCTGCATGCCCTGTGGTCAACATCATTTTAGCAGGCATGATGTAATGCCATCTTTCTTTAAGGTAGTGATCTCTGGCTGGGCGCAGTGGCTCACGCCTGTAATCCCAGCCCTTTGCAAGGCCGAGGCAGGTGGATCGCTTGAGATCAGGAGTTGGAGACCAGCCTGGCCAACACAGAGAAACCCCATCTCTACAAAGAATTAGCCAGGCCTGGTGGCACATGTCTGTAATCCCAGCTACTTGCGGGGCTGAAGCACGGGAATTGCTGAATTGCTTGAGCCTGAGAGGCAGAGGTTGTAGTGAGCTGAGATCATGCCACTGCACCCCAGCCTGGGCAACAGAGCAAGACTCCACCTTAAAAAAAAAATAAGTAGTGATCTCTACAAAGGGTTTTTCCTCCACAAAGGGTCATAACTGGGAAGCTTAAATATCTAAAAAGAAATGCATTCACATAGTTTTGATGCAGATCTACATCCATTTTAAAAACAATTAGTGATTAGTGTCAGTTCAACATTTTTCTTTTTCATTTTAAAAAATGTTCTTCTTACCCATCCACAGCACTCTTCATCTCAAGTGAGTAAGAAAAAAAAGATAGAAATCCCCAGAAGAGAGAGATCCTGCCTGTAGTTTGGAAGAAGCCACGCGGTACCTGAGATAACTTCAACAGCAAAGGGCACTTCAGCAAATGGTGAAGACAGCAAGAAGGCTCCTCTTCTCACACAATGACATCTCACAATCGTGCAGGGCTTTCCAATTTCCACGGTGCTCTTCACACATATTACCCTGTTTAATTCTCACTACAACCAGTGATATCGGCGAGACAGATAGTCTTTAGCTAACTTTACAGATGAGGGTACTCAGGCTCACAGAGAGAGGACTTGCCTAAGGTTGAAAGATAATAAGAGACAGCTGCAGGTCTTCTGGGTCTTAATCTGGTGCCATTTTAGTATTTTTCATAGGTTCTTATAAAAAACATCCTCTTTAGAACCCGTGACTTAAAGGTGCCTTGATTCTTAAAAAATAAAATTCTTTAGAGATAGGGTCTTGCTGTGTTGTCCACGCTGGAGTGGTCACAGCTCACTGCAGCCTTATTCTCCTGGGATCAAGTAATCCTCTCACCTCAGCCTCTTAAGTAGCTGGGACTACAGGTGCACACCACTATGCCCAGCTAATTTTTTTTAAAAGATGGGGTTTTGCCATGTTGTCTACCCTGGACTGAGACTCCTGCCCTCAAGCAAATCCTCCTCCAAATTGCTGGAATTATGGGTGTGAGCCACCAAATGCAGCCTTTTTTTTTTTTTTTTTTTTTTTGGAGAGAACACGGTCTTGCTTTGTAGCTTGAGCTAGTATTGAACTCCTGGCCTCAAGCTATCTTCCTGCCTCAGCCTCCTAAAGTGCTGGGATTACAGGCATGAGCCACTATGCCCACCCGCTTCCTTGATTCTTGATCCATGCTCATCCCCGCCTCACTTCTTCACCATGAGGTTTTTTTTCTCATAGCCTATGTTATTTGTAGTTATGTGCACTTTGAAAATACTTCCTGTATCCTGCCAGCGAGGAAGAACCACAGCTAATTTCCACTGGCAAAGGCAGAAGCCATCCTTAACTTCCCATTTTCCTCTATTTGTTCCTCCTTTCCTTGAAAGTCAAGTTTACCCATGAGCTGGTCTACATTTGTACTATTTTTACTTCTTCACTCCGCTTTGCATCTCTACCCAGGGCTATCTGCTTTCATTCCTACTTTCCCATTAAAACTGCTCTAAGTCATTAACAACCAATTCCACTGTGCCTTCCTCTCTGAATCATTGTATTCAGTGACCACTCCCTCTCGCAAGACGTCTCCTCTGTCATACCTGGCATCATTCTATTCCTTCTTCATTTCTGGTTACCTCCTCTCTAGCTTCATGTCAGACTTATCTTCCTTTATTAATGCCTTAAATATTAGTGTTTCTGAAGAGGGTTTCTGTGGCCACCTTCTATTCTTAACTGTAAACACTTTGTTTTGTGTAATGTAAAGCCTTGGCTTCAATGATCATCTATAGGCTGATCATCAATTATCATCTCCATCCCAAACCACTCTCCTGAATTCAACCCAGGATCTCTGGCTCCCTGCTGTTACCTCCTTGGGATGGTCCACGAGCCCTTCAATTCAGGGCACCCCAAATCATCCCCAAACCTGCCTCCCTTCACCCTCTTCTTTTTCTCCCCCAGCTGCTCTTCAAATTCTCTCATTTCTTTCCCTATTTCTATTTTCTCTTTTTTATTGTATTCCTATCGCTCTTCTCTTATTTTCCTAGTGGCTTTTCCAAAGGCCTAACTGTTCTCATCATTCTCAGATATGCCTTGCCCACAATGCCTTCTCTGTACTATGTCTAATTGACCTACAGAAAGTGCAAATGTGATTATCTTGCTCGCCTTTGTGAGATCCTTCTGAGGATCCCACCTTCTTACATGGCCTTCCAGGCTGTTCATGACCTGTGTGCTGCCTCTCCCTCGCCTGCTCTCTTCTAACTCGTCCATTGCCCATGCTCTGCTTCTAGGTCATAAAATGCCCCATAACTCTTTCATGCCTCTAGGATTCCATATGAGGTTCCTGCTTCCTGGAACGTTCACCTCGGCTTCCTTCATTTGACCAACTCCTCCTCCCCTTTCAAGACTGTTCCAGCAAGAAGCATTTCTCCCCCGACCGAAACCTCCCATGCTGGGTTACGTGCTACTGCAAGACCCTATTCCTGCTTCCCTCTCCCACAGCATGACTCCACTTTCACAATGACCAAGTTTTCCCATTTGACCATGAGACACATGGAGGCAGAGACCGTGCCCTTCATCCCTGTCTTCCCAGCACCCAGCACAGATCCCAAAATAAACTGGGTGCTTAATAAATTAATATTACTATTTTTATTCCAAGTATCATAAATAGTATTTTTCCAGCTGTAAGATTACAGGCCTCCAAAATAATCAAGCTGAGGGAAATACAGCGACCGTTTCCCATAGAGAAAAAAGGATTTCCTATTGGGCAATTCTCACCTACATCACTTTTTTGACTTCTTTCAGGCGAGAGACAAGCAGTGGGGTGGTCTTTAGGTGTTTGCTGATGTGGTAGAAACTTTGGAGTTAATTAGAAGCTCTGGCTAAGGCCGAACTTCCTTTGCAGAGTTCCTGGGAGGAAACACTAAATTAACAGTTCAAGGTTACTATTAGAAAAATGGCCTGTTTCCCTATGTTATGCCTCAGAGAGTTTGTTCTTCTCTCTGCCATTTCTAAGATGTTTCCATTTTCCTTTTTACCTGGGTAGGTTTGCCACCCTAAGCCCAGTCATTCCAACACAGGTGAAAGCTCTTGAGGTCAGGGACTGATTCTTCGCCTATCTTCCAGCAGCGGTAGATTCTGGGGCACTCAATTAGTACCTGGTGGAGTTGAATAGTGAGAAAATCTGCTCATCACAGAAGAAGGAACGGGGATGATTTCCTAAGTTCCCATTTTCCACAAAGCAGAAAATGGCATGAGATCAGTAGTACCAGACCTCCCTGGCAGTGCTAGAAATATCTCAAGATACTATGAGCAATTTCTAAATTTGGAAATGCACTGATTCTTGTTATTTGCAGTAGTTATGCTCTGTAAAGTTGCCACAGACACTGAGTTAGTGAATACCGAACCATCGCTCCTAGGGGAAATAGAGAATTAGGTTCCTGCAAGCCTCTGGTCACAATGTTTTCATCAATGAATCAATACAGAGCCTCGTTTTATGTGTGTTCCTGTTGAAGATTTAAGAACCTTATTTTGTGTGTGTGTGTGTGTGTGTGTGTGTGTGTATATCTATACATATAGTTACTTAACATTGAACTCATGGCCAATAACACTATAATGCATACCTGAATGAAGCTTAATTTACACATGTGTTTTCTTTGTAAGGGACACCACAGCCTTCTTGTGCTTAGGACCACCAGACGGTACTTTTGCATCATGCTTGCAGGGTATTTTCTTTTCTTTTTTTTTTTGAGACAGTCTTGCTCTGTCACCCAGGCTGGAGTGCATGGGTGCCATTTTGGCTCACTGCAACCTCCACCTCCTGGGTTCAAGTGATTCTCCAGCCTCAGCCTCCCGAGTAGCTGGGATTACAGGCACATGCCACCATGCCTGGATCATTTTTGTATTTTTAGTAGAGACAGGGTTTCCCCATGTTCGCCAGTCTGATCTCGAACTCCTGACCTCAAGTGATCTGCCCACCTCGGCCTCTCAAAGTCCTGGGATTACAGGTGTGAGCCACTGTGCCCAGCGTTGCAGGGTATTTTAAATGACAAAATCACCAACTAAGAGCACAAAATGTCAACAACATGGCATTATGAAAAGAACACTTGTTTATAGTATGAGAGATAAAACAGGAAGCAGACCCTTATTTGACCTCAGCTGGGAACACACACATTGGGCGACTTGATGTTTTCACCTCCCTGCATGTGTCTGTGAATAATGATGAAAGTGCTGCAAGTATTGATTTTGAAGTTACAACTAAATTTCAATGAGTAGGTGAATTTGCAAATACGGAATCTGTGAATAATGAGGTAATACATACTATCAGGATATACTAGTGAAAGAGTAGAGTTTTGCTTATTTCCAAATAGAGAAAAGGATCATCAAACTCACAGGGCATTTCTGACTTTGAAGTCCCTTCTTTAAATTGTACAAAACATCTACTTTCTGGCAAAGTTCATCTGTGCTTTCTTAGAAGTTTTCATATAAATAATTGGCACTCACCAGAAGTTGTCTAACTGTTGGGGATGGGGTGGTGCATTTTTCTCAAAGAAAGAAAACTGGTTTGCTGCCAGGAGAGGCAAAGACTAGGCAATTGATGAGACCCCACTGGAAGCTGAAGGACCTCCCGCTGTTTATGATTTAAAGTCGGCCTTGGCGAAATGACAGATGACTCACGTTAGGCACCTGTGCCCATATACAGAGGATTATACATGATAGTCTGAAAAGTATTCTTTTGAGCTAAATCTTGCCCTTTTTGAGTTATACCATCATGACATTTCATATGGAAAGCAGCTGCTTAGAAACTCATTTTTGCTTTTTGCTTATTGAGTCCCATCTTGTTGCAAAGAATGGATACAGAATTCTAAAACGCAATGCTACCCTTTTCACACTAACCAAAGGCACAGAGGTACATGTGTTTTAGATGTCAGGAAAGGGGGTCACTCAGGCATGCAGAGTGGACTGAGAGGAGAAGTGTAGTGAGATTCAGAAACTAAGAGTAATAAAAGGAGGGTTGGGGGCCGGGCGCGGTGGCTCATGCCTGTAATCCCAGCACTTTTGGATGCCCAGGCGGGTGGATCACCTGAGGTCAGGAGTTCAAGACCAGCCTGACCAACATGGAGAAACCCCGTCTCTACTAAAAACACAAAATAAGCTGGACATGGTGGCACATGCCTATAATCCCAGCTACTTGGGAGGCTGAGGCAGGAGAATCGCTTGAACCCAGGAGGCGGAGGTTGCGGTGAAGCAAGATCGTGCCATTGCACTCTAGCTGGGGCAATAAGAGCAAAACTCCGTCTCAAAAAAAAAAAAAAAAAAAAAAAAAGGAGTGTTGGGCACTTCTTACTACGTCTTATTAAAAGTCTATTTGGAGTTAGTTCCATCAGGATCAGAATCTCTGCTCTCTTATTAGTATTGTGATCCTAAAACGTTGAGTGACCCCTTTGAGAACTGCTCTCTCTTCTGTGAAATGGGACCCTAATACCAACCTCTTGGAATCACTGTGAGGCTTAAATGAGATAACAATGTCAAGTGCTGGGCTCTAAGTCCAGCAGAAAGTTGGTAATCATTGCTTTTGCTAGCATCTTCTGGGTTCCTAACTAGCAATCTGACTTTTTGGGCATATTCATGGAGATACGGAAGACTGGAGTTGAAGAGACCTGCTCTGGGTCAACTTCCTTACTTTATAGAGGAGAAAGTAGGCTGAGTGGGGTCCAACCAGCACAAGTATCACAAAGGTAGTCAGGGCAGAATAAGAAGGAGAACCTAGCTCCCTGAAGCCCAGTTCACAATTATACAGTAGGGTCCTGGTGCCTAGATTTCCACTCCAGATCCTCCTTCTACAACTATGAACTGTCTGCCACCCCCACACCCACCCCATTAGCCTGGTAACTACTGCTCCATGGGTTAGTGTCTTCTTTGGCAGAAAGACTTGGTGCTACATCAGCCAAGTTAGAATTTTTTAGAGCAGGAACCACTGAGTGTGAGTTTTTCGTGTCTCTTGACTATACATAAAAATAGCTATGAACAGATAATACTCACAGCATATTAATGTAAGACAAAGCAAAACGGATCACAGAAGCTACAGAAGGAATGCTCCTTTTAAAAGAGATCAATTATTTCTTCAGTTCTCTGTAGCAATTTGCAAGATGCTCCCTTGGAAAAGCCCACAGGGAAATGCTGCTGGATATATAAACCCTAAAGCTTATAACTGATCATGCAATAACGAGACAAGAAAGCTGTGCTGGACAAACTGGATGAGGCTGGTTAATTTCCAACAAGCCTGTCTTAACGAGCGGAGTACAGGCTTAACACTGGCCATTTCAAGGTGCCAGCAACCTTGCCATCAGTGTGGAGGTGTGGGGTAGAGGGTAAGATAGCACAGTCCTGGGGAAGCCATTGCAGCAACTGGGCCGTGCTATGGAATAATGAATCACGAGGCATTTGGGCAAGAAGTTATAACCAGAAGGACGTGGCAATAGCAAGACAAATCACAATGGACTTAGTGGGTCCTGACAGTGAAAAGGAGGTCAGAGGCTGGAGTGTGTGGTTAAATGAGTAGGGTCTACCACTGTGCAGTTCAGCCAGGAGAGCTGAGTGGTCCAGACAGCTACAGAAGCACCAAGATTGGAGCTAGTGGCACAGCTCAGGCTGGCTCACCTCTGCTCAGCTAAGTTGGGTTATATAAGCAGGTATCAACATTTTGAAGTGGTTATATAGGCCTGGTGGGATGGGTGTCCCTTCGTCCACTTCATCACATAAGAGATAAATCTTTGCTATAAATTGCTCATGCTTCAGCAAAGAACAATATTTCTTAGTGGGTATTGGAAGGTCTGGAGGCAACAGGCAAATTCTATTTCTCCATGGCTGTGTCCCACTCACTCTCTATTCTTCACCCATTTTTGTCCTCATTGTACTCATAGCCAATCAAACTGAGGATCCACAAAGGCTGATATCAGATGTAACTTCATCAGAATATCCTCCTTGTGAAAGATCTGTACCTATATTTAATCTGCCAAGGTAATAGGTTTAAGTGAAACACAGCTGACATATCCAACCCACTAAGCTATTATATTTGCATTTTATATTGAACATCCCTGTAATATTCTCGTTGCTAGATGGAACTGACATTTCCATATGACGGTAAAGGCTAAATTGTGAATTGCTTTCATCGGGGTTTTGCTTCAGTGATTTCACCACGCTATAGACATAGACAAAAAATCACAACAAATACACATAAGTATCCAACACGTTTTGTGTGTGTGTGTGTGTGTGTGTATAGTCTGTTCAGTGGCTTAATTTGGACTTACGCAACAGATCACCCACCCAGAATCTAATTATTCAGCAACCATGTTACTTATTTGGAATTGATAATAATAATAAATGTTTTCTAAGAAGCTGGAGAAGCTGTCACTGAAGTGACATCATGGAGGTTCAGAGATGGTAGAGAATGCCGGTAGAGAACGCCTCAAGTGCTTGGTCTCAGTTGGATGTGAGGTCTGTTTTAAGAATGGTACACTGATGGCCAGGAGCCCTTGGGGATCATGCACCATGCTAGGCAGCCCTCCTTTCAAAGAAAGGCTTGTGAAATCAGGACTTGGGATCTTAGATCTTTTTTAGTGTGGGATTTGCAGGAAAGCAAGTTTGGCCTTTGCAAGGATGGGAAGTGGCAGCACTGGTCCATCGGAGGAGGGTTTTTGGGAATATTTTTGAGTGGCAGATGAAGGATTCTAGAAGAGTATTCATCCTGAGGAGAGGGTCAGACACACAGGCTTGACTTAAGAAGGATGACACAGTAATCAAAGGGGTGGGCGGATTTGGGGTACAGGACGCCTTCCACTGTGAAGAAGACAGATTATCCTTCTCTCCTCCATCCTCCAAGCCACATCCCAGCACACAGGCTGAATCCCAGTGACAAGTGAAAGATTCGAGAATGATTTTCACACAAAGCCTCTTCGAGGGACAGGACATGGGGGCCAGAAGGGCTTTGGGAACAAGGCAACTGATTATGGCATAACAGTCAAGGAAAGAGATTCTTTCCCAGCTATGGAGGAGTTTCCAGGCTGTGGAAATGCCAAAGGTGAAAATGACAAAGTGGAATTGAGGGAATTTCAACCCGAAGCAGACACCTGTGCTCATGGCCATACCAGCCCCATGTCCAGCGGGATCCCTTAGTGACTGGAACCTGTGATATCACCAACTATGGCAGCAGGGAGATGTTGGCACACAGTGATGCCACCAGCTTGAGGAAGGACAGGAGAGACTGCCTTTGCACGGACAGCAACCAGGAGATCTCCCAGCAGCAGGGACAGAGCAGGATGGGGCACCCTCACAAAGACTGATACATGGCAGAGGACTTAGAAACCAGCAGGGGTTGAGAAGACTGATGTGAACACATGTGACATCCCCTTTCCCAGTTCACTCCCCAGAGTACCTGGGGGAGATTTGGAGCAGAAGTGGGGGCTTACAATTGCAGGTGGAGGTCAAAGCCACCTATATTAACAGAGCCCAGCTCTATATAGCTTTGACCAGAGAAACTGGTGATCTCAGCAACCTATTCTTGGAAACTCTGTGAAGGGAGGATGGGTGGTCAAACTCCACTTGTATGGACAATGATAACTAATTTAGAACCTTGCGCTTACATTTCCCCCAAAACTCATAGCAGTCACCACACTGCCCTCTCATTGTTGATTTACTCATCTGTCTCCTCTTGCAAGATGTAAGCTCCTTGAGGAAAGGAACTATATTTTATTCATCTTCACATCCCCACTTTTCTGTTTTTTTGTTTGTTTCTTTGTTTAATACAGTCTCGCTCTGTCACCCAGGCTGGAGTTCAGTTGTGTGATCATAGCTCACTGTAGCCTCAAACTCTTGGGCTCTAGCAATCCTCCTGCCTTGGCCTCCCAAAGCACTGGGATTACAGGCATGAACCACTGCATGGGGCCCACATTCCAAATTTTCAACACTGTGTCAGGCAAACAGCAGACACTCAATCCAGGCATGTTGGATGAATAAATAGATGATGCCTTAAAAAAATAGATGATGAATAAGTCATAATAATGAGATGGCCTCAAATGAGAGGTAGGTTATGTAAATAAGCAAAGATGGTGTCCAAGGATGTTGTTCCAAAGACGTAGGGCTCCTTCTGGGGAGGCTGTCATGGGGAGTTAGGAGGAATTTGTATGGTCCAGAGCTGGCCCCTACCTGGGCCCTTCCAGAACCCCATGGAAACTCATCAGATTGTAGCCCCTAGTACTGATCTAGGTGTTCTTGAGGTGAGCAGAGAGGGTAGCTGGGCCACACCTCAACTACTTTAAACTCTTAGTAATTGAAGAAGTGAAAGCGTAAGAGTAAGGGTCCTAGAAGGTGAGAAGAGATGACAGATGAACTTGTCCTGCCTCTTTAGGTCTGGGAACCTTAAGAGGGTTGAGTCCTTGGGCGTGGACCATGATAGGCTATACTTCAGTGAGATGTGGGCCTTGGGCTGCTGTGGGATGTGCACAGAGATTATTCCACAGGACAGAGGCCATTCCCCTGTTTCCTTCTCTTAGGATGTAGTAAGGAAGCTCCACTCCTGTGAGCAGTCCCAGGGTCCCAGCCAAGGTTTCTTGGTTATGCTTCCAACAAGGGTGGCACTTTGGCCAGAGGAGCTTCACTAGATGACAGGGCAGTTACATGTCTGTTGATTCCAAGCCGCAGAGTTGTGACCTTTTAGGAGAGAGCCGAGGCATTATGAGCCAGGAGTGAACCATCCTGAACACCAAGCATGGCTGGCAGCATCAGGTGAGTGCTGGAGACTAGCTCTTCCCTCCTGGCCAGGAGCTTGGGAGAATGAGGCTTGGCCAATGAAACGCACATAAGTCACATATCTATGAGGTCTCTGTCCCCATCCAGGTTTGGAGCTATGAACACAAGACTCAGGATCAGAAGTCTGTGGGTAATGGTTCAGAATCCAGGCTGACTGCGCTCCTAAACAGCCAGCTGGGTCATCGCCAGCCATCGAACCCCGAGGTGCTGGGTGGGCCAGGCTTTTGGAAGCTGTCTCCTCCATGACCATAGCCTCATAATGAAGGGGGTCTTTCCCAGCTGAACATATCTCTTGATTAATCTCTATTTGCTGTTCATCTATATGTATTTAAAAAAGGAGAGAGCCATGATAACACAATGTCCTTCTAAATGCTCGTATCTTAAAGCAAGTCTACATATTCTTTAGATACGATGTGCTTAAAATAAGCAGCAATTTAGGGTACACTTTTTCACTTTTAAAACTTGCAACTGACTTCGGTTCCTATATAATAAAGTTTTATACAAACTAGTAATTCTAAAATGATTCTTTCATTCTTGACTGGTTGAGAAACTGAGGGTTGTAGAAGTTTTGTAAAGTAATATTTAGTGTCCCCAGAGGAAGTTATGTCCCTTTATACTCCTTCATGTATGTGTGTATTTGCTTCAAGGTTTTCAGGCACTGAGTGCCAGTGTGGATGTATATGTATATATGTGTATGTGACACGTCTGTGTGCCTATATGCGTGTGTGTATATAATGTGCATATGTGTCTGTGTGTCTATATACCTGTATGTGGAGTGTATGTGTATGTGTGTGTACTGCATATATAATGTGTCTGTCTATGTGCCTGTATGTGGAGTGTGTGTGTACTGTGTATATAATGTGTCTGTGTGTCTATGTACCTGTATGTGGAATACATGTGTGTGGGTATACTGTGTATAAAATGTGTCTGTGTGTCTATGTACCTGTATGTGGAGTACATGTGTGTGTGTATACTGTGTATAAAATGTGTCTGTGTGTCTATGTGCCTGTTTGTGGAGTGTTTGTGTAGGTGTGTGTATACTGTGTATATAACGTATTTGTGTGTCTATGTGCCTGTATGTGGAGTATACGCGTGTGTGTATACTATGTATATAATGTGTCTGTATGTCTATGTGCCTGTATGCGGAGTGTATGAGTGTGTATATACTGCGTATATGATGTGTCTGTGTATATGTATTTGTATGTGGAGTGTGTGTGTTTGTATACTACGTATATAATGTGTCTGTGTCTATGTGCCTGTATGCGGAGTGTATGAGTGTGTATATACTGTGTATATGATGTGTCTGTGTATATGTACCTGTATGTGGAGTGTGTGTGTTCATATACTATGTATATAATGTGTCTGTGTGTCTATGTGCCTGTATGCGGAGTATACGTGTGTGTGTATACTATGTATATAATGTGTCTGTGTGTCTATGTGCCTGTATGCGGAGTGTATGAGTGTGTATATACTGCATATATGATGTGTCTGTGTATATGTGTTTGTATGTGGAGTGTGTGTGTTTGTATACTATGTATATAATGTGTCTGTGTCTATGTGCCTGTATGCGGAGTGTATAAGTGTGTGTATACTGTGTATATGATGTGTCTGTGTATATGTGCTTGTATGTGGAGTGTGTGTGTTCGTATACTATGTATATAATGTGTCTGTGTGTCTATGTGCCTGTATGTGCAGTGTATGAGTGTGTGTATACTATGTATATAATGTGTGTGTGTATATGTACCTGTATGTGGAGTGTATAAGTGTGTGTATACTGTATATATAATGTGTGTGTGTATATGTGCCTGTATGTGGAGTGTGTGTGTATACTGTGTATAAAATGTGTGTGTTTGTCTATGTGCCTGTATGTGGAGTGTGTGTGCGTACTGTGTATATAATGTGTCTGTGTGTATATATGTGTGTGTGTATACTGTGCAATATGTGTGTGTGTTTATGTGCGTGTATGTGGAATGTTTGCATATGTGTGTGTATACTGTACATATGATATGTGTGTGTGTATAAGGGCCTGTATGTGGAGAGTGTGTATGTGTGTGTGGTTGTATACTGTGTATAAAATGTGCCTGTGTGTATATGTTCATGTGTGTGTGTGCACTGTGCATATAATGTGTCTTTGTGTCTATGTGCCTGTATGTGGAGTATATGTGTATGTATGGGTATAATATGTATATGTGTCTATGTGTCTATGTGTGTGTGTAGATACCGTGTATATGTGTCTGTGTGTACATGTGTGTGTGTACTGTGTATAAAATGTGTCTGTGTGTATATGTGCATGTGTGTATGTCCTGTGTATGTGTCTGTGTGTCTACGTGCCTGTATGTGGAGAATGTATGTGTGTGTGTGTGTGTGTGCACGTGCACGTGTGTGTTGTGGCTCAATGGAGGCTATACTGGATGTCTCCCCTATGTGCTGAGTATGCACTAGAATGGAACGTCTGCTTTTCTAGACCACATGAGTAACGTCAAAGAAGTTGCATTCGATCCTTATATTGAAGTTTTTTTTTAATTGAAAAACATGTTTTTATTCCAAAAGACTGAGCAGGATGGTATTTTAAAAATAATTCAAGTAATTTAAATTTAAGACCCTAAAAAAACTGTCCAGTCTGTGGTCCAAATCTATTCTCTGGCCCAGCGCCCAAGGCATTTTCATTAGATTGGGAATTAGATACGTTTTCATTCACTTCAAACTTTTGTGCTCAGTGTTTTGTTCTTCAGAGACAAGCTCACAAGTGTCAGTGGTCACACTGACCTCAATAATACGCCTCCTTTCCTTGAATAATCTATTTCAGTTGCATTATTGCCACTTAAAGATGGCCTTGTACTTGCAGACACATTTTCAGTGGATGTATGGGGAATGCTGATAATTCCCCTACATGTTTTTGCCTCTAAAGTTAGTAACTTGTTTGAAGAAAATGTCCCTAACTTACTTTCTTTGAAGCCATTTGCAAAAAGAGGCTATCAAAATAATTCTCTAATTTTTTCTTGCTATTATTAAAGGAGATTGTATTAGTCTGTTCTCATGCTGCTAATAAAGACATACCCAAGAATGGGTAATTTATAAGAAAAAGAGGTTTAACAGACTCACAGTTCCAAATGGCTGGGGAGGCCTTACAATCACGGCAGAAGGTAAAAGGCATGTCTTACATGGCAGCAGGCAAGAGAGAATGAGAGCCAAGTGAAAGGGGAAACCCCTTATAAAGTTATCAGATCTCATGACTACCACGAGAAGAGTATGGGGGAAACCGCCCCCAAGATTCAGTTATCTCCCACCAGGTCCCTCCTACAACACATGGGAATTACGGGAGCTACAATTCAAGAAGAGATTTGGGTGGGGATACAGCCAAACCATATCAGAGATTTTGTCACACTATACTAAGATTTCCTTAGGTTTTAAAATTTCATTAGTGAAAATTCTACTGTTGTATCTTCAGCAAATAGTACTGACATATAAGTAAGAAAAAAAACCCAGTTAACTCAAAGAAAAATGGGCAAATGAATTGAACAGGCACTTCACACACACACACACACACACACACAAAATTCAAAAGACCAATCAGTGCAATTAAGGAAATGCAAATTAAAATCATAACGAGGGACCATTCCCGCAACTACCACCTTGGCCAACATTGAAGTCTCACAATAACAAGTGTCAGCATGGATGTAAAGGATGACAGCAACTTCCTACACTGTTGGTGCTAGTTGGCTCATACTTCAGTGTTGTCTATGTAATGCAGAAGGTACTTTTCAAATGATTCTGAAACCAGGTCCTTATTTTTCTTTTCTTTCAATGAAGGCAGGTGTACTTTCCCCACAAGTCTGTGATATGGTTGCACTGATAGCTTCTTACCCTTTCAGGTACAATAACATGTTTTCATCAAAGTAATGTATCCCCTGAGTACTAATACATAAAATAGCCACATATCATGATATACCAAGCATGGTGCTTGTACACAGTAGATGCTCAATGAACACTAAGTTGACATAAGCATATCTGTCATGTAATAAAACATTCCTGAAACAAGATGTTATCAATTGCTATATATTCTAGCCGTTCAGTTTTTGTGGATGTGTGTGTGTTTATTTTTTGTTGTGGTAACATTTATATAACATAAAATTTGCTATTTTATCCATTTTTAATTTTACAATTCAGTGGCATTAATTACAATCACAATGAATAACCATCTAGTTGTCCAGTGTCAACATTCATTTTATTTTATTTATTCATTTATTTATTTTTTGAGACGGAATCTCGCTCTGTCACCCAGGCTGGGGTGCAGGGGTGCGATCTTGGCTCACTGCAAGCTCCAGCTCCTGGATTCACGCCATTCTTCTGCCTCAGCCTCTCAAGTAGTTGGGACTACAGGTGCCCGCCACCACGTCTGGCTAATTTTTTTGTATTTTTAGTAGAGACGGGGTTTCACCGCGTTAGCCAGGATGGTCTCCATCTCCTGACCTCATGATCCGCCCGCCTCAGGCTCCCAAAGTGCTGGGATTACAAGTGTGAGCCTTTAAGCCACCGTGCCCAGCTACCCTCATTTTAATATGTGAATTGTTAGAGTCAACTTTTATATTTCAAATTTCTTCTTTTTTCCCTTCCTTCAATACAGCCCTTCCTCCCTCCTACATTTCATCTTTTACTATCTTTGCCAGCTCCTGGTCTCATCTGCAATCTGAGTCATGTGTACCATTATTTGTTTGGGTGACCAGCGATCTCTGTGTCAGAAGAATTTATTTTCTTCTTCAATTTGGCTTGCAGTTGTCCAGTAGCAGAAGCTGCTACATTAAACTACGGGCAGTTAAAACTCAAAAAAGTGTCTATTCTTACCAGGAATAATGTAGACTCTTGGTTTCAGAATCCTCTGAGACCTCTCACAGATAATCCAAAGTACCAAAAATGACTAGCCCAAAGTCTTAGTGAGGGTACTATGGGTACTAACTCACCAACTGTGTACAGTCCCCAAGTTAGTCTCTCTTGCTAAACAGTGAATCACTAAGCTGTGGATAATGTTACACCACAAGTGTGATAAAACGATAACGATGATGATAATGACAACAGCGAGCACGGAGCACTGTTAGGGGCCAAGCGTGGCTCTAAATCTGTTACGTGTATTACCTTATTTGGTCATCATGATAATCCCATGGCATATGCACAATTACTAGCCTATTTTATAGATGGGGAAACTGAGGCTCAGAGAAGTGAATCATTATAATCCCAGAACCTTGGTCTTAGTCGCTACACCGTGACCCCAGATGAGTAGAACCCAGAAGAATGCTCTTCTTTCTCATTCTTTCTGGAAGGCTGGATATTCCAAATGAAAAACAGATAGATTAGGTTAGGGACAAGAGTAAAACACACATTCACACACATACACACCACACACACACATGCACACACACATACACACCACACACGCACACACCATGCACACACACATACACACCACACACACACACACCATGCACACAAACGCACACACCATGCACACACGCACACACCATGCACACACACCACACACACACCATGCACACGCACATACACACCGCACACACGCACACACCATGCACACACACCACACACACACCATGCACACACACACACCACACACACACCATGAACACACACATACACACCACACACACGCACACACCATGCACACACACATAACACATCACACACACACACAAACACACACACCTCTTTATGTCTTTGGGGGTCAGTGAGGGGTGGGGAGGGAGCTTGGGGAATTAGCCAGTCAGTAATAACTGCTCAAACAAAAACATCCAGAAAAAATATGGCAGTTTAGCTGGGAAGAGATTATTTTTAGCTGCTGGGCAGGAAGCTGTTGAGTATAAAATGCAGGGCTACTGAAGGATTTCAACACAAAAGGGACATAATGAAAGCTATGCTTTTAGGAAAATAAAACTGTGATCCATGAGTATGAGGGCCTGGAAGAAGAAAAGACTTGAGGTGGAAAGGCCAATGTAGAGGGGCCTACAGGAATGTGCAGGGCAGGCATTGACGGCTGGAGCTGGGGTAGTGGCATGGGGACGGAGAAGCTGACAGAGACCCTGTAGAAGCAGAACAGGTAGAGCAGTGGGTATGGAAGTCAAGTTGACTGCAAGAGTTTAACCTGAATGGCTAACAGGCCGTGGGGGTCTCATGAAGAGAAATAGGAAAGCTGGGAGAAGAAGGGAATATGGGGGCGGAAGTGCAGGCACAGAATATGAGGCCCTGGTGAGATGCACAGGGGCACTGGGAGTTTAAGTTCAAGAAGGAAGTCAGAGCCCCATGCAGAAGCAGCTTCAAAAGCTCAGGGTGGGAGGAGACGGGCTACGGCTGAGTGTTCGGTGAGAAAGGGGAGGAGCAGCAAATGTAGAAACATCGGTCACATGGACTGACGATGAAGAAAGAAGAGAGACGTCAGGACAGGTTAAAGGGGCGGAAGGAGCCAGAGAAAGTCTAGCAGAGGATAAAGGAGCCAATGTTCATAGACCAACGGGCAGACTCCAGTGGAGCAGAGAGAAAGAAAATGCATGAGAGAGAAAGGAACAACCAATGCAACCAAAGTATGCTGGCGGAAGGCCACCGGAGTCCAAAGAGAGGGGAGCTTAGAGAGAATGACCTTTTCTCCAGCAGAGAAAGCAGAGCAGGAAAGCAGTTGTGGAAGCAGAACTGATTGACAACCTCCAGCTGTCTTTGCACCTTTGGATTCACCCAGCATTCATTGCAGGTCATGCTGCTCCCAGGCTGTTCCAGGCGATGACTGAGCACGGCAAAGTGCTAGAACTGCACCATTCCACCCTCAACCCCATGGGACTCCTCTAACAGGCAACGTTTGCTCAAGGACTCCTCCGTGGCCTGGCTGAGATGTAAAGAAAGAAGGAGAGAATCAAGAAACCTACAGATACGGAGCAGGGAGGTGAGGAATACTTAGGGAGTTCATGAGGGAAGGCTACGTCCAGAAAACAGCAAGAGTGTGGGTGTAATGAAAGGAGAACAGGGTTGCAATAAAGACTGTGAGAAATGAAATCAATGGAAAGAGAAAGTTAAATACACCAAGGAACCCTGAGGACCACCTGATCTTGGAGAACACACAAATGGTGCATCAGTTGGATTGGTTGTATGATTTTCTTTCTTTCTCTTTTTTTTTTTTTTGAGATGGAGTCTCGCTCTGTCACCCAGGCTGGAGTGCAGTGGCATGATCTCGGCTCACTGCAAGCTCCGCCTCTCAGGTTCACGCCATTCTCCTGCCTCAGCCTCCCTAGTAGCAGGGACTACAGGCGCCTGCCACCACGCCCGGCTAATTTTTTTTTTGTATTTTTAGTAGAGAAGGGGTTTCACCGGGTTAACTAGGATGGTCTTGATCTCCTGACCTCGTGACCCACCCACCTCGGCCTCCCAAAGTGCTGGGATTACAGGCATGAGCCACCACACCCAGCCGGTTCTACGATTTTCTTTATAATGCACTGTGTAGGCAAGGAGCAGAGACAGAAGACACAGAGTGGATGTCACTCTGGTTTGGGAGATTGATTATGTGGCCAACAGAGGGAGAAGGAGTTAAGGTCCTTAAAAGGCAGGTTAGAAATGCAAGAAGACTAAGAGAAAAAAAATTGCCTGCTAATACTGGCCTTGGAGGTGTCCAGTTCAAATCTCCATCTAAGATAAGCTGCTCTGGAAGCAGAGCTGATTGGCAGCCTGCAGTTGTCTTTGCACATTTGGATCCATCCAGCATTCATTCCAGGCCACGCCACTCCCAGCCTGTTCCAGGTAATGACTGAGAACAGTGGGGGTACCAGAACTGCAGCATTCCATTCCCAACCCTGTGGGACTCCTCTAACAGGCAATGGTTGCTTGGGGACTTCTCATTGGCCCAGGTGAGATTTTTCTCTGAATTACATACACATGGTCTGAGGCACTTCTTACCGGATCCATCCTTCCCACTATCCTTTCACAGGTGTTGGACTTGTGTAGCAGGTTGAAGCTCTCCCTGCCCACTCCAGCGCCCTTTCACTTTATGATTCACTGTAAATTTCCTGCAATACATCTCTTGCATGTCTAATTGTTTTGGCTTCTGCTTGTTGGAGGTTCTGAACTGACACAACTGGAATTGCTAATAATTCATGGAGGGGTTAGTAACTGAAAAGTGTAGTCAGTGAGGTGTGACTACAAAGATGTGAGGCTGATGGGAAAGAATCATGGGATTCTTTTTTGAAATAATGATAGATTCACAGGAAGTTGCAAAAATAGTACAGAATCCCCTATACTCTTCACCCAGCTTCCTCCAATGGCAGCATCTTATATAAGTCTAGAAGGATATTAAAACCAAGAAATTGACATCGATGTAATATTCACAACCAGTTTATATGATTTTATGCAATCAGATTCTCATCATGTTTTTGTCTCATAGAAATATTGATCTCATCTTCATTGCAAAAAGTCACTTAAGTAATAGTTTATTTCTAAGTAAACTAGCTCTATAACTGCAAGGTTTGTAAGACACATAAATAAAGCTGCAGGTGGAAGGGGAAATAGAATATGAGAGATGTCTACTGAGGAAAGAGGTCTCCATCCACCTGTTTATCTATCCATCCATCCATCCATCCATCCACCCACCCACCATCCATCCATCCATCCACCCATCCATCCATGTTTGCTAAGCCTTTCCCTAGTGTCAGGAACTATGCACTTTCTATTGCACTGAGATACGAACATCAAAATGGTAGCAGCAGCTATTGTACTTCTGTTTGGGCCCAGATGCAATGAGGAATCAGGGTGACTAGCCGGCAAAGAATATCCAGATCAGTCCTGAGATTGTTTCCACATTGGCAGTAATTCAACTGATAGCAACCTTATGCTCAACGGCTAGGATCATACCTTTTTATGAGTCATTGTAAAGTGCCAAGGGCGTTGACATATACTTCATAAATGCTAAATGATAACAAGCCAGTGAACCTAGAAGTATTGGATTCAGTATTTGAGACATTAAATCCAAGTTATGCTGTTCTAGAAACAAGGTAAACAAATAAATCAACCCCAAATCAAATAAAGCCCACATCCATCCCCAGCCAGCACTGGGTGTTGTATGGAATGCTCTTTATGGGTGAGTGGTTATCTCATGAAGGGGCACTTGTTAGTATTTTACCTGACAGATCACACACAATGCCTTGCCTGTGATTTGGGAGAAGAGTTTTATATCCAGTCCACAGTAGACAACAGCAACACTATATTCTTAAGGCTCCAATTCCCTTTATTTGATGCCAGAAAATAATGTCTGCTGAAGCCCTGGAGAAGAGTAACAGTCACCCCACTGAGCAATTAGACTGATCCTGGCAGGGAGTCTCTGTAGGCAGTACTGGGAGACACTGTTTGTATTTCAAAGCCAGGATTTAGTTTTCCTTAAAGACGTAAGTCTTTTTAGGGGTCCCTGTGATTCCTTGAGGGTTTAGGCACACAATCTGCAAAGCCTGAAATGCCACATAATCCTGTACTGGCTACTGAACTGGATACAGCATGGTCTGAGTGGTTTTCTGATTCACAGCCCAGAGCTCTGAACATGGCCTGGTGCTGTTTGATCTGGGGTCTCTGGGCATGGCCCCTTCTCTCTAGGAGTCTGCCGTCTTGGTTGCACATACAAACATGATTTCCTAGGACTCACATTCCCTTAGTCATTTCACAGTGATGACACCCTGAGGAGCAAAGCCCAACTTTACATAGCAAAATAGCGACGGCAAAGCTCATTGCAAATTAGGAGGCGATGACCATGACATCTCAGGGAGTGACACAGACTGACAAGATCACGCTCGAACATCGTCTAGGAGGAGATGCCATTCTTCAGTGGTCACTTCCAAAACAATTTTGCTGTCATTCAATTGCAGTCAAGGGAGGCAGAGCCAATGAGCCTACACCAGACAACTAGATCTGCCAATGAAGTATCGAGTAGAGGACTACAGAGCCAGGAATCAAAAGGTAATACAGCCATCAGATGCTGACCTTGCTACATTTTCTACAAATAGAAGATGATTCTATTTGTAGTTTCTGCCAGTTTCTGCATGGTGCAGGCCTAGCTCATCACGTTTTATAGAATTGAATGTACATGTGAACAATAGGATGTTTTCAATGTTTACGATGGCGGTTCTCAAATATTACTGAGCATCCCAATCACCTGGAGACTTCAAAAAAAGCAGATTTCTGTTCTACAACCTCAGAGATTCTGACTTGGTAGATCTGGGATGAGGAAGTTTTTAGCAGGCACTCCAGTGATGGGAGCAGATGGCCTGTCCACCATGCTTTTGGAAATCATTGCTTTAAATCAGTGTTTCTCAGTCTTTGCAAGGGTGCAATGTAAAGAGTTTAGGGAAATACCTTCAAAATAATCCAGTTTGAATTTCTTATTTTGCAGATGAAAAAACTGAGGGATCAAGTAACTTTCTCAAGGTCACTCAGTCACAAGTACAAAGTTAGGATGATAAGCAACATTTAATCATAGTGCCCTTTGTACCATTTCATTTGGTGAATCTCCTCTCCATCAAGTCCTGTTGGACATGTACACAAGTAAGTAGGAACTAGAATGCATTTGGATTATCATCCAAATGCATTATAATGATACTATCTAAATTATAATATAATTATAATGATGTGGATAATTTTTATATCATTGAAACAACTGGTGAGAACTTCAGTGTTGCCAAAACAAACACTAGAAAAAATGAATTCAGAAAGAAACGGCACCTACCTTCTCCAAATCGAGGGTGAAGATGAAGATAGCAAGGACTCAAAGTTGTCCTGTTAACAAGCACAACGTCTGGGTTCCCCAAATCAGAGTCTATAACAAAGCAAAAAGTAAATAGTTTCAAAAAACTATTTTTGGTACATATTCCTGATACTGTATCAAAACAACAGTACATGCTTTCCACAAGCTGTTCTAGAGTCAAACTAGATTGAGGTGTTATAAATATGGTCATCATTTCTAGGTCAATACCTCACTTGACTTTGTGTCGCCATTGTCAGTTTAAGCTGAAGAGTTCTGTGTCTCAGCAAATTTCAGATGTGTCTTGACAAGGGCCATTGGAAGATTAGCCCATGGACTTGACTCTGAATTGTTATAATAGAAGACCCCCTCAGACATGGGATATGAAGCTCTGAGAACTTCTGACTCATTTGTTTGGATCCCCTGTTAGAAGAGAGTGAAAACTGAATACAACCTCATTTCAAATGAATGGGAAGTCAGAGAAGGCAAGCCAAGAAGAGTGACTAGGTCTTTATGATTTCAGAGTTTGTATTTGTACTCATTGATGGGTTGATTGATTGACTCATTCATTCATTCAAGAACGATTTATGAAAACTTTTCGTGAGCTAAGCAGTTCTTCTATTCAGTAAGATGGTAGGTTTTACCCAATGTGAAACTGATTGGCTGAAAGGAGGGTAAATACCCATAATTAGTTATTAATCCTATAATAATTTAGAAGAAAGGCCAAGGCCTAACAACCTTACAGGTTGGTTATACAGGCAAGAGCACTTAAGTGGGAGTAAAGTGGCCTGGGTCAAGTTCTGGGAGACCTTCGGCTATAGGAAGGTTTCTCAACTTCAACAGTAGATACTTGTGACTGAATAAATATTTTTTGGGTGTGTGGGCTGTCCTGTGCACTGTAAAATGTTTAGCAGCATTTCTGGCCTCCAGATGCCAGTAGCATCTCCCCACCCTCCAGTTATGACAACCAAACAGGTCTCCAGATTTTGCCAAATGTCCCCATTAAGAACCACTGGAGTACAGTAGTAACTACTATTTTTTAAGCACCTTTTAGGGGCATTGTGCCAGGGTTTAATATATATCTTCACATTCAGTCTTGACACCAGCTTTTCAAACAAGCATTCTTATTTCTATTCAAAACATGGTGAAACTAAGGTCCAGAGATGTTAAGGGAATCATCCAATATCACACAATTGGCAAGCATTGGAAAAGATTTGAGCCCAGAATTATTTGACTTCAAGGCTTATATTCATCGTTCCCTATTATTTTGCTATGACATATATATATATATATATATTTGTTTTCTGAGACAGGGTCTCGCTCTGTCTCCCAGGTTGGAGTGCAGTGGTGCAATCTCGGCTCACTGCAAGCTGCACCTCCCGGGTTCACGCCATTCTCCTGCCTCAGCCTCCCGAGTAACTGGGACTACAGGCGCCCACCACCACACCTGGCTAATTTTTTGTATTTTTAGTAGAGAAGAGGTTTCACATGTTAGCCAGGATGGTCTCGATCTCCTGACCTCGTGATCCGCCCACCTCAGCCTCCCAAAGTGCTGGGATTACAGGCGTGAGCCACCGCACCCGGCCACTATGACATATTTTAAGCATTTGGAAAAGTACAGAGAATAACCTAATAAAGACCTATATATTTAGAACTCCATTTTGATCACTGCTAATATTTTCTCCCTTTGCTTTATATCTATGCTTTTGGACAATAAAATGGTATAAATGAGATGGATCTTTCTTTTAGACTTTCTCAATTCTTTCTCTCTCACTTCTTCCCCCAAATAACCATTCTACTGAGATTGCTGCCATGCCGTTCCCGGGTAAGAGTTTACATTTTCTTACATGTACCTGAGTAGTCTCATAAATAATATATAGCACTTGAAGAAAACTACATAAAAGTACAAATTCTTGTGCAATCTGTTTTCTTTAAACTCAACGTTAAGTTTTTGAGTTTTTTCTATGTTGGAGCTACGGTTTCAATTCCTTTATTTTAACTGTGTGAGAATAAATATACCACAATGGCTTGACATTTAGGTTGTCTCCTGTTTTTCACTGTTACAAGTCACAGCGCGGGGAACATGACTGTGTATGTGTGTGTGTACACACGTGTGAGCGTTTCCCTAGGAAACACAGCTAGATGTGGGATTCCTGGGTTGCAGGATGTGCATGTCTTCAACTTTATTAGATATTGCTAAATTGCTCTCCAAAATGATTGTACTAAATTACACTCCCTCCAACACACTGTAAGATTATTCATTTCTTCACATCCTTGCCAACGTTCGGTATTTTCAAACTTTATAATGTTTGCCAGTCTGATTGGGGTGAAATAGCATATAATTATTGTTTCAAAAGCCTATGTTCTTAACCACTACTCTTACTGTCTACGCTTCTTGAAGCTTCAGTTATGTAAAATGGAGAAAATACCTTTTTCGATTTCTTGGAGTAGTAATAAATTCTCCTGGTGTAATATACGAATGCATTTTGTAAATATGAAGTGCCACCTTTGTTCATTGCTGGCAGTGGCAGAGAAAATGTGCAGTTTCTATAGCAGGCAATTTGATGAAATCTATCAAAATTTCAAATGCACATGTATTTTCTTTGAACGTAAAAAAATAATTTCAAAATTATAGAAAAGGTGCAAAAATAGTGAAGAGAATTTCTATATACCCAGATTGTCTAAACATTAACATTTTAATCACATTTGAATTATAATATTTATGTGCATGTATATTATATGCACACGCATTATTTTTCCAATGATGTTAACTCTGACAATTTTCTATAAACATTCTGCTAAATAACCATGGAAAAGTTGTCAAAATCAAGAAATTAACATTGCTATAATACCATTACCTAATTTGTATATCTTATCCAAATTTTTTCAACTGCTTTACTATTGTCCTTAACCGTAAAATAAATTTTTTTTTTCCTTTCCCAGGATCCAATCTAAGATCATTCATTGTACTGAGTTGTCAAGTCTCTTCAATTTCATTTAGCATGGAATAATTCTTTAGTCCTTTTTTTCTCTTTCAGGACCTTGACATTTTTGAAGAGCGCTGGTGAGTTATTTTGAAGAATATCCCTCATTTTAGGTTTGTCTGATGTTTCCTCATGATTAGATTCAGGGTATGCATTTTTGACAAAAATAACATGGAATTGACGTTATGTGCACCATATGTCAGTTTGTCCCAATACTGGTGATGCCATTTCGATTGCTTGGTTAGAGTGGTGTCTGCTAGGTTTCTATTGTCCTTTTTGTAATTGGTAAGTATCTTTTTGGGAGATATTTTGAGACTCTGGAAATATCCTGTTTATATCAGCATGGACTCATGGATTTAATGAGTTATACTGTGCTACTATCGATGTTTATTTTGATGCACGCTTGGCCAGTTGGGACCCCTTCATTCTTGCTCCTGATGTGTGTCTTCTGACATGTCCCCATTTTTCCGTGAGCATTTCCTTACTTTCTGGCACAGTAAGATGTCCCAGGTTCATCTTCTGTTTTCCCAGCTTCTGTCCTGGAATGGGCCATTTTCCATTGAAGTAGAGAATAGTATTTAGAAACCAAGATCCGGGTGCTAGGCATGTTCTTTGTTAGTGGTGCACCTATCTGGTTTTTTTTTTTTTTTTTTTTTTTTTTTGAGATGGAGCTTTGCTCTTGCCGCCCAGGCTGGAGTGCAGTCTTGGCTCACTGCAACCTCCGCCTCCCGGGTTTAAACAATTCTCCTGCCTCAGCCTCCCGAGTGGCTGGGATTACAGGCGCCCACCACCATACCCGGCTAATTTTTATATTTTTAGTAGAGACGGGGGTTTCACCATGTTGGGCAGGCTGGTCTCGAACTCCTGACCTCAGGTGATCCACCTGCCTTGGCCTCCCAAAGTGCTGGGATTACAGGCATGAGCCACTGCGCCCAGCCTATGCACCTAACTTTTAACCTAGCAATTTCTCTTTCAAGAATTCTTGCAGCAGATATGCCCACACACTTGTTAAAGGATTTATGTGCAAGGTTATTAACTGCAGCATTATATAGGATAGCAAAAGATTAGACATAACCTAAAGATCTATTAATAGGAGACTGGTTCTATAAATTATTTGAATCCATACAGTGGAATATTATGTATCCATAAAAGATTAATAAATTGCTTCAAAAATATATTGTTAAACTAAAAAAAATACAACTTTGTGTCTAGTGTGTTACCATTTGTGCACTACTAAAAGGAGAAATATATATACAGTTACAGGTATATGTCTATATGCTTGCTGATAAGTGCATAAAATATCTCTGGAAAAATGCACAAGAAGCCAAAAACATTGACTGTGGGGAAGAGGATTGGGTAGCATGGGGAACAGAGGGAAGATGATGTTTACTATGAACTTTGTTGTACCATTTAAATTTGGGACTATATGAAGTATTAAAAATAAAATACTATAAAACATAAAATAAATATAGCATTAATAAAGCATTATTTTAACCTAAGGTATTCATTGAGAACTCAAATATCAGAAGGGGAATTCTGTTTTCCAAGAAAATTGGCTAGCTAAAAGTGAAACTCCAATTTGATCACTATTCCTTTGTATAAATATAAACATTCCTGTGATTGTTTTTTTTTTTTTTTTTTTTTTTTAGGACAGAGTTTCACTCTTGTTGCCCAGGCTGGAGTGCAACAGCACAATCTCGGCTCACCGCAACTTCCGCCTCCCGGGTTCAAGTGATTCTCCTGCCTCAGCCTCTTGAGTAGCTGGGATTACAGGGATGCACCACCACGCTCGGCGAATTTTTTATTTTTAGCAGAGACGGGGTTTCTTCATGTTGGTCAGACTGGTCTCAAACTCCTGACCTCAGGTGATCCACCCACCTTGGTCTCCCAAAGTGCTGGGATTACAGGCGTGAGCTACGGCACCCAGCCCTGTGATTCTTTTATGACTTAACTTCTCCATCTGTAATACGGTATAATAACATCACTAACCCATATAGCAGAGAAAATGAAACTGAAGCAGTAGAAATAAGAGAAGCAGTCTAAAAACACAAAGTGCCAGGCTACTGTGACTATTAATAATGCCACATTTTCACATTTAAGTGAATTTAATCAATATTTGTGAATGAAAGAATGAATGGATGGATGGGTAAAGTTATAGGAGAACAAAGATGGGAGGAGAATTAGGTTGAATTGCTTGAGTTTCAAGAAAAACCTTTTAAAAGCACA
Organism: Homo sapiens; assembly: GCF_000001405.40. Taxonomy (NCBI): domain Eukaryota; kingdom Metazoa; phylum Chordata; class Mammalia; order Primates; family Hominidae; genus Homo; species Homo sapiens. The sequence continues at coordinate 73,262,272 of NC_000016.10, forward strand.
GGAATAAATTTAAGGAGCAGACTTAAGGTAGATAGATTGTTTTAATGCATTTTGTGATCCCATACTTCACATAAGAATTGTGATACTCCAGGGAAGCAACACAGCCTAGCAGCTGATGCCATGGCTTTTAGAGTCAGGAAACTTACACTGATAGTCCAACTCTGCCACACTAGTTGTGTGACCTGGAGCAAGTTACAAGTTATTCAACCTCTATCTGCCTCAGTTTCCTCTAGAGCTAGAAGGGTTCTCAGAGGTGATCTAATATGTGTCTCTTATTTTCCAGATGATGAGACAAGGTAAAAAAAGGGCTTGAGGAGACAAAGTGGTTGCCCAAGGTGGCATCATCAACCAGAAGCAGATTTGGCCCTAGAACATAGGAGGTAGATTGCAGACAGGCACAAATTCCTTGCAGCTCCTCTTATCAAGAAAAAGAGTGTTTTTCTCTACCCCTTTAACGTAGTGAAAATGAAGTTGTGTGAGAGTCAAGCCTGGATTGTAAGGGGTCTTTGAGTTTCCTTCTGCTCCTCTCACTCTTGGAATGCTGCTGCCATGTGAAAAAAACCGGGGTTAGTCTGTGGGAGGATGAGAGACTACATGGAGCAGAGACAAGAATCCCCGAGGAAGCCCTCCCATGCCAATCAGCTGGCCGACTGCCAGACATGTGAGTGAGGGGCCCCAGAGCTCCCAGCCCCAACCAAGCCACCAGCAGGCTACAGAAACCCACCGAGTTGGTTCAGATTAGAAGAGCTACCCTAGCCATCCAGCCATCCCAGCCACCCCAAGGAACCATGAGATAAATCAATAAAATGCTTGTTGTTTTAAGTCTGGAGTGTTTGTTACACAGCGAAAGCTAACTGATAACAAACCCAATGATAGCCTCTTTTCAATGAAACTACATTTACAATTCACTTTCAGGAAGTCCTTTTTTTTTTTTTTAATTTAGAGACAGAGTCTTACTCTGTCACCCAGATTAGAGGGCAGTCACTACAGCCTCAACCTCTTAGGTTCAAATGATCCTCCCACCTCAGCCTCCTGAGTAGCTAGGACTACAGGCAAATGCCACTAAACTTGGCTAACTTATTTTTATTTTCATTTTTTAAGAGATGGGGGTCACAGTATGTTACCCAGGCTGATCTTGAACTCCTAGCCTCAAGTGATCCTCCTGCCTCGGCCTCCCAGACTGTTGGGATTACAGGCGTAAGCCACTGTGCCCAGCCTCTAGGAAGTCTTGGGTGACCAATTCTCCACCTAGATTGACTGTCTCTCCCTACCCACATGTTGCCTGGTCCATGTCCCTCTCCTCCCAGAAGCAGCTTCTGTTTCTGCCTGTGATCCTACAAATGGAGGGATAAATGTATGACCTCCAGAGTCACAGACCATCGTCCTTCTGCAGCAGCAGCAAGAGAGATTGGTACAGGACCCAGAGAGCTGCTAGTTGCAGGAGTCCTCCTGTCCCACCTCTTACTTCACAGACTCTAGACCCCTGTTACTGGGTATGCCAACTACACTATTATTAAATTATTCAGGATTAAAAGGAAAGGTGCTTATCTGGCACTGGCTGGAAGGTGCTAAGCAACAGGGAAAGAACATCCTATAAAAATGAGAGCCCTGATGGCCAGGCGCAGTGGCTCACGCCTGTAATCCCAGCACTTTGGGAGGCCCAGGAGGGCAGATCACTTGAGGTCAGCAGTTCAAGACCAGCCTCACCAACATGGCTAAACCCCGTCCCTACCAAAAATACATAAATCAGCCAGGCGTGGTGGCAGACGCCTGTGGTCCCAGCTACTTGGGAGACTGAGGCATGAGAATAGCTTGAACCCGGGAGGCAGGGGCTGCAGTGAGCTGAGATCATACCACTGCACTCCAGCCTGGGCAACAGAGCAAGACTCTATCTGCGGGGAAAAAAGGGCCTGGGAGTGAGTTTCTTGAGTATCAGATTTCCAAGTATTCATTCCCCCTCTTCTTTTTATCCCTCATTTCCCTTTTCCTTGGCTTCCATTAATATTTTCTTTCCTGTTCCCTCAAGGTATCCGTATTCATTTCCAGAAATAAATGAAGGGTTTCCTGGTTTCCATTAAATTTAATGCCCATATCCTCTACTCATTCCCCTTCCTTCCAACTTTAGGAGTCTTTTCATTTTTCTCTTTTACAACTTTCCCCACAACTGCCCTCATATAGGAGATTCTAGAAATGCCAGGCTCCTGATGAATGCCCCAAGATTTTCCCAATCAGAATCTTAGGAAGTTCTGCTACTCTATTATTATGAAGAGACCAAAGACACATGGACAAAGGAACAACCGACTTTTTTTTTTTTTAGTTTTTTATTTCTATATATTTGGGGAACGGGTGGTATTTGGTTACATGGGCAAGTTCTTTAGCCGTGATTTGTGAGATTTCAGTGCACCCATCACTCAAGCAGTATACAGTGAACCCAGTTTCTAGTCCTTTATCTCTTACATCCTTCCCAAGCTTTCCCCCTGAGTCCCCAAAGTCCATTGTATCATTCTTATGCCTTTGCATCCTCAGAGCTTAGCTCTCACTTATGAATGAGAACAATGTTTGGTTTTCCATTCTTGAGTTACTTCACTTAGAGTAATAATCTCCAATCCCATCCAGGTTGCTGTGAATGCCATTAATTCATTCCTTTTTATGGCTGAGTAGTATTCCATTTTACATATATATATATGTGTGTATATATGTGTATATATATGTGTGTATTATATATATATATAGCACCTCAGTGCATATATATATATATATATAACACCTCAGCGCATATATATAATAGCACCTCAGCGCATATATGCGTGTGTGTGTGTGTGTGTGTGTGTGTGTGTGTATATAACAGTTTATCTACTTGTTGATTAATGGGCATTTGGGCTGGTTCCACATTTTTGCAACTGTGAATTGTGCTGCTATAAACACACATGTGCAAGTATCTTTTTCGTCTGGTGACTTCTTGGGAACACCTGATTGTGGAGACAAGGGCGGAATCGGCTGGGGATCTGGAAATCCTGGGGCGGAGCAGCAGTCATGAGGAGGAGCCATGCTGATGGGAGGAGCCATGCTGGTGGGAGGAGCCAGCTGGAGTCAGCTTTGCTGCAGTTTTCTTCTTGCCAGGGCTAGTTTCTATGCTGCCTAACTTGGTGCTGGATACAGTTCTCAGAATTCCATCACCCTTGAACTCTGAAATGGTGGGGGTTTTTTTGTTTGTTTTTTGTGAATGCTAATTTTCTACCCAGGACTCTTGGAATAAGCTGAGATGCATTGACCACGCAGTTTGGAGCAAAGTGGTTTCACCCGTTCCCATCTACCTGTCGGGCATTTGGTACTTTTGAGAAATGCTTTAGAAGAGGAATGAGGAAATCTGTGTCATCGCCTGGAAATTCTGGTCCATGACCTCAACAGCCCTCCTGGAATTTCCCTGGCCAGTTTTCTGTCCTAAATGCAGATCACCTACATTAATAGAAGATTCTGGGCATTTGTATAAAAATGGCTGCAGCGATTCACAACGTTTTGTTTGGTGATAGAGGAGAGCAGTTCAGGCTCTATTCTATAGGGACATTAAGGTATGCTGGTCAAAGCATAAAGGGTCCTGAAGGGAAAAGCAAGCATTCCCAAGGAGAATAAGGAAAATGTAAACAGCTACCAGGCGTGGGTGCCATCTGATCGATTTCATCTTCCAGCAGGAATTTCCCAAACCTGATCACTTTCTCCATTGCTAACAGAGAGTAGAGGAAACACAGCAATGGGGAAGTCCGTTTCGAAAACAAACCACTTACTCTTTACAGCAAAGGGACTGAAGTTTTTCAGGAGAAAGATCTAGCTGCTCTCCCATTCATCAAAATGTGGCAGGGCAGTGATTACAAATGCAAATGTAACCTTTAGGTCCTATAGGCAAAGACAATGCTCACCGCCTGTATCCAGTGGGCAGTTGCGACTGGGTTCTTTTCTCAATTCTAGTATTTTTATAAACCTATCATCACATATTCTGCATTTATTTGTGGGTGGGTATGGAATGTTACTGCTACACATTTTAAATAATTAGTATTAGTTAATATTTAGTTTCTATTTAGTATAGTTTATATTATTTCTATTTAGTATTACTTTCGAAAGCAAACTTACATACAAGATAACATCTATACTTCCCTTTTGAGATTCAAGAACTAAATGAAGAGCTAGGAGGTGCCAGGCATGACGAGAGGTGTTAGCATCTGGAATTTTTACAATGCTACTGTGAAGGAGTAATATTCATCCACATGTCTCCATTTTGCAGACGTGAAGACAGATTCCAAGCACTTAAGGGGCTTGGCCATGATTAGTTGGTGATGTGGTTTGGCTGCGTCCCCACCCAAATCTCATCTTGAATTGTAGCTTTCACAATTCCCACATGTCATAGGAGGGAACTGGTGGGAGGTAACTGAATCCTGGGAATGGAGCTTTTCTGTGCTGTTCTCATGATAGTGAATAAGTCTCAAAAGATGTCACGGTTTTATAAGCGGGAGTTTCCTTCCTTGCCCATGCTCTCTTGCCTTCTGCCACATAAGATAGGGCTTTCGCCTTCCGCCATGATTGTGAGGCCTCCCTAGCCATGTGGAACTGTGAGTCCATTAAACTTCTTTTTCTTTATAAATTATCCAGTTTTGCGTATGTCTTTATCAGCAGCATGAAAACATACCAATACACTTGGGTACTGCAAGGCAGAAAGGAGATGTGAACCTAGATATATTGACTCCAATCCCAGTATACATTCAGGATACACTTGTAGTCAAGTGCATGGTGATAAAAAAGCACAAGCATGACCTGTGGTTTGATTACACTTTCGTGACAGCCTCAGGGCTGTGGTGTCACTGAAGAGGGAAAAATATCTATGGCAGATACGTTTGCCTGGGATTAGCGGAAGGGCAGAAGGAGAAGGGGGTTCTGATGCATCTTTCTGCTGCATCAAGCACTTCACTGAATTGCCATCTCTCCCTTGGGCCTGTGGAATACACATTTCCTTTGTAACTTCATCTTGGGTCTGGGGCACAGGGTCTTGGGGGTCATCTTGTTTACACAGGAAACACAAGGCTTCAAAATGGCCACCCCCAACTATGATGGAACAGCTAGGTTTCAGCGGGGAGAGTACTTCCGACTCGGTTTGAAGAAGTGGAATTTGGGCATATGGAGTCGTCCCTGATGATGACTAACCAGGCTCAGATCTGTATTTATACAGCATCCCAGTCTTACAAATTGAACATGTACCAAATCATGGGGCATTTTTATACAAAAGGGACGAGCCTCAATGACATCCGGTGGTGGTTTCCTTGCTACAGGATGCCTTTTCCCTCTTGAACCCTGACCACCTGCCATGAAACCTTTGCATTCTGTGACCCCTCTGCCTGCCAAAGCCCTCCATGGGCAGCTTGGTCTAGCCTGGGGTAGCCTTGAGAGGTGACTGGGCTAGACCTTGAGGGGACGCTGGGCTAGACCAGTTTATCCCAGTAGATTCTCAAAGACTCAGCATTGCTGTTTCCATTCATCTTTAAGATGATACGCAAATTTTCATTAAGTGAACTTCTTCCTCATTTTATTTTTCTCCCCAGAGTTTGATGTTTAACTAAAGGAGAAGTAATTCAGGGCCCCAGGATGTGTATTTATTTTTTCAATTTGTGATGTCCCCTCATCACCGCCTCTCAGTGTATCTGTTGGTAAAAATGGAAAGTGATATTAGTGCTATTATTAACCTCCATCGTTATACTTGGAAGATTTCAGAAGATTTGATTTACCCAGTATTTCCATCTCTGTATGGCTATGGTGATAAGTGGGAAGTCAAGAAGAAACACAAAGTAGGATGTGAATAAATCCATTTTTTTCCACAATAAATGACTGAAATCATACTCTTCTTCCTTTTTTTTCCCTAGACTAGGGTTTTGTAAGAAGCATGGTGGTATGAGTTAAACTTGGCCTCAATTGGTTTTGCTTGAGCACAATTATTCCCATATGGAGTAGGAAATTCTCTGTTCTGCAGAGTTCTGGGGGAGATGCTTTAGAATGTGGTGCACTATTCCCCTCAAACTCTATATGAATCTGAAGAACAGAACAGAATGCTGAGTGCATTGCAGGGGAGAGACAAGGGTGTGTGGTTGCCCAGTTACCCAGCGAGAGTCACGTCCCAGACCCTACCCACAGGAGACTGACATTTAGACAAACTTGTTCTCAGCCACTGGCGCTGCGCCCGACGCAGGGCATGGCTCTGAATGGCTCTGGCATCTGTTTTGTCTTGCCTCAAGCCCACACACTGGGACTTGCTTGTTTTCATCCAATAGCAATTAGCACCGTGGTAAATGCCTTGTGCTCTGTGCTAATTCAGAAGAATAAGCCTGTCGCAACTCCGCCAAGAATTACAGCTAATCACAGAGGGCTCGGGGCGCACCTGCCCTTTCATCAGCCTTTTGTTTTAAAATGAGGGGTTGGTGCAACCCGAAACACTGCATTCTCTCCTTGGTCAGGGATAACCATGGAGACCCAGGGGAGACTTGGAGTGCATCCTGGTGGCCATCCCTGGGACATGCTTCCTACAAAGGGGCACAGCGAGCAACAGGGAACCCAAGCAGCTATTTACTGTGGGCAACTGCAGACAGGGTGGGCCCCGGGGACACTCCACAGAGGTGCAGAAGCTTGGTCTACAGCAGTGCCCACCAATGGAGACTGTTCACAAGTCACTGCAGATGCAGTACTTGGGAATAAAGACCTGGGCTGCCTCCACTTTCAAGCTAAAAAGCTCTTTGGTTATTGTTTTCTTTTAGCCTCATCATCTAACCTAGAACCTGGGCTTATTCTAAGAATATACCTTCTGTCCTAATTTGGTATTGATCATTTATTGATTTTTGTGCTTTTTCCTTTTAAAGTTAGGTTTGAAAAATAACTTACATTCAGGAAAATTCTCCCCTTTAAAGTGTATGGATCTATGAGTTTTGACAAATGTCAACAGGCACATCACCACCACCACCACCAGGGAGCCATTGGATGGTTCTTTTGTCCCTGAACATTCTTTCTTGTTTGTTTCTCGTCAGTTACCCTTCCCTGCCTCCAGCCCAGGAATCTACTGATCTAATTTTTATTCCTATTATTCTGCTTTTTCCACAATGCCATATAAATGGAATAATTCAGTATTTTTTGTTAGCGACTTCTTTCACTTAGTATGATGCCTTTGAGATCCATCTATGTTCCCTTGTGTATCAGCAGTTTGTTGTTTTATTGTTAAGTGGTATTTCATGGCACGGATGTACTGTAGTTTATTTTCCAGCAAATGGACATCTGGGCTGTTTCCAACTTTTAGTTATTATTAATAACCTTCCACGAATATTCATGTACATCTTTGTTTGGGTATATGTTTTTATTTCTTTTGGGTAGATACCTAGGAGGGGGATTGCTTGGTCCTTCATCATATATTTAACTTTACAAGAAACTTCCCATATATTTTTCTTTTTTGCTTTTCTTTATTTTTTTTTTTGAGACGGAGTCTCACTCTGTCACCCAGGCTGGAGTGCGGTGGCGTGATCTTGGCTCACTGCAACCTCTGCCCCCTGAGTTCAAGCGATTCTCCTGCCTCAGTCTCCGGAGTAGCTGGAATAAGAGGTGTGCGCCACCATGCCTGGCTAATTTTTTATTTGTAGTAGAGATGGAGTTTCACCATGTTGGCCAGGGTGGTCTCGAACTCCTGAGCTCAGGTGATCCACTCACCTCGGGCTTCCAAAGTGCTGGGATTACAGGTACGAGCCACCATGTCCGGCCTGCCCATATATTTTTCAACTTGCATTGCTATCAGCAACATATGCAAACTAAAATTGTTCATCCTTGTCAACACTTGGTATTGGAAGTTTTGAAAAGTTTAGTCATTCTAATAAGGATCTAGAAGTATCTAGTTGTGATTTTAGATTGCATTTTCCTAAGGACTAATGATACTGAGATTCTTTTCAAGTTATAATTTATTTAAAAAATCACTTTAAATCTACTCTGCTCAAATTCATGTTGAAGACAGGTCTCATGCAACTTATTTTAGTGGGAATTTGTCAAATCTCTCCCACGTGCTTAGAAACATGCAGCCCAGGAAGAGGAAAACATAGCCACGACCACTGATGTGCGTGGAGAACAGGAACTGCTTTATTTAACTTTTCTTCCATGCTGAGCTCATCTCAGGGGAGGAACCGAGCCTCTCCATCGCCCACAGCACCCAGCCCAGGGTCAAACACAACAGCAGGTGCTTCAATAAATATTTGATGATTGACTGAAGCAAGATGGTGGCTCTTGTTCCCAGTGGACATGACTAGGGTTTGTGCCTGTCTAGTGGGAGGTGTTAGAACCTAGAGAGGGCTGATTGACCACTTACTAAAAGATCTGCCCAGTGGAAGGCATTCATGGTATATGGAGGTCAGCGGTCCCCTATCAGGCTGCTCATTAGAACCAGGGAAAGAGTTTAAAAACATATGGATGCCCTGGACCAGAGGCGGATTTACCTTGACACTAATGAGATTCAAGCTTCAAGGCCTCAATTGCATGGTACCCACTGCGTGCTGGGAGGTCCTCGGAGTTCTAGAGTGTTCTAGGTATGGAGGGGAAGAAGCCAGGTTGCAATTAGAACACTCGAAAAGATCTCTAAACCAAGGGATCTGACTAGGTAATGTGTAACATTTCTTCCCTCATTTTAAAGCAATACTAAGCATGGAATTTTTTAAATTGGTGATTTCGTTTTGTTCTGTTTTTCATTAAGAAGTTCTCACAAAACCTGGATCTGCCCCTGCTGGATGTCACCCCAGAGGTTGTGATTTAATTTGTCTGGGGTGTGGCCCAGGCCCTGGCAATTTTTAGAGCTTGGCGTTGAGTGGAATATGCCCCAGGGTTGAGCCACATGGTTACAGTGTCCACTAATGACCAGGTGTAGGCTACAAGCCACCGGGAAAGAGCCCAGTCATGTGTGAGCCCTTGTCATTTTAAACATCAACTCTTCAACCAAATGGGCCCTTTTTGTTTTCTTCTAAGTCAGTCTTCTTGTTTTGAGACCCTCCGATTTCAGTGTGTCCCATAGGCCATCTCCCTGTGGCACCCACTGGCAGGTCACACCCCCTGCTCACTCCTCCCCAGTGGCTTTTCCCGAGCCACTGGTGAAAGCCCAGGCTGCTCCGGAGGGGCAGCACAGCAAGCTGTCAAGAGCTTGGGGCAGATGCTTGAGTCCACACTGCAGCCCCGCTTCTGAGTCAGAGGGAACTGGATCAGAATCCCACCTCGGCCACTGACCAGCTTTGTGCCCCTGGACATGTTCCTTAACCTCCCTGTCCCTCAGTTTCTTCACCTGTAAAATGGGGATGATAATAGGAACAGCTGTATAGCTTTCAAATGAAGATGAAACGAGAGGATGGTTAAGTTTCTGCTGCAGGCCAGGAGCATGGCAGGTGCCTGACAAAGGAGGAATTATGTCCTGGCTGATTGACACCTACCCGTCTTCTGGTCCACCCTATGCCATGCTTCCTGCCCTCCACCGAACTGCCTTCCTTCTCTGACAATGTTTTGTCTTCACTGGCCACATTGCTGATGGGGCATTGTCTCATCACCTGCTTCTCTTCTCAGTTAGATGCTGGGTTCTTAGAGGGGAGAGACAAGGTTTTACACCCTTCTTTCCACAGTGGTTGTTCCAAGGCAACAATGTCATCATCCACAAAATAATAATAGCTAACATTTTTTGAATGTCTGTTTTTCAGACAAGCAACCCATACCTCAGGGAGGCTGTATAACCATCTAAGTTCACACAGCCTATGGGATAACATTCATCCATGTCGAAGTTTTCATCCGTCTGAAGCAAAAATGAGAAAAGAGCAGGTAGAGCTAACCGTATTTATTTAAAGGACTAGCTTTTATTTGGAGATTATATTACTCCCTTTTTAAAAAATTTTAAGTGCTCTTTCACTGACGGCATGTGATAGTGACAGTAGGTTGCAGATTTTTTTAAATGACTTTACATTGCAAAATAAATTATTGAGTATTCTATATTTTTCTCTCCCAGTTTTTTTCTGGTAAAATGTTATTGGTCTTTGAAGTAAAAAAATCTGAGACCTGTTAGTCTGAAAAACAGCTGTATATAAAATGATGCTCAATCTGTATTGGTTAAGTCAATACATATGACATTTTACATTAACTCCTGACGCAAACTTGTTGCCAATAGAAGGAAGGAAGAGAAAATCTTTCAGTTCCTAATTCAATTTCTTTCCACCAATATTTACTGAGCACCTAACTTGTACCAAGGACTGTGCTAGAGTCTATGGACACAAAACAAATAAAACACAACCGCTGCCCTCAAAGAACCTAGCGTTATTCCCAACAGTGAGGTTGGAGAAAGTAAAAAGGAACATTGCTGCTAGAATAACCAATCAATATTTCAACAGAAATATCAATATTGTAAAAATATTCAATCAATATCAACATTTGTTAAGGGTATCTTTAATGCAATGTTGTTTTTTGAGACAGAGTGTTACTCTGTCGCCCAGGCTGGAGCACAGTGGCGATGACATGGTTCACTGCAGCCTTAACCTCCTGGGTTTAAGCAATCCTCCTGCCTTGGCCTCCTACATAGCTGGGACTACAGGCAGGTGCCATCACACCTGGCTAATTTTTAAATTTTTTGTAGAGATGGGATCTCCCTATGTTTCCTGGGCTGGTCTTGAACTACTGGGCTCAAGTGATCCTCCAGCCTCAGTCTCTCAAAGTGCTGAGATAACATGTGTGAGCCACCGTGCCCAGCCAAGGGTGTCTTTTGGCCCTTAAAGAAAAATACCACTAGACAGGGCACAATGCTTCTATTTCTCCACCAGTCTTTCAGCCCCTAACGAGGCTAAACTGATAAGGGTGTTCTAATCCTCATGTGGTAACATTCTTGGGGTTCACCTGCTACAAGGAGGAAGTGCAGATAGCAATAAGACTTCTAACAAAAAAGCATAGATATAAGGGCTATGGATCATTTGAAAAACATTTATGAAAATATAAAGAATATTAAAATATAAAGAATGAACCAAAAACCTACAATCAAAATAACTCCTGTTGGATATGAAAATAAAAAGCATTTCCTCATGTGGCTAGAAAATTCAACTTAAAAATAGGATGGCATAAAATGAGTTCTGACTCCGCTCAGTAGGCCAGCTCCATGTATCTGTTCAGATGTATTTTCCATGCATATACCATCAAAATTTATATATAAAACACATATAATACAATATACATAATCTGTCCATTTTTTCTTTTCTTTACGCAAAGGACTCATACTGAACCACACTCTTCTCCACTTCTTTTTACTTGAAAATAAATCCCAGAGATGTTTCCGCATCAGTTTTTTAAGATCTAGCCCCCTCTTTGTAAAGGCTATAGAGTATTCTATCAGAGGATATTCCATACTTTTTTTTTAAAGCCAATCTCCCACTTGCCAGATATTTAATGTCTTTTGTTACAAATAATGCCTTAAGGAGTGTCTCTGTATAGGTATTTCAGTGTACTTTTAAGGTATATCTGCAAATTTCTACAGGTGGAATGCTGCTTAGAAGAATGTATGTATTTAAATTTGTAGGCCGGATGCGGTGGCTCACGCCTGTAATCCCAGCACTTTGGGAGGCCGAGGCGGGTGGATCACCCGAGGTCAGGAGTTTGAGACCAGCCTGGCCAACATGGTAAAACCCCATCTCTACTAAAAATACAAAAAATTAGCTAGGCATGGTGGTGCGCGCCTGTAATCCCAGCTACTCGGGAGGCTGAGGCAGGAGAATCACTTGAACCCAGGAGGTGGACGTTGCAGTGAGCTGAGATCACACCACTGCACTCCAGCCTGGGTAACTGAGTGAAACTCTGTCTCAGGAAAAAAAAAGTGTAATAGTTATTACCAAATTGCCTTGCAAAAAGGTGCACAAATTTGTATTCCTGTGAAGAACGGTGGTGTAATTCTTTGCCAGGGATTTGTGTTCTCAAACTTTTGCATTTTTTCCAATTTGTTAGTTGACTTTTGATATGACATCTATGTTTTGCATTGCTTATTTTCATATTTGTTTGGTCAGCATTTCTTTATTGGTTTGTATACAGTCAAACTTACTAATCTTTTCCTTTGTGGCTTCTGGTCTTTATCTTTGTTTTAGAAAGTGTGCCCTCTTCAGTATGCTGAGTTCACTTATGTTCTATTCTATAACTTTCATGCTTTTGTTACTTTAAAGTCTTTGATCCATTTGGAATTTATTTGGGTTTATTGATGTCACTTTATTTTTCCTCAAATGTTTAGCCAGGTGTTCCACACTATTTATTAAGTAATTCATCTATTCTTTCCTGACCTGATACCCTATTTTTATGTTTAAGTCTATGTCTGGATTCCACCCATCTGTTTAGTTCTTTAGCAATACCAAATTGCTTTAATTATTGTTGCTTCTTAATCTGTTTTGATAATCTAATAGGCACAACTTACTCCATTAGACTTCCCTACCTCCTCCCTGAAGATTCCTTGCTATTTTGTATTTATGCCACAGTAATTACCAGTATTATTTTCTGAACTTTCTCTACCAAAAGGAAATGCCTCTTGGAATGCTATAAATATTCTATATGACATCTGGTGTATATTTCGGATAGATACCCTTTATTGGTCTAAGAAACTGTAGTTCCCTATAAAGCTATGTCCACAGGCAGTAAGCAAGCAAGACTTTTGTCTGTAATTTTTTTTTCTGTTTTAAAACTTGCTTTAGCCTCTGGATTCAAGCACAGAGATGTACAGAGCCTGCTAATTTCCCACCTTTTATGAAGCACATTTAGTCTATATCACTGTGCAGTAGCCCGATTCCAGGTTGCCATTTCCTGTTTCGGGACAGAGAGTCTAGAGGTCCCTGGCTTTAGTCTCACTTGTTACTTTGTATTTGTGTTCCATTTCTGGCCCATAGGGAAATCTATGACGCTTTTGAGTCCAGTTACATATTTACCTTTCTCTTCCTCTATTTTACATGTTAGAACAGAGGGGGTGAGTCAATGTGTGAATTTACCATGCCCTCCTGATAGGAAATCTGTGTGTCTGTATTTCCCTCTTAGGTTTTCAAAAGGAGATTCTCAGAATCTAGAAGCATCACTTGACGAAGCTTCGGGTGGTCATGACTGCTGGGGCTCAGGGGACAAGATCACATGGTCGTCTTTCACTAGGGGGTCTTTTGGAGGTTTGTTTTTACATCTAGAAACTCCAATATGTTAAAATCCCCATGCATAATCAAGACTTCCACTATATACCTCAGAGATATTCTGAGTTCGATTCCAGACTGCCTCAATAAAGTGAGTAGCACAATAAAGTGAGTCACACAATCTTTTTGGTTTTCCACTGCATAGAAAGGTTAATGTTTATACTGTCGTCTATTGAGTGTGCCATAGCATTATGTTTTAAAGCCCAATTTAAAATACTTTATTGCTAACAAATGCTGATGCTGAATCATGAAGGGAGCACATGCTCTTGGAAAAACTGTGCAAATACACTTGCTTGATGCAGGGTTGCCACAAATCTTCAATTTGTAAAAAATGCATATCTGTGAAGTGCAGTAAAGTGAAGCACAATAAAAGAAGGTATCCTGGTATATATTTTTGCTTAGCCTTACAGTGAGACTTTTGAGCTTTATTCTATGGACCGTATCCTTTGCTCCACACCTAACTCGAAAGTTAGGGGCGGTCAAGAGTGATGGGGGGGGACAGGGAAGGATGATATTGGGAACTTATTAGAAGATGAAGCGTCCATGCCCCATTTTTAAAACTCTTATCATTTTTCCTACACAACAAATTGTGTAATATGAATTCTCTGATCTAGTTGGTTGTGCTGTTTGTTTAGAAAACTGGGCATTGGAGGGGCTGTATTTCTTTTCTTCCTTTTTCTTTCTTTTTTTTTTTTTTTTCTTTTCTGAGACAGAGTTTCGCTCTTGTTACCCAGGCTGGAGTGCAATGGTGCGATCTCAGCTCACTGCAACCTCCACCTCCCGGGTTCAAGCGATTCTCTTGCCTCAGCCTCCCGAGTAGCTGGGATTACAGGTGCACATCACCAGACTGGCTAATTTTTGGTATTTTTAGTAGAGACGGGGTTTCACCATTTTGCCCAGGCTGGTTTTGAACACTTGGCCTCAAGTGATCTGCCTGCCTTGGCCTCTCAAAGTGCTGGGATTTACAGGTGTGAGCCACTGTGCCCAGCCCCAGTGGCTGTATTTCTTACAGTATTGTTACTTACATGGTACAGGTTTACATAATATTGAAAACAATAAAATGTAAAAAAATTATACTCTTCCATTTCTTTGGTTCTTTTAAAAATATTTCCTTTTTTTAGTGTATGTATTTAAAGTGTACAAAACGATGTTTTCCTATATAGAGTGAAATGGTGTTTTGAGATCTTAAATGTGAAATCTTGTCATATTTCTGCTGTGGTTATTTTCTTATTTTTTCAAAAGTAGAAATGCTTTCATATTCTCACAAGGGAACCACTTAAGACAAATGTCAAATTTTCCATGAATGTGGGAAATAGTCGATTACATGAGGGGAAAGGATGTTTGCGGATGAGGCAAACATTCCATCATATGGGCTAAGTCAAACTGTGACGTCCTTAAAACTATCCTCTGCCATGTTCCTTTCTACCTTCCAAGGTTTAGGAGGAATTTCTCCCCATTAGAACAGGTCAGACATGGACAAAATGCCATGTTTTCTAAAGGAGATATTCTACAGAAACTGAGAAACTGGTTAATTTACATAATGCATTTTTGGGTATCCTGAGTTATTTTCATTAAACGTACTGGCAAGATCCTTAAGAGGAGTGATTCTGCCTCACACTTTAAAAAATGTTCTCCAAAGGACTTGCTATGGGCTTGGCAAACACTTGCTGAGTTGACTTACAAAACACGGTTGGCATGATCTCAGCATTTTAATCATGACAAATCTCAGGGCTGACAAACTGCATGTTGATGTCCTTGTTTTCTATCGAATGAAAATATTTAATTTTCAGAATGAACTGAAAGTCACCCCGGGTTTACTTAATACCAACCTTGCCTCAGATGACAAATCATTCTCAAGGGCAGCACTGTGTCTCCAGAGGCCCAGAGCAGGGCCAGGCTCCCTGGATTTTAGCTCTAGGTGTCCTCCCATTTTTCTTTCTTACTGGGTAGATGAAATCTTTATTAAAATCCGAAAGCATGATAGTATTTATCCTCAGGGGCTACCATTTATAGAGGAGAACAACTCCCCAAATTGTCGATGAATTAAATCCTCATGACTTTGTCCGCTTTGTAGATGTCTCCCAATGCAAGCATTTCTGTCTGTAGGTCACCAATGTACCTAATAAAGCTGGGGAATTCATCGCTGAATATTTTCTGATTCACTCATCTTTGAATTCATCTGCTTTGCTTATGGTGGAAAGAGAAATGTCTCTGCATGAGTCCATTCTCGCATTGCTATAATACTCGGGACTGAGTAATTTTTAAAGAAAAGAGGTTTAGTTGGCTCACGGTTCTGCAGGCTGTACAGGAAATATAGTGGTTTTGGCTTCTGTGGAGGCCTCAAGAAGCTTCCAATCATGGTGGAAGGCAAAGTGGGAGCAAGGTGTCTTACAAGGCAGGAGCAAGAGAGAGAGGCAGGGGAGATGCTACATACCTTTAAACAACAGGATCTCATGAGAATTCACTTAATACCTCAATGATATTAGCAAGGGGAATATCTGCCCTCATGATCCAGTCACCTCCCACCAGGCCCCACCTCCAACACTGGGGATTACAATTTGACATGAAATTCAGTGAGGACACAGATCTAAACCATACCAGTCTATTTAAATGTTTGTGTCCAAAAGGGAACATTTTTGGGTACTTTTATCTTTTCCATTAATTTGGTAAATGATCATTTAAACCCAAGGAAGAAGTTTCTCAAACTAAATAATTATACTGATATTCTCCTAAGTTAAAATAAAGTTTTTGTTACTGTTGTTGTAGCAAATCTCTTGTTAATCAATTTTATCATTAGAGTCTCAGACAGTCAAAAGTGTGAGTTAATCCCAGCGTGCATGTTTTTGGTAAAGTGTAACGATGGAGGAAGAAAGTTGTGGTTGCTTGCTTGCTTGTAATGTGTCTGGAGTTGGTTCCTTCCACTGGGTTCGTGGTCTCGCTGACTTCAAGAATGAAGCCAGGGACCATCAAGGTGAGTGTCAACAGCTCTAAAGATGGCACAGACCCAAAGAGTGAGCAGTAGCAAGGTTTATTGTGAAGAGCAAAAGAACAAAGCTTCCACACTGTGTAAGGGGACCTGAGCGAGTAGGAGGTGCTGGCTGGGGTGGCCAGCTTTTATTCCCTTATCTGTCCCCACCCACGTTCCGTTTTTGTCCTATCAGAGTGCTCTTTTTTCAGTCCTCCCTGCTATTGGTTACTTTTGGGATCTTGCTGATTGGTGCGTTTTACAGAGCACTGATTGGTGCATTTTACAGGGCACTGATAGGTGCGTTTTACAGAGTGCTGATTGGTGCATTTTACAATCCTCTTGCTACAGAGCGCTGATTGGTGCATTTTACAATCCCCTTGCTAGCTACAGAGTGCTGATTGGTGCATTTTACAATCCTCTTGTAAGACAGAAAAGTTCTCCAAGTCCCCTCTCGACCCAGGAAGTCCAGCTGGCTTCACCTCTCAGCAGGAGTGCTTCAAAAAATTTTCACCTGTCTTCTGTTTTTTCTACTACTAAGTGGGGGGCATCCCCATACTTCTCAGTTAAATGTAATACAACTTCCTTTATAATCTTAAACTTCCGGTCTATGCATTCTTTTTGTAATCTTTACAAATTACAATGCTAATCATCTTAGGGATTTTTTTTTTCTCACCTTACAGTTAATTCATTTTGCACAAATTTTAAGCTAGGACAGAAGTTTTGACCCAAGGATCCCATCAAAGGTATTGGTTTTTCCCTCCAAGGAGTTTTCAGAAAACTGAGTCCCAGATAGCAATCAGATTTTTGTTATCAAACATCCCAAAGACTACGATATCTGTCGTAAGTAAAATACCCATAAATTATTGGGTATTTTATCCTACTAGGGGTCAGAAGTATACAGTGTATTTACGTTTTATCATATATTAGGGATCTGAAAGTGACATACTATTTTATGGCTATAAAGAAAAAAAGAATGAGCTCATATTCAAGGGAACATTGCATTTTTTATATTGAGAAAATAATTTTAAGACAAAGGTAATGAGGAACCCAATGGAAATTGCTAGTAGACTCTCTAAGGTGTCAAGTACTGAGTGATTCTTTTGTCTGTACATTTCTCATGTCTTACATGGCATTGTAAAGGCAATCCGGTCTTTTCGTTCATGTGGTTTTGGATCTTTTCAACAATGGCATTATTCTTTGTACTTAGAAGCTTGGCAGGCACTAGAACCCATCTTTCAAGCAGAACAGGCTGAAGACATGAGGACATACAGCTGCAGCTTGAAGGACGTTGCACAGAATATTAACCCTGCTTCTCTCAGAACAGAGTCTTGCAACTGAGCAAATGAAGCAATCAGTAGCTCCACAAATAAGACACTGCAACAAATTAAAAAGTACCTAAGATGCTCTTGTAGTCTGTGATAACAACTATGCACGACAGAAAGGTTTGTGAAAAACAGATACATAGACTAATGGAGCAGAATAGAGAGCCCAGAAATAAACTCATGTATAGATGGTCAACTAAATTTTAACAAGAGTACCAAGAATACACAATAGGAAAATGACAGTCTCTTCAATAAATGATGTTGGGGGAACTGGACACACACATGCAAAAGAATGAAATTGGACCCCTGTTGGACACCATACTAAAAAAATCAACTCAAAATGGATTAAAGACTTAAATGTAAGACCTGACACCATAACACTCTTAGAAGAGAACATAGGGGAAAAGATCCTTGATATTGGATGTAACACCAAAAATACCGGCAACAAAAGCAAAAATAAACAAGTGGGACTCTATCAAACTAAAATGCTTCTGCACAGTAAAGGAAACAATCAATAAAATGAAAAGGTAACCTATAGAATGGGAGAAAATATTTGCAAGCCATATATCTGATAAGAGTTTAATATCCAAAATACATTAAAAACTCATACAACTGAATAGCAAAAAAATGCACAAATGACCTGATTGAAAAATGGGCAAAGGAACTAAGTTGACATTTCTCCAAAGAAGACATACAAATAACCAATAGACACAGGAAAAGGTGTTTACCATCATTAATCATCAGGGAAATGCAAATCAAAAGCACAATGAGATGTCATCTCATGCTAGTTAGTATGACTCATATTTTAAAAAAAAGGCAAGTGTTGGTGATGATGTGGAAAGAAGGAAAACCTTGTATATTACTGGTGGGACTGTAAATTGGTACAGCCATTATAGAAAATAGCATAGAGGTGGCCAGGCATGGTGGCTCACAAAGTTCTGTATCCCAGAACTTTGGGAGGCCGAGGCAGGCGGATTACCTGAGGTTGGGAGTTCAAGACCAACTTGACCAACATGGAGAAACCCCATCTCTACTAAAAATACAAAAAATGATAGTTAGGCATGGTGGTGCATGCCTGTCATCCCAGCTACTTGGGAGGCTGAGGCAGGAGAATCTTTTGAACCTGGGAGGTAGAGGTTGTGGTGAGCCAAGATTGCGCCATTGCACTCCAGCCTGGGCAACAAGACTGAAACTCCATTAAAAGAAAGAAAGAGGGAAATGAAGGGAAAGGAGAGGAGAGGAGAGGGGAGGGGAGGGGAGGGGAGGGGAGGGGAGGAGATAGTATAAAAGTTTCTCCAAAAAGTAAACATACAACTGCCATGTGGTCCAGCAATCCCACTACTGAATATATATTCATAGGAATTGAAATCAGTATGATGGAAAGATATCTGCACTCTCATGTTCATTGCAGCATTCTCAATAGCCAAGATATGAAAACAATCATAAATGTCAATTGATAGATGAATGGATGAAGAAATGGTGGTGTATATACACAATGGAATATTATTCAGCCCTAAAAAAGAGGGAAACCCTGCCATTTGTGACACCATGGATGAACCCAGAGGACACTATGTTAAGTGAAATAAGCCTGACACAGATAGACAAATATTGTATGATATTACTTATATGTGAAAAGCATAGAAGCAGAGAGTAGCATGGTGGTTGCAGGGGCTGGGGGAAGGGGAAGACTGGGAAGTGATGGTTACAGGGTACAGAGTTGCAGCCTAGTGCCTATAGCTAAGGCTGTAGCTAACAATACTGTGCCTGTGCCTATAGCTAACAATACTGTATTGTGTACTTAAAATTGCTAAGAGGGTACATCTTACGTTAAGTGATCTTAACAAAACAAACAACAGTCATAATAAAGGGCATGGGAGGAAACTTTGAGAGGTGACAGATATGTTTATAACTTTGATGGTGGTGAGGGTTTCATGGATGTTTATTTATCCACAAACTGATCAAAAGGTATATATTAAATATGCATAGCTTTTTATATGTCAATCATACCTCAATTAAGCGGTTTAAGAAAAACGAACAAACAAAAGGCTTGTGAAACACACTAATCAGAGAATATAAATATGATCAGGGGTTACAGGGGCAGCATACCTGATTACTCGGCCTGTTTTGGGGCCAGACATGGAGATACCAAGTTTAGGGACAACCAAATGAGAATTCATTAAGACTCACAGCACAAAGCTACCTCAAAGGAATCCAAAACGCCAAAATGACACATAACATGAAAAAAACTAATTGCAATTCTAAAGAAAACTGAAGTCCGCGAATTGTGTGTGCGCGTTTGTGTGCATCTTTTATTTTTCCAGATATTTGTTTGCAAAGTTAACACAGTTTTCCCTTTGTATTTTTCCCCCACTCCACAGGTGCATTTCTTGTTCCCAGTCCTAAGTAGCGTTTACCCCCTTTTCCATCAGTAAGCAATGGTTCGGCAAAGCCAAGAGGTTATCTGATCTTCATCCTGGAAGGATGGTGATCCTTTGCTGGTGACTTGCATTTTCTGCCTAGAAATCTAAACAATTTTTCTTTGTTTTCAAGGTTAAAAATTTTAACCAGAATATAGCTTAAGGTTAGTATTTCTCTACAAGTCTATTATTAACTTGCTTTTTATCTGTAATTCTGTTATCTCTTTGTTTTAGGGAATTCTTTTGGCTATTCTATCTTTGATGGATTTTTCATTGGTGGGTTCTCTACTTCAGGAACATCAATTGTCTTTATATTGATCACTTTTTGACTGTCTTCCATATTGATTACATTGTCTCTTGTTGCTTTGTCTTTTGTTTTCTGCACTCACTACGATTAAATTAAGCCTTTTCTTTATATCAGAATTTTAATTTAGCTAATTGTATTTCAGTCTTTGCTATTCTAATTTATCTATCAGTTCAATGGTAGTGTTGTTTTAGCCCTCAGTTTCTTCTTTAACTTTGCAGTCTTTCTTTTCTTCTTGTTTCATTGTTTCATAATGTTTGATTTCCTTTAAAATATGTATGTTATTTCATTAACAACATGATGCGGTTGCATAAAATTGTCTTCCTTTCCTTGGCTTATGTTTTCTTCCAGATTAAGTCCTTCATTTGTCATTTTTGTGTTCAATTTTATTCATTCAATATTGAGTTATTGAGCATCTATTATGTGTCAGGCACTATTCTTAATGTTAGGGAAAAGCCTGTTAGGGAAACCACATTCCTGCCCTCATGGATATCACATCTCAGACAGAGAAGTCAAACAACAAATAAATAAATCTATACTAAAACATCAAGCTGGTCAGTATTTTGGGTTTGTGAACTCCTGGCTAACTGCTCAACTCTCAACTTCTCCATTGCCAGTGCCACGTAAAAGCAGCCACAGACAATAGGTAAACTAATGAGCGTTGCTGTGTTCCAAGAAAACTTTGCTGACACCTGCTTTCCGGCAACTGTTTACATTTACCGATGTTATTCTCATCCTCGTTTTGGTATTGCTTTCTGAGGTCATTGCGCTTACTGATGTTATGACAATGAGGTATAAAGTCCAGTAAAGAGAAAAAAGGATGATGACCATCCCCAGGGACACGTGTTGAGCCCTTTCCTTCACTTAACAATTATTTCAAGACCAAGGGGAAAGGGTCATTTTGGCCTCTCCTGGCCATGATCCATTTCTGGTTGTCTGTATATAAGAACGTGAAGGTTGGAATCTGATACTGGCTTCATCCTGCAACTCTCCAGGCCCGCTACTGGGGGGACTATCAACTAATGGGGGACCCAGATAATAAGAAAACATGGACATCCACCAATGAAAGTTCCCTAATGGAGTAAGAGGTCACAGGCATGTTGTAATGACACCTGCTGACTTAGTACTGCTCCTACTGCCTGATTTCTTTTACGAACATGGTAGACTTAAACATTTAAGTGTCAGCTTATTTTTCTAGGCCACGAAAATACTTTAAAAATACATTTTAAAATTCTTATTACCAGCCTGGGCAACATAGTGAGACATTATCTCTACTAAAAGTGAAAGAAGAAAATTAGCCAGGCCTGGTGGTGCATGGTTGTCATCCCAGCTACTCCAGGGGCAGAGGCAGGAGGCTCACTTGAGCCCAGGAGTTCGAATTCGCAATGAGATATGATCGTACCACTGCACTCCAGCCTGGGAAACAGAGTGAGACCCTGTCTCAAAAAAGCCCTCTTATTTTAAAAAACAGTTTTTATTCACTGCAGAAACAAATGCGGATAGGCAAAGAGAAGAAAATAAATATGATCCTGGCCAGGCGCGGTGGCTCACGCCTGTAACCCCAGCACTTTGGGGGGCCGAGGCGGGTGGATCATGAGGTCAAGAGTTCAAGACCAGCCTGGACAAGATGGTGAAACCCCACCTCTACTAAAAATACAAAAATTAGCTGGGCACGGGGGCAGGCGCCTGTGATCCCAGCTACACAGGAGGCTAAGGCGGGAGAACTGCTTGAACTCGGAGGGCAGAGGTTGCAGTGAGATGAGATTGTGCCACTGCACTCCAGCCTGGGCAACAGAGTGAGACTCTGTCTCAAAAAAAAAAAAAAAAAAAAAAAGAAGGAAAATAAATATGATCCTGAATCCACTATCCTAAGATGACTAACGCTAACATTTCTAGATATATTCTTCAAAATATAAATCTATAAAAATATTAATATATGTGAAATGTATTATTATAAACTAAAACACTAAAATTAAAATGGACTCATATTGAATATGTAGCACTTTGCAGCCATCAGTAAGTAATAGATGAGAGCAATAACATATGTCACCGAGTATGAAATACTCTCAAATTGGCCTGCTTTATAAACTGCTTTTTGCTCTTACGAGAATATCATGAAAACTTTTATAAGTCTCTGTTTTTTTTGTTTTGTTTTGCTTTTGTTTTTTGCAATGGTCACATAGTATTCCACTGCACAGATGTACCATGACTTATTCAAAGAGTCTCCCCTTGTTTGGGAGTTTACTTTGCTTCTATTTTTTCAATATTATGACCAACACTGAAATGAATATCCCTTCACCTAAATAGGCATATATTCTTTTTTTTCCCAGGGTGCTTTGTTTTTGTTTTGTTTTTAAGACACGGTCTCTCCCTGTTGCTCAGGCTGGAGAGCACTGGTGTGATCAGCTCACTGTAACCTTTAACTCCTGTGCTCAATGGATCCTCCTGTCTCAGCCTCCCAAGTAGCTGAGTCTACAGGCCTGCACCAGCACGCCTGGCTAATGCTTTTATAAAATTTTCTTTTTTGTAGAGAAGGAGTCTCCCTTTGTTGCCCAGGCTAGCAGTTTGCACTGTGTAAAAGAATTCTTCTTTACAAACATGCTTTACCTCATTTGGGAGCTGGCCTCATTCTGTGTTGAAAACTTGGTTGCAACCCTTGAGAAAGGGTGGTTCTCTTTGCTAGTTTTGGTTGGGTGGGAGGAGAGGTAGACAACCCTGGATTAGGATTAGGATATCGATGCTCTGTGAGGCAGTGCCCACAAGGCGATGAGGTCCACATAACAACTCGAAGAGATTAAGGGATCGGTAGAGGGTAATTGTGTGAGTCAGAAATCCCATTGGGACCATTACTACCTAACACCAGGAGAGCACCATTAAACCATTAAATGCTAAAAGTGGCATGAAAAAAATCCAAAGGGTGTCGTCAGCTGACAAAGGGCACAAAATTCATACTCTGGGTTGACATTTAGCCCTTAACACACCATGACAGCATGAGGCTCTGTGGGGTGTGTCAGGACGGGGGATCTGACCAAACTCTCCCCTCTCTTGCCATCTGTGGCTCTGCCTCATGTACTAATATTACAGAAACCTCTGCGTAAAGACCATGAAATGCATATTTTTTGACATATGAAGCCTCGGCTGGTCATGTCCGTCAGGGAAATATATCCCAAGATGGGCGGAGCTTTCACATCTTACTCATATTTACACTTTTTATTTAAGCCCCCTGTTATTTCTCTGAGAGTCTAGGATACAGCAGGCTCTGGGGAAATAAGTATTGTAAAGTTGGCAGGTAGAAGGGGTTTTTGGCTGTTGTTTTTCAAACATATTACACATATTTTTACATTATTAAAAACACACGCTTCCGCACAACACCATTTCCCCAGAAGCCTCTCTGGCTGACTAGTGTCAAGCCTGGTGATTTATAAGATTGTTTGCATATATTATATTTTAAAACACATATTGCTTTTGTAAAACGCGTATTTATTATACATTTTGGAATTCATAATATGCGCAGAAAAGCAGCCTCCGCCTGGCTGGATCTGAGACAGTCTGTCACGTAAACACATTTCTGGAAGGGACTTCATACAAATGCTTTAGACGGGGCCAACCAATTCTTCCCTCCGCGGCTCCCATGGTCTCTCCCTCCCTCTCTCTCTCTGTCTCTCTCTCTCACACACACATGCCCCTCTCCCCCTCCTCCTGCACGTCACACCCATACAAATAAATAATAAAAACAGTAATGGAACAACGGCCCCAGAGGAAAGCTCTGTTAGGAATAAACCTGATTTTCAAAGCTGCACAAAAATCATCAAGCAAAGTAACCTTGTGAAAAGCAACAATTCAGAACCCTATAGATTGGGCGGCCCCAAATTAGGGAAATGGCTCTGTGAACCCCAGTCAAGTACGTTCTTCAAATACCTCAAGCTGTGACCTTAAGTACAAGACTTGATTTGAAATCAAATTGTGTGGTTGGTGTACGGGAAGAGTGTTCCAGACCCCGGTCTCCTTGGTAAGGCTGTGTGGGTCGGTGTGTGGCTGTGTGGGTGTGTGCGTTGGTGTGTGGCTGTGTGGGTCTCTGCGTAGCTGTGTGGGTCTCTGCGTAGCTGTGTGGGTGTGTGGGTCTGTGTGTAGCTGTGTGGGTGTATAGGTTTGTGTGTGGCTGTGTGGATGTGTGGGTTGGTGTGTGAGTGTGAGTGTGTGGGTGTGTGGGTTCATGTGTGGCTGTGTGGCTGTGTGGGTTGGTGTGTGGCTAAGTGGGTTGGTGTGTGGCTGTGTGGGTCAGTTTGTGGCTGTGTGGGTTGGTGTGTGGCTGTGTGGGTCGGTGTGTGGCTGGTGAGTCGGTGTGTGGGTGTGTGGTTGTGTGGGTGTGTGGGTTGGTGTGTGGCTGTGTAGGTGTGTGGGTTGGTATGTGTGGCTGTGTGGGTTGGTGTGTGGCTATGTGGGCCAGTGTGTGGCTGTGTGAGTGTGGGTCAGCGTGTGGGTGTGTGGGTCAGTGTGTGGCTATGTGGGTTTGTATGTGGCTGTGTGAGTGTGTGGGTTGCTGTGTGGCTGTACGGGCCAGTGTGTGGCTGTGTGGGTGTGTGGGTAAGTGTGTGGCTGTGTGAGTGTGGGTCAGCGTGTCGGTGTGTTGGTTGGTGTGTGGCTGTGTGAGTGTGTGGGTTGCTGTGTGGGCCAGTGTGTGGGTGTGTGGTCAGTGTATGGCTGTGTGGGTTGGTGAGTGGCTGTGTGGGTCAGTGTATGGGTGTGTGGGTGTGTAGGCCAGTGTGTGGGTGTGTGGGTCAGTGTGTGGCTGTGTGGGGTGGTGTGTGGGTGTGTGGGCCAGTGTGTGGGTGGTGGGTGTGTGGCTGTGTGGGTCGGTGGGTGGGTGTGTGGGCCAGTGTGTGGGTGGTGGGTGTGTGGCTGTGTGGGGTGGTGTGTGGGTGTGTGGGCCAGTGTGTGGGTGGTGGGTGTGTGGCTGTGTGGGTCGGTGTGTGGCTGTGTGGGTTGATGAGTGGCTATGTGGGGTGATGTGTGCATGTGTGGCTGTGTGGGTGTGTGGGTCAGTGTGTGGCTGTGTGGGTCGGTGTGTGGCTGTATGGGTTGGTGAGTGGCTGTGTGGGTGTGTGGGTCAGTGTGTGGCTGTGTGGATTGGTGTGTGGCTGTGTGGGTTGGTGAGTGGCTATGTGGGTTGATGTGTGCGTGTGTGGCTGTGTGGCTGTGTGGGTCAGTGTGTGGCTGTGTGGGTCGGTGTGTGGCTGTGTGGGTTGGTGAGTGGCTGTGTGGGTGTGTGGGTAAGTGTGTGGGTGTGTGGGTCAGTGTGTGGCTGTGTGGGTCAGTGTATGGCTGTGTGGGTTGGTGAGTGGCTGTGTGGGTCAGTGTGTGGATGTGTGGGTTGGTGTACGGCTGTGTGGGTGTGAGCCGGCAGCAGGCTCATGAAAATCCAGGAAAACAAACATCCCCATTCAGGAGGAGCCCTCCTCCAAGCCTTCTTGCTGTCCCCTCCGTTCCTCCCTCTCACAGGATAGAGAGCGTCCCCAGCATCTGGGCCGGCGGAGATGGACTGCCTGTGCCCCCATTAATGCTCTGACCCTGCACATTTGCTCTTAGCCGTTCCATCTCAGCAGGGAGCCAAGGAGGAGGGTGGGGGTCTGGCTCTTTATCAGCCTCTCTTGCCTGTCACCCCATGGAGGGAGGGAGGGAGGGAGAGAAGGGGGACTTTGGGGGCTGGGGTGGAGAGGTGGGAAGGAGATGGAAAAGGAGATGAAAGCAGCCAGAATTATTTCTCAAATAAAAATCCGGCCAGGGGATTGCAGGCTCCCAGTCCCAGACAGAAGCTGGACATCCCTCCATGTGGTTCTGTTTCTCGATCCTGTCCTATTAGCGTAAAAAGGAAAAAGGAAGGCCAGGTGCTGAGACCTCCTTGCTGATGGGCACTTACAAAATGGAAGGGACGAGATTGCACAGACCTGCCCCTGCACTGATAGCTGAAGACGCTTTTCTTCACCTACAGAAAATGAGAACCAGCTTGGAAAAACAAAAAGGCCGTGCGTCTAGGCTCTGTGACTTGGTCCAGATGTGCCAACTTAGCAACTCCCCACGCTGTCCGCAGCGGAGATGGATTTCTTTAACGTTCCTGTTATCAAGCCCTCCTATTTGTCGCCCCCAAACTCAGTTTCCCCCAGATGTCTTGGACTGCTTCGTTTGAGGCTTCTGCAGCAGCTGCTGCCGCTCTACACAAAAGGCGGCTCCGAGAGCCAAGATTATGTCTTCAGTGCATTACGGGCACATGCAGTGCGTATATCTTCGGTAAATAACCGCCCGTTTTCACATGGATTATTTAGAATTTCTGATGAAACTGCAGAAATGTCAATGCGGGGTCTAAGCCACCAATCGGAGAGCGGCTCCGCGACCCCTCTCTTCTTCAGCAAGACTGCTATTATCTTCAAGGGGAAAAAAAACCCTCTTTGTCTCTTGTTATACCTTTTTTATGATCTAGGATGCTGTTAATAACGACTTTGTGTTACATAAAACAGATAAATTAATGTCACCAAGTCCCCAAAGTACTGAATCAACCCTACTCCTTCAAAGGAAAGCAGAAAGTGTATGAACTGAAGGCCAGGACTGAAGAGGGGCTCCTCTCCTAAAATGGGAGAGGTCCTCCAATCGCTGGCCTGTTCCTATTTGAAATGCAATATTTAAAAACCGTGTGGCTGGGGAGGAAAATGCCGCTGTCTGGCTGAACATCCCTCCAAAGGGGAAATCGAGCGTGTGGTTTTAGTTGGTGATTTAAAGCTCCTGTAACTCATTATATGTGTGTGTTCCTGCTCCAGCCATTCAGAGCAAGGGCAGGGTGGGGGGAGGTAGGTGGTTCCCTCATTAGCAATTACTCTACCCTTTTGGTGGGGATGTAAGAGGGTGACTCAAAACAGCATCTTCAGGGAAGCCCAGCTGTGTGTTTTCAAGGTGGGGAAAAAACCTGGCTTTGCACGCCATGTGAAGAGCCCCAGATATGTATCTCTAACAGGAGGGGACGGGGCACATGAAACATTTCTCAGCAGCTCAGAGG
The DNA here is from genome assembly GCF_000001405.40 of Homo sapiens. Taxonomy (NCBI): domain Eukaryota; kingdom Metazoa; phylum Chordata; class Mammalia; order Primates; family Hominidae; genus Homo; species Homo sapiens. The sequence continues at coordinate 73,289,551 of NC_000016.10, forward strand.
TACTGCTCTCTAATCCACAGCTGAGGTCCTAGGCTGGCAATCCAAGCCATGTCCCCAGGGCACCTTGAGTGCCATCCCCAAGCAGGAGCTGCATCATCCTTTCCTAGTACACCCGCTCTGCAAAGCCAGTGTGGCTGGTCTCGGTCCTACTGGTCAGTGGTGGCTAAAGAGACAAAACAACCACCCATTTACCATTCTGGTGAGCCCCCAGGGGAGCAGGAGACCCTACCAGGTGCACCGAAATGTGGCTACAAACCAGGAATCCAGGAGGGAGTGTGAGAGAAAGGGGATCTGCAGAAAGCCTTGTTGGGTGGGATGTCCACACCAGGCCCCCTGTGTCAAGTCACCCGGGGCCCCTTTGGGATGCCCCCTTCAGGGGTGCTGAGGAAAGGTGGTTTCTGAGCCTCAATTCCAATATGAAGATTATAATGTGGAAGTGATAGGTATTAATTAGAGAGAAATAACCACACACACACACACACACACACACACACACACACATATAGACATTTATATACGAACTAAGAACATAAGCTCATTTCTGTAAATCACAAGGTTTCAAACAGTATTCATTGAGTGCTCGCCATATTCCCCAGTGCTAGGCACAGGGGAATCAGGAAGGAGTCCAAATAGACTCTGTGCCTTCCCTGATGGAGATTATAGCTTCGTGAATTCCCTAACTGACAGCCCCTAACCAAACGATGGGAAGTGAGTATAAAACTGCAGTGTTCAGCACCATGAGAACCTGAGAGAGAGACTGGAAGCTCATCTGGGAGGTCAGGAAAGCCCCCTCGAAAAAAACACACTAAAGCTGAGATGGAAAAGATGAGTTGGCATGAAGCAGGTGAAAAGGTGTTCTAGGAAGAGGGAAGAGCCTGTGCAAAGGCCCTGGGGTGGGCAGGGGCCTGTTTAATGCAACAGAAGGAGGATGCCATGGGGTCCTCAGCTAAAAATGTTCCAAGCCTGAAGCCTAACTTGTAGGTTTCAGCCTAGTAGGTTTCCAGAAGGAATAGAGGTGGACAGGGAAGAGAGGTGGAAAAGGACCCCAACTGGGTGTGGGCTCAGAGTGTGGGACTAATGGTGAGATGGGTTTCTTCTACTATGCTACATGTCACAAAGCTGCTTGTCTTTCACTGGGAGCCTGCTCTCTTCCCTGGTGCTTTTTGGGTTTCAGTGTAGATAGAGGAGGAAAGAGCCACTAAGGTGCTTCGCAGAGCCAGCAGCCTCTCAGGCTATTTCTCAAGTTCCCAGATAGCTTGGGGGCTTAGCTGTGTTGGGAGTAGAATTAAGGAACCTTGGTTAGTGGGATAAATTCCTATTCAGAGCAAAGCCATGAGGATCTTTTGGGAGCAAATGGGAAATGCAGAACATAGAGAACTAGAAAACATGGCCTTGGGAAAAAACATCATGAGAACCTTCTGACCAGGGCTGGTGATATCTGCAGCAGATCAGGAGGGCTTAGAAGATGTAAAACCATTAGAAACACATTCTAGCCAATCAAGTTGACCTCGCCTGCCACAACAAACCCAATCCAACTAAACCCCACAGCACAGAAGTGCAGTTTGTGAAGCTGATGACCAAGTGCTCTCAGTGTCTGTAGAGTTATCCCATTCTCCTTCCAACGGTACCCATGGTTTAGGCTTCCTGACAATCAAACCCCACACCAGCTCTGTATATGTTCACCTAGACACGGGCCTTCCCCATCTTCATCCCCACTGATGTCTCTGGCTGCCTAGGGTACAGCTGGGCCCATGGCCATCATCAAAGGGAAGGCAGGGGTGAGGAATTCGGGGAGCTGCCAGTGAAAAAAAGCTCTCGGAGTTTCCAGGTTCTTGAACATTTTCTCTGGAATGAAGGTTTATTGGCTCCTTGCTGGTTATGAGATTATACGCCAGTCCTCCAGAGATACGTGTGAAGGATCATGTAAATCCCACATTCTGGCAGAAAGAGACAAACACTAATTTTTACATTAATGACATCTCAACATGGAGTTGCTCAGGAGAGCATCTGCTCACCCCTGATTAGAAAGCCTGAAGTGTGAACAGCATCTGTTCTCTCGCCTCTCCCTCTCTGTAATGGACAGCCACCAGAAGAGGTCTTAGCACCTGGTAAGCAGGTGTATTGCCCCTGAAGGAATAGGCAGGTACCTTTAACTATATGCATTACCTAGAACCTGTCATGAGCCATATGGCCATTTCTAGAAGGCTGGATAGGCTTTTGAGAAGATGCTTTTGATCATTCTACATGAGAGATCTATATAAACTGCCAAGGTTAATAGGGCCTGGCTTGGGGGCTGTCTCTGAGTATGCCACATATTCTGGGAAGAACTTCTGGGTGCTAGTCACTTGGCAAGCATCTCACTTTTGTCTTTGTTTGATAATGTTTTATTTACATTTGTAGAAATGGTCTGGATAGAGCTCTCTGTACCTCTCCTCTGGGTAAGCAGAGGGCATGCCTGGAACTGAAGTTTCTAAGTATTGATATTAGTGAGGTTCTGAGATGCCATGTAAGACCATGTTCAAGTTCATTATGTTACTTATCTTATAGATAGTTGTATAGATTGGGGAGGAAACCCTAAAAGCAAAAATAAAACAAATCAAAGGGAAACACTGCCCATGTTAGAAGACAGAAGGAAATTTATTATTAACAAGAGAAAGAAGTGGAATCAGGGCAGGTTAATGACCTTGGCTGTGATTAGTGTCCTTTACCGAGCACAGCACAGGGTGTGACATGTGGGTATAGATATTTCTCCAGGGTGATGGCTAGGATGTCTCAGGCCTGAAGTAAAGGCATTCAGAGCCTGCAAAGGAGTTCTGACATTCCCTACTCCAGGGTGATGGCCCATGGCAGCATTCTGTGGCTTTAACTTCCAGCCCAAATCTAGAACCCCTTGACATTGTGAGTTATTTTATAGAAATGCCAGGTTTTATTTTAGTAGAACACTTCTAGGAGGCTAAAATGAAAACTCAAAATATGTAAATTCTGGAGGTAACAGAACAATCACCTGAAAAAGGATCTTTTATGTCCATCAGCTCCTTTCAAATCTTAAGGTAAAACATTTTCCTGAAGCTTCTAAGAGAAATTGCCCAGCTCTTCCCTTGGTGCGAATGCTTCCTACTGTGTGATGTGTGTGTGTGTGGCGGGAGCGGGCCTCAGGGGGTGCATAAGAAGGGGATGGGGTTCTTGATGGGTCACCAGGGAGAGCCTGAGGCCATGGTGAGGGGTGGCCTCTTGAGCCCAGGTAGGCTTGATTCCAAGACACATCAGTCATCTTTGTTCTGTTCATGGACTAAAGCTAGGAGGTATTCCTCGGGCTGGAAGCAGAAACTTTCTGGTATGTTCCATAGGGGACCTACATTTTGAAGAAGGTAGACAGTCTGCTGACAGTTTTGGAAGAAGCCAAGTCAACACATCTGGGATTCAGAGATGGCATCTACCATGGAGGCAAGTGGCCTCCAGAGAGAGCTTGTCCTAACTGCCTTGAAACAAAAGGGAAGAGACACTGTGCTTGTCTAAAGGTAGAACCACCTTCAAACCCGGCTGCGATGTGTGTTTTAGACCAACCTACCAGAAGAGGAACACAGGTTTGCGTGAGGAGATGGGGATGGGGACAAGAATCACATCAGAGGCAGCTGTGAGAAACCACTGCAAGATTAGAATTTTTGAGAGAGAATACCTGGGCAATACCAGAGTCACAGCTGGTAAAAGTTTGGGAAAGAGGCTATGAAGGAGACTCTGAACCCCGCTAGACCAGGAAATAACTCCACAAAGCCCTTCATGAAGCACCCAACACCAAGAGGGTAAAGACTGACTGATTTGCAGGAGGAGAACTAGGAGTTTCCATTGAAATTTCTAGGAAGGGGATTACAAATTTAAATGAAAGCCAGGAATCATCATAAATGGTACTTTCAAGATTTTGGTGCCTGTAATGTCCCTGTAGTTTAATTAACTATCTTCTATTCTCCTCTATTTTCTGCTATTGGTGCATGAAGACAATAGTGAGAAGATTCCCCCATGGATCTGGGAATGAGGAAAATGAATTAAAGGAGTGTGGATTTTGAAGTTTAACTCTTTCTGGGCACAGTCACTTCAAAGAGACAGACTAAAGCCCAGGCCAGCATGGCCATGCCTGTTGGATGTAATAGAAGAACGTGTCCATCAGAAGCATGGTGGGTCAGGGTTGGGCAGCACAGGGCAAGGTGATTCACGGAGGTGGGTAATAAGAACCATTCACTGGAGCTGAAGCAGTATTGGAGTATTACTGGCAAAGTCAACGTGGATAAAGATTCAGTGAGTGTTGTCCAAAGACCTCGAGGATTTGGGGTCATTGGCAAGAACTTCCATTGTACATTTGTTTCATCCGTTTTACTTTGATCAGATTCAACGCTCACTAGAAAACCTTTGCATTATTCCTTGGCTTTCTAAGTCAATATGCCAAAAAAAAAAAAAAAAAAAAAAAAAAACCACAAAGCTCAGTATTGAAACTCTGAAATATCTAGTTTCTGGAAAAGTTATTCTCGCTGTAAATTAATACATTTATAGTTCGATTATGATTTTAGTGACAGAGCTTGTTGTGTTGGGATATTTATGACAATTGGATATATACAGTACTATACATTTGTAAACTGTCCTTTTTTATTTCACAAATGTGGTTAAGTGAGTCTGTCCTTGAGAGGAGGAGGTCCCATTCCTGGAAGGTGGGTGTCATCGGTTTCTTAGCCTAGAAGGTTGAGAACCACATCTGGGAATATCATAAAACCAGCCAGGCGACAGACATCACGCTAAGCCTCAAAGCCTCTCCCAAGATAAGCAGCCCCTCTCCCCCAGGATGGACATGCTGTTCATATTGAAGTTTTCTACAAACAACAGCAACGATTCTTAAAACTATAAAGTGGGGGGCTGGATAATGTGCTTATTTTGGAGACAGTAGAATACAAGAAGATGGTGCTCAGTAACATAGTTTAAAAACAGGCCTGGGGGCTGGGCGAGGTGGCTCACGCCTGTAATCCCATTACTTCGGGAGGCCGAGATGGGCAGATCACCTGAGGTCAGGAGCTTGAGACCAGCCTGGCCAACATGGTGAAACCCTGTCTCTACTAAAAATACAAAAATTTGCCGGGTGTGGTTGTGGGTGCCTGTAATTCCAGCTACTCAGGGTGGCTGAGGCAGGAGAATCACTTGAACCCGGGAGGCAGAGGTTGCAGTGAGCCAAGACCGTACCACTGCACTCCGGCCTGGGCAACAAAGTAAGACTCCATCTCAAAAAAAAAAAAACCAAAAAACAAAACAGAAGAGCTCATATTGGCCATGGAAGAGGCAGAAATGTGAATTCTTACGGTTTTCTTTCATGGACGGATATTAGTCTCAACATCCACAGCCACGGCTGGGCGCGGTGACTCACGCCTGTAATCCCAGCACTTTCGGAGGCCGAGACGGGCGGATCACGAGGTCAGGAGATCGAGACCATCCTGGCTAACAAGGTGAAACCAAGTCTTTACTAAAAATACAAAAAAAATTAGCCAGGCATGGTGGCAGGTGCCTGTAGTCTCAGCTACTAGGGAGGCTGAGGCAGGAGAATGGCGTGAACCCGGGAGGCGGAGCTTGCAGTGAGCTGAGATCGCGCCACTGCACTCCAGCCTGGGGGACAGAGCAGGACTCCGTCTCAAAAGAAACAAACAAACAAACATCCACAGCCACGCTCTTCCTGAATGGCCAACTCTTGACTTTTCAAGCACTGAGCCAGTTGGGGGACGATTTTGAATCTCTGCTTCTCCCTCTTCCAATGTCCTGTTTCCTCACTGTTTAGTGTTAGAAAACGAAACTTGGTAGTGGCTGGGCATTTGCTGGTTTGGAAAGAGTATCGAATGTAAGGTGTGAATTTTTTAAAGGTTTAATTTGTGCATTTGTGCATTTGTTAAACATTTCTCATTGGCTTTGAGAATTAAGCTCCAACTACATTTCAGCACACTTTCTGAACACTGACAACCTCTTGCATGCGCAATCTGCAGAATTTTTAGGGTTGCCTGGTTTCCATTTGTAGAACTGGGTAAGAACGTTTACGATGTCAGCAAGTCCATTTGATTTTCAGTTAATGGCACAGATGGGAAGCTGCTGTGAAGCGCCTGATGGAGGGTCACCAGGAAAAAGAAGGGAGTGGGGGCCTGGGCTGGACAGGGGATGGATGAGAAGGCAGTGGCTGCCCTTTCACACTTTGTCAAGGGACTGGGGGGACAAGGGATGGTAAGGATGGAAGAGATGCATAAGCAAGAAGAATAGGGGACAGAGGGAGACCACATCTCTGGCTGGGCTTTACCCAACAGGCACCTCCTCTGCAGGAAGTAGCTTTCTCCAATCCTACCGTGGAAAAGCCACCTGTGTCTCTTGCCCCAGTTCCAATGGCACCAGCAGGAATGGTGCCCCAGCCACTGTTGGCTCCCTGGATGGGGTCTAATGGTTCAGCCACAGTCCATGCATCATCCCCAGGGAAATTCACAGTTCTAGCCCTTTCATTACAATCCCGTGTGTGTGTGTGTGTGTGTGTGTGTGTGTGTGTCTGTGTTTCAAACCATCGTGTCCTGACTTTTGCATATTCTGTTTGGAAATAATGTAGGCAATTGTTTCATATTAACAGCTAACTGCTTATGAAATTTCATTTAAGATACATAACTGAAAAAGCATAAAAATGTCCAAACTCTCTCATTTAAAAACATCACTACAAGCTAAGACCTTGTATGATAATGGGTAAGTGCAATGTTACAACTGAATTAAGAAAATGGCAGAAATAAATTCCATGAAGGAAGGATGGGAGAACTTTAATGGGCCTTCCATACCCTTGATGTGGGGAATGAATGTTAAACAGCAGCATTTCCAGGCCTCACTCTGGAAATATATCCAAGGACAGTACTGTCCTAATATGGTGATAATCTATGTGAATACAATTAGAAAATTACTCTCTTTTAGCAATATTTAAGATTGACTTGTACATTACAAGGCCCAACAAATTTACTAGACAACAATTCCGTTAATGGCTTCCTTCTTGCTTTTCACTCCTCTATTCCCCAATCCCTTATTCAGAAAGATGTATAAATAGAATTCACCCCCTTGATCTGTTACCTAAGATAGGCAGTTACGTATTTGATCATGGTTACAGGTAGATTCTTTGCATTCATTTGTCTAAGACAAATACTACTAATAATGATATTGACAATGACAATGGGAATAAACAATAACAAAGTGACAATAAAGCACCTATCATGGGCCATCTACTATTCAAAGGGCTTCAGAAGCATCCTCTCATTTACTTTATAATTGCCATGTGAAGCAGGAATTTTTTTTTTTTTTTTTTTGAGACGGAGTCTCTTTCTGTCACCCAGGCTGGAGTTCAGTGGCGCTATCTCGGCTCACTGCAACTCTGCCTCCCAGGTTCATGCCATTCTCCTGCCTCAGCCTCCCTAGTAGCTGGGACTACAGGCGCCCACCACCCTGCCCGGCTAATTTTTTGTATTTTTAGTAGAGACAGGGTTTCACCGTGTTAGCCAGGATGGTCTCGATCCCCTGACCTCGTGATCCGCCCGCCTAGGCCTCCCAAAGTGCTGGGATTACAGGCATAAGCCACTGCGCCGAGCCAGCAGGAATGATGATTAACCATTTTTTAAGATATGGAAACTGAGGTTAAGAAAGGCTAAGTAATTGACCAAGGTTGCCAAGCTCGCAAGTGGTGGAGCCAAGATGCAAACCCAGGTCTCAAAGCCCACGTGTTTAATAATGAAGAGCCCTCTTATGTTCCTGGTGCTGTAGCCACTGACTCTAGGACAAACCTACATGTGTGTTGAAAAGCACTGTCCTTCCCCAGACAGCTGGTAACCCTGTTATCTTACATGGACACAGTAGGAGCCCTACAAACATGTATATTTACAACAAATATCCAACCCCTATTTTTAGTCTTATTTATAATGCAGCTTGAGTAGGTAGACCTGGTAAATGTAGGATAAACTATTAAAGGTAGAAGTAAGCCAAATCCTTCTATCCACAACCTGCTTGCTTTAGCATGCAGGAGTCAAACGGGACACATGTAGCCCTGATACCTCATGGACTTCTCATTTTAAAAGAGAAACAAGAAGGAGTGTAAGGAGAATGCTGATGAGCTTTGGAGATAGGGAGACCAGGTTCAAATCTGTTCTTTTATTACGTGACCTTGGGCAAGTTATAGAACCTCTCTGAGCCTCCATTTCTTCTCTGGAAAGTGTCTGTGCGATAATAACCTTATCTTGTAGAGTTGTTCAGCTGAATAAATGAGATAGCACTTAGCACAGTTCCTGGCACATAATGAGAACATAATTCACATTAGACTTTGTCCAGGCTTGGTGACTGACACCTATAATCCCAGTGCTTTGGGAGGCTGAGGGGGGAAGGTCACTTGAATCCAGGAATTTGAGACCAGCCTGGGCAACATAACCAGACCCTGTCTCTAAAAAAAATAAATAAATAACAATTAGCCAGGCATGGTGGCATGTGCCTATAATACTAGCGACCTGGGAGGCTGAGGTAGGAGGAGTGCTTGAGTCTAGGAGTTTGAGGTTACAGTGAGCTATGATTGAGTCACTGTATTCCAGCCTGAGTGAGAGAGCAAGACCCTGTCTCTAACAACAACAACAACAAAAATCAGAATTTTTTTTTTTTTTTTTATATGGAGCTTGATCTCAGCTCACTGCAACCTCCGCCCCTCCCAGGTTCAAGCGATTCTCCTGCCTCAGCCTCCCGAGTAGCTGGGATTACAGGTATGTGCCACCATGCCCGGCTAATTTTGTATTTTTAGTAGAGATGGGGTTTCTCCATGTTGGTCAAACCAGTCTCGAACTCCCGACCTCAGGTGCTCCGCCTACCTCAGCCTCCCAAAGTACTGGGATTACAGGTGTGAGCCACTGCGCCCAACCTATTTATGTTGTCGTCGTTTTTTTTTTTTTTTTCACTTCTTTAATCAACAATTTTAAGAGAGACTGTTGTTGATTGTGTAGAGGGCAATAAGGTAGAAAGCTCACAGAGCATATTTTAGACTTCTGGGCCTTACCAAGTGGTGCAGTGGCCAGCTGTGATGCTCTTAACTGTGAGGCCAATGGATGGAGGCTGAGCTCAGCAATGCGAACTGATGGGCTTTTACTGAGAATCTCCACTTAGACAGGCATGGGGGCAGGGAAGGGAGATGCTGTAAGCAAAAGAGAAACTAACATTCCAGGAATACCTACCATATGTCAGTTACCACAGTGAAAATTTGTTTCGTTACTGATAGTGATGCCTGACGTAAGGTAAGGTCTCTACTTTGCAGAGCTGTGGATACAGTCAGAACAATTTCACTTCAGTTTGTAAATGTATGAAAACAAAAGCTATGTGTATTTCTTAAAGATCTCAAACAACACCAGTATCTGTGCAGACAGGGAGAACTACAAGGGGATGAAGTTCCAGAAAAGGGTGTTCTTACTTTCTAATGTCAAAAAGTCTCTAAACTGACTAATTTTCTCTCTAAATATAAATTATGATGATGATTATTTTACAGACTGGGGTCCGGTTACCAGCCCCTAGAGTCACATACAGCATCTGAGCCCTACTACAATAGTCCTTAGACAATCTAGTACAATCTATACATTTGAAACAAACATTCCTTAATTTATTATTGCAGCCAGATATTGAAATAAGTTATAGCATCCGAACATTGCTGTTCAGCCCCTAGAAGAGAAAAAGCATTTTCCAGGGACATTTTGCTTGGAGTTCATAAGAGGGTGAAATAATGTAACAATAGAATCTCTATCCCCAGCCACCTCCTGACTAGGCAGTTCTACCTCCAACATCAAAGCTGCTGCATTAAAATTTAATTTGAATTTAAAATCCCTGACAGGGCCCAACACTGGGGAAGCAGGGGTTAACCACTGAGATAATGAGGCCATCGCTGCCACCGCTGATTCTGTTGACAGTATTGTATCACCTAATGAATGTGGCGATATAAATCTTGATGAGGGGCAGGCCTGAGTCTCTGGAAAAGTAATGATCATGAGGAAGAGGCAAGAGCCCATGCTGCAGACGAAGAGGAAAACCAAGAACGTGCCCCAGCCCAGGAGGAGCAGGCTGAGACCTGGGCCCGCAAAGGGCAGGCTGACTGGCCCTGTTTATTTACCCAAAATGCCCCATATTTCATCGTGCAAATCATAGGGCCTACCATGTTTGCAGGATTTGACGGAAGCAAACAAAAGGTAATGAGAAGCATGCTATATGCTTCTAAGTCAATTCTCCACTGGCCCAGCAAAGCAGACCTATGACAATTACCAAAAACAATTAGGGTAGTCTCATGATCTCTCTCTTTCTTCTGTGGCAGAAAGAAAGCATTTTACAAATCTGAATGATTTGTGTTCTCATCTGAAGTCTCTACTTTATTTTGACTGTGATGGATAGTACCATGAATTGCTTTGGCTTTTTTCAGTTAACAAGTTTGGTGTGATTCCTTTGCTACTGTTCCTTCCCAAATGTGCTCCAAGGGCTACTTGGCAAGACAAAGGACAAAAAGTAAACTAATCAGCTGGGCATGGTGGTGTGCACCTGTAGTCTCAGCTACTCAGGAGACTGAGGCTTGAGCCCAGATGGCTTGAGCCCAGGAGTTTAAGGCTGTGGTCACCTAGAATGCCCCACTGCACACTAGCCTGGGTGACAGAGTGAGACTCTGTCTCTTAAAAAAAAAAAAAAAAAAAAGGACTCCCTGAAATGCCCCATTATAGAAAATAAAGATTCCATGAGGCCATTATAAGGATGAGGTTTGATGTGTTTCAAATAGCATGTGAACACTTCAGCAGCCCCTCTGGACTCTACCTAGAGGACACTGAGGCATAAAGATGTCCTGCAGGTGTGGCCCATAGGTGGCCGTGTGTGCCAGGATACGGGATGTTGGGAGTCTAACAGCCAAGAGTGCTCCTTGACTTTTTTTTTTTTTGGACAGAATCTCACTCTGTCACCCAGGCTGGAATGCAATGGTGTGATCTTGGCTTATTGCAACCTCTGCTCCCCAGGTTCAGGTGATGCTCATGCCTCAGCCTCCCGCGAAGCTGGGATTACAGGCGCCTGCCACCATGCCCGGCTAATTTTTGTATTTTTAGTAGAGACGGAGTTTTGCCATGTTGGCCAGGCTGGTCTCGAACTCCTGACCTCAAGCGATCTGCCCACCTTGGCCTCCCAAAGTGTTGGGATTACAGGCATGAGCCACCATGCCCAGCCTAGTCCTCTTTGACTTTGCAGACCAGTGGTCCAGGCTTTACCTGTTCCGAAAGCTGTGACATTGGGAGGTGTCCAGCACATTGATGCTGGAGCAGTCTCTGATCTTTGGTGGAGAAGGAGACTGATGTTGGAGAGCTGATAAGATCGGCCTGCATTGCTGTGGGCTGTGTCAGATGGGTGGACCCTCCTCCAATTCTAGAAGTCAGGAAATAGATTTCTCACTGAAAGAAATCTGGACATGTTCAGCATCTGGACACTCGATGGCATCTTGAAGGGACCAGCTATCTTTTTCCAGAAGTCTCAAATCTGGTTGTGTATCAGAGTCCTTTGGATAACTTCAAAATAGAAATTCTTGGGGCCATCCCTACAGAGGTTGGTTTAGGAGGACTTGGGCAGTTGTGGCCTGGACATAAGGACATCCTTTGTCTTTCCTTTTTATTCTCTTATTTTTAAAGAAACCTCCTAGAGGTGACTATCATGTTTCTGGCGGAAGAAGGAAGGATTAGAGGTAAAAGTGTGGAGCAAATAGGACAGAAAAAAATGGGAAGTCAAACTTCTTCAGAGCTTACATCAGGGTCACTCAATCTTGGATCTACTGACATTTCAGACAGGATGATTTTTTACTGTAGGGGCTGTCTTGTGCATTGTAGGATTTCTAGCAGCAACCCTGGCCTCTACCCTCCAGATGCCTACTGGAACCTCCATCAGTCGTGCCAATCAAAAACATCTCCAGATACTGCCAAATGTCCTCTGGACAGGGTTAGGGGGATACAAAATTAGCCCCAGTTGAGAACCACTGGCCTAGACAGTCCTAGAGGCCTTGCAATGTGGGCACCTCAACAAGGTCCCGATACCAAGAAAGAGAGAAAGATCATTGCCAAGTCCCTCATGGCTTAATGCAATGAGCCAGTCTTTCACCTCATGATTATATTTGGAAAAGAAACTTGATTCCAGCTTTTTTTTTTTTTTTGTGACAAGCACTCATTTAAGATTCTCTTAACACTAAAGAGAATCTTGCAGTGTGCATAAGCCTTTCTTACGGCTTCAATCTGATCCGGCAAGAGCATCCTCAAGCCCCTACCTCTGCAAAGAAGCGGAGATGAAACCTGGACAAGGGCTGTGGGTGCTGCGGCAACCACAAGGCCCGACAGAGTCCATGCAAGCCACAAACCCACGCAGGTGCGCCCCAACCTGTGCACCAGCCACACACGGGGACACCCTCTTCTCATTCCAGGTAGTGTTGACCAGGAAAATAAAAAAAAAATCCCCTTTTATTAACAAAGGGAGACAGAAGACAAAAGGAGCAGAAGATGGAAATCCTTCAAGATCTGTCTTAGCAGAAGAAAGCTCCCTTTCTCTTTCTTTTCCCCCTTTCTATGCCCTTTCTATTTTTCCTCTGTCTTGGTTCTCTCTTTCCTTTGTATCTTTTTCCCTTCCTCCCTTCTCTTTCTCTTCTCTCTCATCCCCTCCTTCCCCCTCCCTTTCTCCTCTCTCTCTCCCTCTCATTTAAAAATCCATTCAATTGGCTTGCCCAGCAACCTTACAGAAACTTCTCTCAAGAGCAGCCTATTGAGACTGGCTCTCAAATTGCCCCCAGAGCCCACTGGATATTCCTTCAGATGTCTAACAAGCGTTGAACACAACTGAGGTTTAGAGAGACACAGAAATCAATACTGCGGCTTCCACCAGTCACGCTGAGGGATTAGTTGTCCCAAGGAAAAGCACAGACAGTTGAATAAGAGAATCATGACTCCGAATACCCTAACAGGTTTATGAACTAGAGAGCAGCCTCTGGCCTTGATAACCTCCAGTTGGCCTGGAGAAAAAGGAGGCTGTGAAAACATTCACTTAGCTTTCTCCCCTTTTGTATTAATGAGGTCAAGCGTGGGACCTCAGGGAGTCAACAGTGGTACTTGGAGGAATGACTGTCAAGGCCGGTGGGTGACGATGACCATCTGAGCAGTGGCATTCAGAGGCTCTGAGCATCCTCCTTGCTGTGGAGAAGTCAGTGGCCACATCCCTCAGGACAGAGCTTGCAGGGAGGCTAGAACTGAGGGCAAAATAGAAAAACAGCAATGCCTTGGACTATTTGCTTTGAGCAGGTGGCATTAAACTGTGGCAGGTGTTTACATTTTTAAAATCATGGATGGGAGAGATCAACAGAGTATGCAAATGATTAGGGGACTCTCTAAATGGGCAGGATTCTGAAACAGCAAAGAGCAATGGAGACTTTTTTTTTTTTTGAGACAGGATCTTGCTCTGTTGCCCAGCCTGGAGTACAGTGATGTGATCATAGTGCACTGTCGCCTTAAACTCCTGGGCTCAAGTGATCCTCCCACCTCGGCCTCCCTAGTAGCTAGGACTACAGGCACACACCACCATGCCTGGTGAAGTTTTAAATTTTATTAGGGATGGGGTCTTGCTGTGTTGCCCAGGCTGGTCTTGAACTCCTAGCTCCAAGCAATTCTCCCATCTCAGCCTCCCAAAGAGTTGGAATTACAGGTATGAGCCATTATGTTGGGCCGAGCAATGGAAAAATGTTAACAGCTTCTCCACTTTGATGAGAATATAATGAGAGAAGGCTCATTTCAATGTATAAAAATTCTCATGCTCCTACTTCCTATGATTCACATTCCGGAGGCTGATCTTACAATTGACATGGACATTCCAAACACCTCACACAAATAAGACACCTGGTTGGAGACTCATTTAAAAACAGATGGAGCCAACGGCCTCAATGATGTCAGTCTCAACAAAAAGAGAAAAAGTCACTTTATAACTGGATCTCTGGGTTTGAGTGAAGAATTAAAGCTATTATCTGTATAAGTCAAACCAAAAACCTACCTTCCTATGAATTTATAGGACAATTTAGGTCCTAGCTGAATAATTCAGAAAAAGATAATCACCTCAATTATTTAGATGGCCATCTCATTCCCTTATATACTCCATCTCTCTAACCTGGATGTGGAAAGTCGACAGCAATTAAGTCTCTTAACCAAGCCACCAACAGGAGGCCACCGATTTGGACTACAAATGTGGCACCCTCGAAACAGGATCAGTGGAAACCGACCAGGATTAAGAAACTGATTTGGAAGACATTGGCTCTGAATCACTAAGTGATGCTCACCCAATCTGATGGAGGTTCAAAAACCCTAGGTGGAAAAAAAAAAAAAAAAAAAAAAAAAAAGAAATGTAGGAAAGTCATCTCTCTGTGTTGTGTATCCTCAGGTTACCTGCTCTACCCTTGGTCCTGCATAGATGTCACTGATTCTGGAAGAGAGGAATTCAGTGCCCTTCTCTGGCAGCCTCCCACCAGTCTCAGCCTCACGGAGCTTGCAGAAGAGCCTCATTTCTGGTCTGTGTCCAGGTTCAGGGTGTGAGTCGGAATTTGTGCCTCCAAGGCTGGTTAGCCAGCAGCATGAGAAATGATGTCATGTAAATAGGGCAGATGAAGAGCTGGGAGACCCCTGATGAAGTTCACAGGGGTCATGGGAAAAGAGCCCTTCCTCTGGGTGACTTTGGAACAATAGTGAGGTCAAACTGGCTGGCGGGGCTTTGCCATGCTGTTTCTATCTGGGTGGAGACATACGCACCTTGAGGTCCCCGCGTGCCTCTGTGTGTTTGTGTGCACGTGATCTTATGCGCAGAGAGGCAGGGTTGTCTGCTGTGTCCAGGCTGGTGGATTCAGCTTTCCTTTGTGCAAGTATTAATCTGCCCGGTCCCATCCCCCACTCTCTCCCCGCACATTAGCCTAAAATATGAGCGCATGCTCCCGTCTCGCCTGTGTTGGCTGCTCTAGTGCCCACAGCATCCCTGCCCCCTTCCTCCAGCCCTCTTATCTAAAGCAGCATGTCACTGCAATTTTATGGCCAACATTACAGACTCAAGCCCTCCTTTGAACCAATCAAACTGCACTAAATATGTTAAGGGAATCCAGGCGTTCTGTAAGGAGCCTGCTTCCTGAGCCCACCGCCTGACCTCTCTAAGAGCAGCCTCCATAAATCTGCCTCACCTGATGGGAGATGGGCTTTTTAGGATCTCTCAGGGTGCTTTGAGGTAGCACTTCTATGAACTCCTTGCCACAATAAATAATGCTACCTGCAATATGTCTTTGGGAGCATGTCAGTAGCTGCTGTCCTGCTATGAATTTTTATTCTTGTGCCGTCTGGAAGATAGATTCCAGATTCAGCATTTCCCTGCACTTACTGTCAGATCTCTTTACCCCCTTGCCCCAGCAGAATGACAGAGACCACAAATAAAATAAAATAAAAAATTAAAAAAAAAAGCAGCCTAGGAAAAATGGCCCAAGATCGGAGAGAAAGAGCCAAGCTCACCTCACAGCAGCGGCATGAGCTGCCAACATGAGGCGGGGTGGCCAGGTGGGAGGAAGGTGGGTGTAAGCTGGGCAATTTCAGAGTCCTCAGGACGGAAGCAATTCACCAGGGGAGCCTGGAGGAAGGGGTCTCTTACTAGGTAATGGTGTCAGATAAGAAGAAAGCCCAAGTTTGGGTCAATACATCATTATGAAGGAGAGCAACAGAAATCTGTTCACAAACATCAGTTAGGTGGTCATTGCCCTGGTAAGATACCGGGCAATCAGTCCATGCAAAGAGGACGGTGGATTCAGAAATAGCCCAGAGATGACTTCCAAAGTGAGATGTTATGGTCAGAAAGATGAGGAAGAAAGACACCCCTGCAGCTTAGGAATAACAATCAGTTGCTTCCCAGATTTCACTAACTCACATGTCTTTGCTGATCCAGAAGCGAGCGCTCACATGGCCGTGTGCATTTTCCTAGTTATCAGCCCTGCAACTTCAGACCAATCAGCAGACCTGAAGCCAAAACTCACCGATGCCCAGGAATTTCTGCTTCCTTGTAGTGCCCCAAGTTCCTGGGAGTTTCTGCATTTCTAACTTGCCAGCTATATCCATTACGGTGGGCGAGGTGCCCAGGAAAGGAAGAAAGAAAAGCTGGCTTTGATATGTTAACATCTCATGATGGTAGAATATTTTATGTTATAGGCCACTTCCTCTTTGGAGAGGGTACAGTTCAGCATCCTGGCAGGAAAAGCACATAGGCCTAGCTTCTCTGTGCATGGAGAGCCACACAGTCACAGACTACAACTTTGGCAGACTTTTAAATGAAAGTTTTGCCAACTGTGAAACAGACAGGAATTACCTGGGGATCTTCAAATGCGGATTCTGGCTCAGTGGAACCCGCAAGTCTGCATTTCTTACAAAATCTCAGGTGACGCTGACGCGACCTGTGGACCACACATTAAGGAATGAGGTTTTAGGTTCTACCAAGTTTCTACTGCGTACCTACTGTTCTACTGCGTACCTACTGTTCTCCTGCCCTAGAGTGTATATGTGGCTCCAAACCCAAGAGAACCCAGTCTGTTTCTGTTCTCAAATAGTTTGTTCTTTGTTCTTCATATCTTAAAAAAATCAATATAGATCAAAACAGAGTTTTAAAAATTGTGGTGATTTGAATATCTGCATTTAACACATGAATACTTGTTTTTTGTTTGTTTTGAGACAGAGTCTTGCTGTGTCGCCTAGGCTGGAGTGCAGTGGTGCCATCTCGGCTCACTGTAACATCCAGCTCCCAGGTTCAAGCAATTCTCCTGCCTCAGCCTCCCATGTACCTGGGATTACAGGTGCCCGCCACCACACTCAGCTGATTTTTGTATTTTTTTTGGTAGAGATATGGTTTCACCATGTTGGCCAGGCTGGTCTCAAACTTCTGACCTCAAATGATCCACCTGCCTTGGCCTCCGAAAGTGCTGGGATTGGAGGCGTGAGCCACTGCATCTGGCCCGCATGAATATTTTTCATGCCTCCAAATGGAATATGCCATCTCACTTGGAGATGATGACAAGAATCCATATTTGAGGTTCTCTGTGAGTGTAAGATCAAGGCCAATTTACCTCTGGGCCCAGCAGTGACAGGCTGCTAGACCCTCCCACAGGGAATCAGATGGTTTATGCAGAATGTTGGCTTCATGCGGTGGCCAATGTTCTACCCACAGCCAATGCTACGTTATCATTTCTAGCCTCCTGGGGCAGTGTGATCAATTTCCCAGCTTAGACATTACTGAGAGAAGGGTATAGAGTTAGGTGAAGGCTAAATGAAAACCTTCACTGATCAAGTTACCAATGGTGGGCTGGTAAGTGGGACCAGTTCATTTCCTACACAACAAGAACAGCAAGACCACAAAACTGACAACATAAAATGGAGGTGATAAGATCACTGACAAATGCCTTTTTGGATGATAAAGTCTCTTATGGTTAAGATGATCTTTGGAGTAAGAAGTGCAGAAGCTTTTCATACATCCCAACATGTTTAAATACAGTAGCTGAGGAGATAGCAGCCCCTGTCCATCAAGTCATCTGAGGCCAACCATCGTACACATGATCACTCATTTGTAAACTGGGCTTCCTGCCTGCTGAATACCTTTGAAAAACAGAAGTTCTCTCCTAATTGCCTGGGCTGACCTATATTTAGAAAACTGAAATGTGCTGGTACAGTGGAGAAGCCAGAAAAATGTTGGAGTTAATCACTAAATCAATCTGGGCTGACCCCATGAGGATAGTGAGCACTGAAGGTTGTTGGCCAAGGAGCTTTTGGAGGCTGGACTTAAAAGAACTCTCTTGTTTCTCTGAAACGGGAAAAACTGCTTCTTTCTGCAAAAACATATTCTAGGATAGTCCTTCAAAACAGTCACGCCAGTAGCCAAGTCAAGGTTAACTTCATTTTGTTCTGGTGTACACAGGTAGGTACCACAGCTGGAGAAACAAGAGAAATAGGCTCATTCTCAAGAGGAACCCAGCGAGGAGATCTTTCTTTTCTTCCCTTCTCACCCTTGGCCAACTTTCCTTCTCTTATATCTGTTTGGTTTCTTACTATCCTGGGTTGTTAAAATTCACAGTTGAAATTTTCCTTAAAATTTTATACCCACGAGGTGATGATAATTTCCTAAAGTTCAGAGTTTGAAAAATTGGGGGAAGGCACAAGAAGTATTCGGCATTATTTTCAGATTAAATGAACTGTGGGATGACATTTGGAAATGGGCACCAGGTACCTTGAAGATGAGCAATTGCCTTTACAGGAACACTGAACAGAAAGTTCAGGAAGCTCCTTAATTCTGTAGGACCAGCACTCACCCCCAAATTTGCCAGCTCCCGTGATTTCTGCAACCTATGCTAAATGATGGCTTGGGTTTGAAGGCTAAAGGATATAAACAGCCAAAGAGGGGGAAAAGGCACTTAGAACTAGAGAGAGTTACCGATCATTTGATTTCTGTAGAAAATACTTGTCGGAGAGATAAGTAATAAAAAATCTAGCACATATTTTGAGATTTAGGTTTGGCTGTCTACCTAGTTAAAAGTTTAGATTGAGTTATCTGAGCCATATGCATGCATATATATATATATATATATATATATATATATATATATATATATATATATATATTTATTTATTTATTTTTGAGACAGAGTTTCACTCTTGTCACCCAGGCTGGAGTGCAATGGCGCAATCTCTGCTCACTGCCACTTCCACCTCCTGGGTTCTCCGCTCAATGCCACCTCCGCCTCCTGCCTCAGTCTCCCTAGTAGCTGCGATTACAGGCACTCACCACCATGCCTGGCTAATTTTTGTAATTTTAGTAGAGAAGGGGTTTCACCATGTTTTCCAGGGTGGTCTCGAACTCCTGACCAGGTGGGAGTTCACCAGATGGTGATCCACCCACCTTGGCCTCCCAAAGTGGTGAGATTACAGGTGTGAGCCACCACGCCCAGCCTATTTTTTAATTCTCGCATTGAATTTTGTAGTGCTAAGCTAGGAAATGAGGAACTTGATTAAGTAGTGTTACAATGGAACAACTTATGCATTTATCGTCAACAATTTATTGAGTGTTTTCAGAACCATTTTTGAGAAGACATATGAGTATTAGACTTTTTTTTTCCTGCAGGAAGTTTACATTCTTAATTGTTGAGATGGGACTAAGTTACTAAAACATATTATATATATTATATTAAAATATATCTTAAAAATATATAGATATGTAAGTTAAGTACAAAATTATATGACATGATATGATAGGGACTACACAATCAAGCTAAGAATTTGGAGAAGCAGAATTACCAATGAGGAAGTTAGATCCCATGACAGGCTTCCTCCTGGTAGGGTTTATATAGAAAACAAGAAAGGGTGTTCCAAGATTGTGGAACACAGATGGGAAGCTATGAAGTTTACTATTTTTTATTATGATTTTTTAATCTTTTATTTTAGGTCCAGGGCTACATGTGCAGGTTTGTTATATGGTAAACTTGTGTCATGGGGATCTGTTTTATGGACTATTTTGTCATCTGAGTACTAAGCCTAGTACCCCATAGTTGTTTTTTTGGATCCTCTCCCTTCTCCCACCCTCCACTCTCAGGTAGCCCCAGTGTCTCTCGTTCCCCTCCTTGTGTCCATGTGTTCTCATCATTTAGCTCCCACTTACAAGTGAGAACATGTGATATTTCGTTTTCTGTTTCTGTGTTAGTTTTCTAAGGATGATGGCCTCTAGCTCCATTGATGTTCCTGCAAAGGCCATAATCTCATTCTTTTTTATGGCTGTGTTGTATCCCATGCTGTATATGAACCACAATTTCTTTATGGAGTTTAATGTGCACTCCTGCAAGGAAACTAGTCCACAGCAGTGGAAGGAACCCATGAGGGGGTTGTGGGAAATGAAATTTGATGATGTGGGAAGCGACAGATGAGAGTGGGGTTTGCCCTTGATTAGCAGTAAAGGAAGATACTGAAAGTTACTTTTAAGCAGAGGAGTATTATAATGGGAACATGTTTTGACAAACTGGGGCAGGGTCTCAGAGCCTCAGGCATGTACTCTCAGGAACTTAGAGAAGAGAGAGTTAAGCCCTTTGAATTTGATCCAGCAGGACAATAATGCTTAACAGAGGAACAAGATAATTCTGAGTATAGCCTCAGTATCCTCAAGTAGTCTGAGACCTGTGAGGACAAAAATAGCAGTTTAGTTAAAATTCTGTAAAACTTTAGGAGGCATAAACATGCTTTGGGACTCGTTTTTTCTTGCCTTTTTTTTTTTTTTTTTTTTGAGATGGAGTCTCACTCTGTAACCCAGGATGGAGTGCAATGGAGCAATCTCCGCTCACTGCAACCTCCACCTCCCAGGTTCAAGCGATTCTCCTGCCTCAGCCTCCTGAGTAGCTGGGATTACAGGTGCCCACCACCACGCCTGGCTCATTTTTGTATTTTTAGTAGAGACAGGGTTTCACCATATTGGCCACACTGGTCTCGAACACCTGACCTTGTGATCTGCCCGCCTTGGACTCCCAAAGTGCTGGGATTACAGGTGTGAGCCACTGCACCCGGTCTGCTTTGGGACTCTTTCTAACAGAGACAATGGCAAAACCATCTGAGGTGGTGGTGGTGGTGGTGGTGAAATGGGAGCATTCCACCCTGGCAGGAAAGCTAGTTTTATTATTGACATTATTAGCACAGGATGATAAGAAAAAGTGACCAATTTTTAGCTGGTTTATGATTGTTGTAAAACTCTCCACTGACAATGCATTCCTTTGCTGTCTGCACTCGGGGTCACTGCTCTTGCTCTCTCCTTTCCTGCATATGCAACTGAAGAGACAAAGACCAGTAGCTCTCCATGGGGGCAATTTTACCCCCAGGGAAATTTAGTAATGTCCAGAGACATTTTTTTGTTGTCACAACTGGGGTGGCAGCAGTGCTGCTGACATCTAATAGGTAGAGGCAAAATATGCTATAGTACATAGGACCATCCTCACAACAACGAATTATCCAGTCCAAAATGTCAATAGTACTGAGGCTCAGAAACTGATATACACCAAGGTGCTCAATGAAGCATTATTTATAACAGCAAAATTCTGGAAATAATCCTCATTTCTAACAATAAAAGAATCGTTAAAAATTATTGATTATCATATGTCCACAGGATGTACTTTGCAGTCATGTTTTCAATTATAACTTGATATAGGCTCACCCTGTAATATTAAATGAAAAAAAAAAGAATCAAAGCTGTGTATACATGCAATCCCAATTTTGTAACAACAAATGCATCACACACATGTCATAAACACAAACACCCCAGCCAGGTGCAGTGGCTCACGCCTGTAATCCCAGCACCTTGCGAGGCCGAGGCAGGCGGATCACCTGAGGTCTGGAGTTTGAGTCCAGCCAGGCCAACATGGTGAGACCCTGTCTTTACTAAAAATACAAAAATTAGCCGGGCATGGTGGCAGGCGCCTGTAATCCCAGCTACTTGGGAGGCTGAGGCAAGAGAATTGTTTGAACCTGGGAGGCAGAGGTTGCAGAGAGCCAAGATCGCACCACTGCAATCCAGACTGGGGGACAAGAGAGAGACTTCGTCTCCCTCCACAAAAAAAAACAAAAAACAAAAATACACAAACAAACACCCCAAGACAGAGGACTGTTAATAAGTAACCAAAATGGATGGATGCAGTGGCTCACACCTGTAATCCCAGCACCTTGGGAGGCCGAGGCAGGCAGATCACCTGAGGTCAGAAGTTCGAGACCAGCCTGGCCAACATGGTGAAACCTTGTCTCTACTAAAAATACAAAAATTAGCCAGGTGGCAGACGCTTGTAATCCCAGCTGCTGGGGAAGCTGAGGCACGAGAATCATTTAAACCTGTGAGACAGAGGTTGCAGTGAGCTGAGATTATGCCACAGCACTCCAGCCTGGGCGACAGAGACATACTCCATCTCAAAAAAAAAAAAAAAAAAAAAAAGAAGTCACCAAAAGGCCAACAATGGTTATCTCTTGATTCGTAGATAAAAATGTTTGTTCTCTTCTTTGAACTTTTCTATATTTCTGAAATACGATAAGCATGAATTAATTTTCTGATCAAATATAATTTTTTTCCAAAACACCTCAGTGATTTGAAACATAGGCCAAACTTAACAAGACGAAATATAATTGGACCGTGCAACATTTACATATAGGTTCAAAGCATCAATTGTCAAAGGCAGGAGTAAGATGCTTTTGCTTATGACCCATTTATGTAAAAAGGGTGTGAGTCAATGGAAGCTCAAAATCAAACAGAAGAGAACTGATGAGGTTGCTGAAAGAGTGATCTAAACTTAGGACACCTTAACAAAATTTTGCACCAGGATGACGCATGCAGCAGTCCTCTGTGGGGCACTTATCTGGACTGCTGAATGCAGTGGTGTGTGACGTATTTTAAGGGGGCTGTTGAAAACCTGGAGTAGGTCCAGATGACAGCAACCAAAATAAGGAGCTTGAAATTGTGACACGTGACAAAAGGATGAAGGAAGTAGTAAGGAGCTTGAAATTGTGTCACGTGACAAAAGGATGAAGGAGGTTGGGATGTTTAGTCTGACGACAAGAACACTTAGGAGAGGTGTGAGAGCTATCTTTAAATATTTGGAGGGCTGTCATAAGGAGAGGGACATATGTGCTGTGCATGGGCCCAGACCACAGAGCTGGCACTAATCACTGATGAGAACTGATCACTTATCTTCTTTCACATAACTTCCAAACACAAAGAAAAAAAAAAACTCTTCTAAATCTTAGAGTTGTCCAAAAATAGAGTGGCTAACTTGGGAAGTCATCCAGTCCCGATCACTGACTTAATGATAGTGTGTCAAGGTTGTTGCCGAGAGGACAGTGGGCTGGGAAAATGAGAGAGCAGCGATGCTACTCATACATTCCTGGTGCCTATTGCTCAATGCATGAGCAAATGCAGAGGGGTCAACATTCATTGAGGGCTTTCAGTGGGCCATGGACCAGGAATGGTGCCAAATGCTTCACACGCTCTGTCCAACTTGTTCCTCATAGCCACCTTGCAAGAAAGGCACAACTCTACATTTGCCTCGTTTTCCAGATGAGGAAATACAGGCTCAGGGAAGTTTAGGGGCATGCTCAAGGTCAACAGCTAGTTAATGTATCAGATTCTACAGCAATGCCAATAATAGTAATAGTAATCATCATAACTGTAGTTGCAAACATTTGTATAATGCGTACTATGCATCAGAGTTCAAAATGCTATGCCTCTATCCTCATTTTACAGATAAGTTTTGGGTAGGTCAAGAATCTTGTCCAAGGCCAAAAATGGGTCAGTGATATGGTTTGGCTCTGTGTCCAAACCCAAACCTCATGTTGAATTGTCATCCCCATGTGTCAGGGGACGGGCCTGGTGGGAGGTGACTGGATCATGGGGGCAGATTTCCCCCTTGCTGTTCTCATGATAGCGAGTTGTCCCGAGATCTGATGGTTTAAAAGTGTGTGGCACCTCCCCCTTTTCTCGCTCTCTCTCCTGCTCCGCCATATTAAGACATGCTTGCTTTCCCTTCACCTTCCACCATGACTGTAAGTTTCCTGAGGCCTCCTAACCATGCTTCCTGTGTAGCCTGTGGAACTATGAGTCAATTAAACCTTTTTTTCCTTATAAATTACTTAGTCTTGGGTAGTTCTTTATAGCAGTATGAGAACAGACGAATACAGCCAGATTCTGTAGTAATGCTAAAAGAGTAATAGTCATCATCATCACAACCACAGCTGTAAACGCTCGTATAGTATGTACTACGTGTCAAAAAACACAGTTTGGAATGCTGCACCTATACAACTTATTTACCATAACACCCTAAGGGATGTCTCTCTTATTGTCCCTATTTCATAGATGAGAAAATGTAGACTCGAGGAGGTTGAAGATCTTGCTCAAGGTCACACAGCTAATGAGCGATACACCTGGGTTTTAAAACCTGGCACTTCAGACTCCATAGCGGTATTAGTAACAATAGAACTAGGAATCCTCATCATCACTGTCATTTTCCCAGTCATAAAAATGGCACAAACATGTACACAGCCCACACTATGTGTCAGGCAAACACAGCAGACCTAGGAGGTAGTATGATGCTTAATTTTATGTGTCAGCTTGGAGAGTGGTTTTGGATGAGATTAACATGTAAATTGGTAAACTTCAGTCAGCCACGGTAGCTCACACCTGTAATCCCAACACTTTGGGAGGCTGTGGCCGGTGGATCTCTTGAACTCAGGAGTTCGAGACCAGCTTGGGTAACGTGGGGAAACCCCATTTCTACAAAAATTAGCTGGTCATGGTGGCACACACCTGTAGTCCCAGCTCCTTGAGAGGCTGAGGTGGGAGGATGGCTTGAGCTCAGGAGGTGGAGGTTGCAGTGAGCCAAGATTATACCACTGCACTCCAGCCTGGGCAACAGAGAGAGACCCTGTCTCAAAAGAAAAAAAATCTGGTGAGCTTTGAGTAAGCAGTTGTCCTCTTTAAGAGGTGGGTCTCATCTAATCAGTGGAAGGCCTGAATAGAATAGAAAGATAGGCCTCCCTGAGCAAGAGGAAATTTTTTAGCAGGTTGTCTTTGGACTTCGTCTGCACTATCAGCACTCCTGAGTCTTGAGCCTGCTGGCCAACCCTGCAAATTTTGGACTTCCCAGCCTCTATACTCACTCCTTGTGAACCAGTTCCTTACGATAATTCTCCTTTTCTGCCTGTACCTTTCCTATTGGTTCTGTTTTTCTGCAGAACCCTAAAATAGGTAGGTACAACTATTATCCTCATTTTAATGAGAGACCCAGAGACATTCAAGAACTGGGTCAAAGTCACATGACTAATAAATGGCAGAGCCGGGATGGAAACTCCAACCACTGGGCTCTGTAGTCCGTGCTCCTACATGGCATTCTCTGGAGCTCCTTCCTCTCAACTGCTGTGTGTGTTATGATCTAGGTGACATGAAATGAGGGGATGAAAAAGGTAAACTCTCAAGGCAGGAAAGTTGCTGTTCACAGAGAAAGAATGACATCCCTGAGCTGCTCCTCCTACCAAATGGCCACTTACTCATTCTTCCAGATAGCCCTTGCCACATTAGGACATTTCTTAATATTTGACAGATTGAAGGGTAAAAGACCCAACAACTTTTCTTCCTCCTGGTATTGTTCAATTCAACAGAGAAAGAATTTACTGAGCACCTTCCACTTTCCCATAAGTTAGAGGCAACTGTCTTGTCTCCTGACTCTTGATTCTCATTAGATAATTTGTGATTTGAATACAGAATATGTAAAATAATTCAGGCTGGGCGTGATGGCTCACGCCTGTAATTCCAGCACTTTGGGAGGCTGAGGCAGGCGGATCACCTAAGGTCAGGAGTTTGATACCAGACTGGCCAACGTAGTGAAACCCTGTCTCTACTAAAAATACAAAAATTAGTTGGATGTGGTGGGGTGCACCTACAATCCCAGCTAGTCAGGGGGCTGAGGCAGGAGAAGCGCTTGAACCTGGGAGTTGCAGTGAGCACCACTGCACTCCAGCCTGGGTGACAAGAGTGAAAACTCCATCTCAAAAAGAAAAAAAAAAAAAAGAAAAAAGAGCATTTAATATAGTTCAAGTGACATATAATGATACAATGCCTCCTCAGCTTCCCCTATGTGGTGGAAATGCACAAGTACTCACGTTGTTGCCTTTTCAAAGTTTTGAAGCCTTGCCCTGATATCAGCAATTTCTATAGTAAAGTTTCTACCTTTTAGTTTACTATACCTCTCGCTGATAGGAAAATCGCTCTTGATATTCTCAGTTTAATTTCACTTTTGCCAGATTTCCATTAATACCGGTATCTCTTTGGACCATCCAAAGCCATCCTCCTCTGGAGGCTTATCTTTCACATAATTTCCAAACAAAAAGACAACACAGACAAAAGCTGCACAAAAACATGCCATGGGACCAGGTATTGAAAAAAAAAGACATTGAAACAGACCCAAACAGAAATACAATGGTTTTATTATATGAGCCTTCAGCGGTAAAGAAGAAAGGAAAAAGCAAGGTTAGCAAAAGAGGAAAGGAAAGCAAAATGACTAGCAAACGCAAAGTGCCTAAGGAGATGGTGTTTTCTTTGTATGCATCAACATACACTCAAAGAATATTTCCCTATAAGGGTGTCATTGCCCACTCACTTCCCGTTTTCAGTTATGTGTAAGAGAAGCTTTTAACTCTATTTTCAGCCCCCCTGGGAGTTGCAAGGAAGAAGGTGTTGCTACTAAAGTAGGCAATGCTCAGCCTGAAAGTCAAGGATACACAAGACGCATACCCATCAGCCTCCTCGTCCTGCCTGGACCAGCCCTCCCTGACCTCTTAGTGGGGGTTGGAAACCGCTGGCCCGCACTGGCCAGACCATGGGGAGAGGCTCTCAGAGGACAGTGTCTCCTTTGTTGGATGTTTTATCACAAAGAAGGTGATACCACAGGAAAAATAAATCCGGAAGCTTCTAGTCTAACCCAAACCTCAGGTGTTCTAGCAAAGACAGCAGGAGAAAAATCCCCATTGCATATCTCTATCTTGCAGTATAACCCTGAGGTCAGTGAAGGTCATTGAGGAAAACCAACCTGAATGTAGAGAAAAAGCAGGGTCTCTGGCAATACAATTTAAAGGTGACAGGACACGAGGCTTTGTTTCCAGGCACAGGCTGCCTCCCTTTCTTGCAGTGGCAGCCCCTCCAGACCTGCCCCTTTATGTCCACCCCACCCTCACCCCCAACACTCTTGACTGTCCACAGGTCATCACCTATGCTGGGCCTTCCCCGTTGCTCTCAACTCACAATGGACTGTTCCTTCTCTGACCTCGGATGATTTAAGTCATCTCTACCATTCAACCTAATACCTAGTAGATACTCTTTGATATTCTTTTCCAACGGTTTCATGTACACAGGTCTTTTCTACCAAATAATATTCCATGTGCCTTGAAAGAAAGGATCTCGTCTTATACTTGTTGGGAATCCCCCACTCCACTAGATCTAGTACTTTGGTGACCTCAGCAAATTCTTGCGATAAAATGCTTGATTTTTATCACCTCCCTACCTATACTTCCAAACGGTTGCTATACTTAGGCCTTCACATTCACGCTGCACTCCTGACCAGTGAATGCAAACACACAAGGCATCATTTTGCAGAAAAATCCGGATATGGTGGAGAAAGAAATTGTCATTTCTCAAGATTCTTGATTTGTTTCTTGAGCTAAGGGGAGGGAAATGCTTGCCAGTGTTTCCTGGCTGATTTTGGTATCATGCTGTTGGCCCTTTTGTGAGATGTGTAAAGACATTTTACTCAATCTGTGAGAAACTTTGATACAGACAGAGGAACTTGGAGACTAGCCAGGCCTCTTTTTAATAAACACAGGAGACGTGAGATGGGCAGGTCTAGGGTGATGGGAAGAGGTGATACTGAATTTCATTTCTTAGCTATATACAAGGGAATAAGATTATTCTTAAGAGGGGGGTGGGTGGTGGTGAAAACAATACCCACCATGATACTGATGGGCAGGTCTGGTTGTATAACTACTGCTGAGGTTCAGGAAGCTCCCAAGATGAGACTTCCATGTTCCAGGGCCGCTTTCCCTTTAAACAGAAGCCGGGGGGTGGGGTGGGGGTGGCGGTGGTGGTGGTTATGGTATTGTTCTGGCTTCAGTATTAATCTTGCTTTCTTCCCACTTGCACCTGCTAATGTTACCCGGCAGAGTCACAGCCATCGCTGGGCCCTTCCCCCACTCTAAGTTTATTTATTGTGGCTATTTTACCAGCTATTGGCTCAACACACTATACTCAAATATTCATCATGTAGCTCTCTGGGTAAATCGTATTTAATCAGCACAGGAGAGAAAATAGCATAATTATAGATGCCGGATGCCATTACACTCAGAAGAAATTAAACCCTGTCTCAAGCCGACCAGCGGTTGCTGTGATTGCATCACTGCTGGGGTTATGGAGAGGTTAGTGGCCATTGGGGGCCAGCAGTACCTCGTAAGGATGCCTGACCCAGATGAGCCCTAAGGAGACCCACTCATGCACATACACATGCGCGGCATCAAATACTCATCAAACGGCGGCCAGTAAATTAATCTTTCATTGTTTGGAGAATGTGATAAATGAGAGGGATAATAAAGCCAGGTTCACGCATGGAGATGAAGGGATGGCAAATAAATGGGCCCAGAGAATTCCAGTCCTAAAAGTGGATAGAGGGAATTCCCATTCCCAATCTTTCCCAGAGCATTTCTTGCCAATAGCCAGAGTGATACTGACAATTAAGGCAAAGGAGGGTGACAACCTTTACAATGAAGCAAAAGCATCCATTTGGGTTATGAGTCCTTACAGGGAATCCTCCCAGCTACAGAGGATAAGAATGCAAATGCCAAACCAGAAGTGCACATTAGTCCTGGTCCTTGCCAGGTAGACTTGAGTGTCTCACATGCAAAAGTTTCCATGTCAGTAATGCCAGTGAGTTGTTTTGCTCGGGGAAATGGAGAAGGTGAAAAGTTGCAAAAACAAAACAAAACAAAATAAAACCCCAAACCCAACCATAATATAATATCAGAGCCCTACCTGCTGAAATGGGCTCCTGGAAAAAGCTGGAACCATGGGGTCAATTTTCTTCCAGCCATTCTCGGCCCGACCTCTTCCCACACACATCCAGGGCCACCTGCACGTGTCCAGGTACAGAATTAGAGTCACCTTTAATCTCACGACACAGCTTCTCTCCCCTGGACCTAAACCCCAGGTCAGCAACCCCATACAGTGTAGAGCACTGTTTGTAAAAATTCAAAAATGTCCAAAGATGCAATTAGGCTTTACTTATTACTATTGGGTGACTGTTTTTGCTTTTTTTTTTCTTTATTCCTTTTTCTTCTGGCTAATAATGCTTCTGAGGTTTGGATAAGTAACTAAGAGGAAGGAGATCTCCTTCTAGTCCATCCTGCTGCCGACAATTAAGAAACCTCAAAGTAATTTTTGAAAATGTCAGCGTCTCATTTAGCAAAAGGATAAATAATAAATGAAGCGTAATCACTGTCCTGTGCTGGTGGTACAGCTTCGCGGTGTCATTAGTAAACTAACGGTATAATATCTTTGTGTCACAGTTTAATTATATCTTGTAATTAGTTTCAGCAATGGATTGCATAGAGTCAGGCCCCCTGAGCTAAACAAAAGGTAATAGAACTTTTCAGCGCCCCTGCATAAATCAATTATGAAAGTGTCCTATGCTATTTGAAGCTTGTTTGCTGTAATTTTATGCACAAAGCCCAACTGGCCCTTCTTGCTTGTGGAGGGCTATTCACCCCACCCCACACTTGTCTGCAGCTGAGCCTGCGGTCGGCCCACACGCAGCCTGGCCCACTGGTGCATTTCTCAGGACCAGCTCAGCAGTAAATACCATGGAGGGGGTGAGGTGCTGAGGGGAGGGGAGGGGAGGTGTGGAATGGGGGGGGCAGAGGACGCACAAGGACCGGAGCAGGTAATAGATGCGCCATGTGCAAGAAAGCAGGGAATCAAATAGGAAAAGATGTGAGGGCTTGGAAGAATGATTCTTTATGCTTCCCTGAACAAAGATGAGAAGGTTAGGAGCATCAAAGGCCAAGCAACGTTGATGAATATGGGCAGGCAGACGAGATACATGTCCCTTTATCATTTTATCCTTTCAACATCCCCACTCTCGCCACGTGGTTGGAATTGGAACCAGCACAGGTTACTTGGCAATAGGGGATAGGGAAGGAGAATCCACATCTTTAATTGGGTCTAATTCGGGTCCCACAGAGCTCAGAAACTGTAAAGGGCTTCCGAGCGTTGTTGAGGGCTAGCTGTGGTCACCAGGCCCAGACAGGAGAGTCATGGAGTCCCGCTGGGGGAAGCTAAGAAGAAACTCAGGGGCGGGGGGTTGGTTAAGTCCAAATGCCACCAATACGTGTGATCATCTCTTTTTGATCAAACTGTAAGGCATGGCAGAGAGTGGGGGTGGGGTCCACATTCAAAGTCCTCATCAAGTTGGCTTTGAAAGTAAGTCTAGTGCCACACTGGCCTTTCTGTTTATACAACAATTTATAGGTTTAAACGAAACCCCGCTTGAAAAAGCAGACTGAATCTTCCTATTGTGAGCACTTCAGCAAATTTAACAAAAGAAAGAGCCCAGGCGAAGAAGAAGAGAGAGGAGAGAGACAGAGAGAAAGGTCCAGTCCTCAGACTGGTGTGCTGCAATCTGGCTGGTTGCTATGGCGACGTGATGGTTTGTTCACATGGCAACATACCTTAGGTCCACTATTAAAATGATGAGAGTGAACTCGGTTGCATTAAGGAAAGTGTGCTGTATGCTAAAGCGAGTCTTTATCTCCAGAGAGAGCTGGACAGAGACTGGCATCCAGTACAAATGAGGGAGAAAAGGAGGAGGAGGTAAAGGTTGGAGGTCTGGAAGAGGGAAGAACCGCAGGGATGCAATCACTATGAAAAGAAAGACCCTCAGTTCTGTGTCTCAGTCGAGGGCCTGGGATTCAGAAGGTAGACAATGAGTTTTGTTTGACATGGAATTCATCGTTCAAATCAGCCCATCAGACTAATGACCCCTTATTTAAAAAACAAAACAAAACATATTCCAGATGAACCTGCTGTACCTTGGCTGTAGAAAACACAACAGTGAACAAAACTCAACCCATGAGCTGTGGCTATAACCAATAGCCAAGCACGAATGCCACTTAAATAAAATACTCTAATAACCGCGAGGGTGGCAAATTACACGGCATTTATTTATCGAACATAAAAGTCCATTGACAGCTACAGATCCACATCATCTCACATTTGAGCTAGTGGGGAAGATTTCCTTTGGAAATCGGGTTTCCTGTTTCCTTTAACATAGTGACAATTTTTCCTCCTACTGATGTCGAAAGGGTGGTGATATTTCAGTGGGTATTATTCCAACAGCCCTACCTATCTACCTGTGCTTGGTTTCTTTCTGCTATTTAGCAAGCACTGCTGTGGCACACATGAGACAGCCAGAAGTCTCTGGGCTCTGTCATCCCATTGAAGGCTCCCAGTGGTACTATAAACCATCTGTGGGATGTCTGAGGCCCCGAAATCCCCACACCCCTCACTCGTTTGGCCCCCTTCCCACCTCTCTATGGCTGACTGTGCTTTATTTGAAAATCTCTTTACCATAAAGTGAAGTGAAGCCTTCACACCGGCAAATGTCTCTTGAATTGGACACATGGCAGAAGATGAGCTTGGGACTGTGATAGTTTCTGACGACAGAGATCCTACCAGCACAGGGCTCAGTTCTAACCATGAGCCACTGACTCAGTTCCTTCTTTGTGCCAATGCTGCAGATGTCTGGTGCCAACAGAGGGATCTGACCCCCAGGAGATCCTGTCATGGCAGAAAAGGGGGAAGGCACAGTGCTCTAAGACCTGCAGAAGGAGCTGAATACTAGGACAGAGAGCAAAGCCAACCACACTCATAAATTGCCTCCTCCACTCTCATCCCCACATTTCTCCTGAGTCTTACGTGATAGAACATTGCTCTCTAAAATTTTCTAGGGTCCTATGATACGCTCTGGCTTCCTCAGGAGTCCATGTAAGCAGTACAGGGAAGCAGGATAGCTCAGGAGGCGAGATCCTAAACTTTGCATTAGAGACCTGCTGTCACTAGCTAGCCTGGTGACCTCTCTGAGCCCCAGTTTTCTGACCTGAAAAATGGGGTCACAGCAGTACCTGACCTCCTCAGGTTGTTGGGAGATTTAAATGAGGTAACAGTTATAAAGGGACATAACTCAGTCCAGGGCATGTACATTTTATGAATTATTATTATTCCCTTTGGACCCAGCCAGTTGCAGCATACAGCATTGTTTCCATTGCAACTTTAGCAACAGACAAAAACGTGACTTTCAGATGATAAGCTCCCGAACAACAGGTCAACGGCTATTCACCTATTTTGGAAGGGTCCAGAATAGGATGCAGCTTGGACATATTTATTCCAGAACCTTCTTCTCTACATGCTGCAGGCCACCAGAGAGAGGCAGGCCTGGCCTGCAGCTCAACTTGCCTTCTTCTGCTAGATGTCTTTCCTTTTGTTTTATATTTTGACTACTGACAAAACACCAGCTTTGTCCCTCTCCCCCAAAGGGTAGGCGGGTGTCTCTTCCTAAGCATGGTAAATTGTATGTAGAGAAAAAGACAGAGAGAGAGAGAGAGATTGAGAGAGAAAGAGGGAAACCTTCTGGTGCCTATCAACTTTCCATGACAGCTGCACTCATGTTCCCTCCTGAGGACCAAAATAACTACAAAGTGTATGAAATCGTTAAGCACATAAAAATCCCGGAGGTAGACGCTGAGAATAAAACTCGTGATTTCCCAACCAAAAGGCATCAAAGCCCAGCCCTCACAGTTCATTTGCTTCCCTCCGTCGATCTGACTTTGCTCAGTAAGCTGGCAACAGTAGCCCTACACACAGCTCGGAGAGCAGAGGGAGGAAGGCTGGGCCCCTGACCTGCCTGGTCCACCAGCCTGGTCTGCATAATGAAGGCATGGGGGCGTGGGGGAGCCCAGAGGCAGATGAAATCAGCCAGAAAGCACTGAAAAGAGAGAACGCATTTGAATCTTCATGGCTTTTTTTTTTTTGCAGCTTATGATATACTTTTCACACGTTTAATGGCGAGGCAGCTAGGTTTAAAGAAACTTTCCCATTTAAATGTGCCATAACAGAATAATAAGGTTATGCAGGATGTCTTGATGTATGGTCCCATCAGGTAGAATGGTGATGGAAATACGCTGTGATATTGAATCTGAATAGGACACCTAGAGAAGAATGTTTAGCTTCGGGTGTTGCAGTACAAATGCAGGAATAGCAAACATAGGAATAGCCCTTATCTTGTAGGCAGAATTGCTCTCGGTTTCCAATCTTCCCCAATAGCCCTTGGCTTGGGAAGTGTTTTTGTAGGGAGCACAGCAAACAGAAAACACTGAACTCCAAATGTGTGGTGAGAGCTATGCTGGGTGATCTAACTAGGAAGCATCCAAAGACATAGACCATTATAAGGTCTGTCTCCACATTTGACCATTCCCTATTTACTGAACGCCCACTAATGTGTATAAAATCTCTTCAAGTGCATTTCAAAGTGCTAAGAAGTATAAAAAAGAGTTTCTACTTTCAAGGAGTTTATAATTTAGTTGGAAAATAAAATGGTCTAGCTGACGGTCAGCAAACTGCAGCCTGGATAGGCCCAAACTAGTCTGCCACTTGTTTTGTGTAATTAAGTCCTATTGGAATACAGTTTCAATGTGTTCAAAGACACATTGTTTACATATTGTCTATGGATGCTTTTTCCTTACAACGTTGGGGATGAAGAGCTGCAGCGGAGACCCTGTGGCCTGTTTAAAATATTTACTCTCTGGCCTTTTACCAAAAGAGTTTGCCAAGAACAAGAGTTGCTCTAGGTTGGGAAGGAGAGCGATCATCATGGCTGGGGGTGGGGAATCATGAAAGGATAATGGAAAGGATGGCCTTTCAGGAGGGCCTGGTGGGACCTGGACAGACCCAGCAGAGTTAAGAAGGCATCCTTGGTAGGGGAAACAGTACAGGAAAAGGTGCAAAGGAAAGAGGCAGCATGACTGTTTGAGGGATGGCAAGAATAACCATCCAGCTAGGACAGCCTGTTACATTCCAAAGCAGTTGGCAGGAAGGATGGTCTGATAAGTGGGAGGAAAACCAAGAAAGTATGGGATTCCTGAAGCCAAGGGAAAAGTGGATTTTCAAGAAGTGAGGGAACAAGGGAGGTAAGCAGTGTCTGGTGCTATCATTCAGAAGAACAAGAGTGTGGAAGATAAAGGAATCGAAGGAAAATAAAGAAATGGAAGTAATAAGTATGGACCACTTGCTAGAGAAGTTGGACCAAGATATGAAAGAAGAGATGCAGGTTAATAATTTGAGTAAATGGCAAAGTCGACTGCAGAATTTGCCGGGTTAAAAGAGACTGTACATGTCTTTGGGTAAAAGAGGAACAGCAGATAGGAAGGGGCTGACGATCTAGGAAGCTAGAAAGTCAGGAAAAGGGAGGAGGAGAAGGAGGATCACTTCCAGCCTCTAAGACCAGTGAAGACTCTGAGAGAGCAAACAGACATTCTGGGTAGAGCAGTGGGTAGCTAGGCAATGTTCCCAGATGGTCTCCTTCATCTCATAAAGGATGAAAACAAAAGTGATCAACCCATCTGGGCTTAAGAGGATTGGCAAGTGAATAAAATATCTGTTTAGGAGCCAGAAGGGCTCTTCAAGCATCAAAGAAACCTTCCATGGGAGCCATGACTGCTTACTGTGATAACACCTCCTGGCAGAGGCCTTTACCTTGGGCCCGAGTGTATGGTAGAGGCCATGGGATTATCTATCACATGAGGGAAAAGGAACTAGAGTAGCTGACAAGAGCCTTTGAGCTGGGCATGTAGCCAAGTGTAGCCAGACTGGACCTAGTGGACCACATGGAGAGGAATGGACTCATATTCACAGTTGCAACTGAGTCAGATAGGAGGCTTGCTGAAATTCACCTGGGATTTGTCTGTGATATTGCTGGATTGTTTTTTTTCCTAACAGTGTCATTCTTGGAGGTGAAGAGGCTTGGCTCATGTTTCAATCATCCTGAGTAAATTAGCAGTGGTATGTTTTCTGCTGTAGGCTCATTGGATTGATCTTTGAGTGTGGTAGACTTGACTACAGTTAACCAATACCCATTCTCCTCTACTTCTAGACACATGAAGGGCTGTACTGCCCAGCTCCCTTGAAGTAAGGTATTCATTTTTGTGGGAAGATCATCAAGAGAGGAAGTGATATGGTAGTTTTCACAAAGCAAACTAAGTAAGTAAAGTGGCCCTATGAGCTTTCTCATTACATGATGGAGAACAAGAAGAGAATGCAATGATGAAAGTGGGTTAAGAAAGCTGTCCTGGGGATTTGAGAATGGGTGTGGCACCAGCCACTACTTGCAACATGACACACAGAAGGAGAGGCCTTTGGTCAAGGGAGTATTAGGCTTCAGAAACTGTACAAATTAGTGAG
Organism: Homo sapiens; assembly: GCF_000001405.40. Classification (NCBI taxonomy): domain Eukaryota; kingdom Metazoa; phylum Chordata; class Mammalia; order Primates; family Hominidae; genus Homo; species Homo sapiens. The sequence goes on from NC_000016.10 coordinate 73,324,717, forward strand.
GCTTCACCTGAACTCTGTGATTTCAGGTCCTCTGGCAGGAGTTATAGAACTTCTGGAGAAGATATCCATTAGGACTGGAAGGGTCAAGTTAGAATTTCTAGGCCCTGGGTGTGGAGCACAGACCTGAGAGAATAATCGTGCCTCCTGAAGTTCTCAGCCTCGGTTTTGTGACAGCCCAGAGTGCTTCCAATTATCTCAAGGGGATCAACATTTGCTCTTTTCTTGATCACTTTTATTCTAAAAATCAAGATTGGACAGGCATAAAATTAAATAATAAAAAACCTTATATTTTTGTATAGCGCTTTTGGAATTTACAAATCTCTTTTGTGTATGTTAGAGCTCATCTGACTCTTTCACAACCTCTCTGGCTGCGAAGTAGAGAATGGATGATAGGACAGAAGAAAGAACACAGGGGGCCCTGGAGTAGTCCAGGCAAGAGGCAATATGGTAGCTCAGTCCAGGATGGTGCCATGAGGATGGGGAGAGGTGGATGGTTAATGTGAGGTCAGTTCCCTCAAAATAATTCATTTATAAGTTTAACTAATATTTATGGGGCTCTACTATGGCCCAGGCATGTGGTTAGGTTCTGGGTGCTTAGAGGTGCTCTGTATTAAGATTGCCTAAAAATGGTGTGGGCAGTGCTAAGACAGATGTGTGGGTAAATAGCTATGGCACAATAAGAGAATGGCTCTAATGAATCTAAGTGCCCTAGGATCTGGGGTGAGTCTGGTGACTCTGCCTGGGGAATTTAGAGAAGCTTTCCACAGGGGAGGTGGCCAGTCCAATGACATGGATCATATCCATTCTTATTTCATATCATATGGCCATGCCTTGCTTCAAGGTAGGTGCGAAGTAGCTCTTCAAAGTGTCCAGAAGTAGAGGAGAATGGGTATTGGTGAATGATAGTCATGTCTACAACATTCAAAGATCAATCCAACAAGCCTACAACAGAAAACATACCACTGCTAATTTATCCATGCCAATTAAAACATGGGCTAAGCCTTTTCACCTCCAAGAATGATACCGTTAGGAAAAAAAAATCCAGCAATATCAAAGCAATATCAAATGAGAAGTAATTTTCCTAGAAGGGAAAGGCAGAAGGGCATGCCAATTAGAAGGAGCAGCATATACAGAAATGCATGTGTCCCAGAATTATGGAGTTTGGTCTAATAATACACACACACAAACACACACACACACACACACACACAAACACACACACACACACACACACAGGGGAGAGTATACTGAGGAGGTCAGCTGAGGCTATATCGTGAGAGCCTCATGTGATTACACTAAGAAGGTGGCATTTGATTGCCAAGTCATGGAAGTATCATGGAGGTTTGAAGCCCAGGAAAGGGATGGTCCTTCTACAGATGGAGAGATAGAAGCTCAGAGGCTGAGCGGCATGCCCATGGTCTCAGGGTCTGCAGTATTGACAAAATACTTTATCATTTATTCAATGCTACTTTGTATTTCCTAACACAGATAAATCATAAAGAATAATATATCATATGCAACGGCCATTTAAGAATTTGGAAATCTGGAAGGCAGCTAAAGGACAGACCAGAAGACACTGAACCACATACGAAAAGCCTAAAGTCCAATAACGGGCTAATGTTCAACAGCAGTAAGTTCAGAAATCCATTCTGAGCCGACTTTCCAGTTCTCAGTGCAATGCAGTGGGTGCTCATGAGTTTTAAAACTGAAGTTGTAAAGGAATGTAGTTCTGACACATACCACAAAGAGGACGAACCTTAAAAACACGATCCTAAGTGAAAGAAGCCAGACACAAAGGACCACATATCGTATGAGTCTATTTATTTGCAATGCCAAGAATAGGCAAACCTATAGAGACAGAAAGTAGTCTAGTGGTTGCCAAGGGTTGAGGGGGGAGGGAAGTATAGGGTGTAACTGATAATGGGGATGTGGTTTTTATTTTGGGGTGATGAAAATATTCTCAACTTAGATTAGGGTGATGGTTGCACAAACCTGTGAATATACTAAACACTCTTGAATCCTATACTTCAAATGGATGAATTTTACGGTAAGTGAATAATATCTCAGAAAAGTTCTTAACAAAACCTGAAGCTATAGCCCCTATTTGGGTCTCCAGTGTATTTATTTAAATATTGAAACTCCCAACATCAACATACCTTGGAGGCGATGCCATCGATTTCTTTGCCAAACGCATCAAAGTCCATATTATGACATCTTAGATAGCTCTCCACACATATTTGTGGTTCTAAAGAATAGGACATAAACATTCCTGGGGATAAGATAACTCTCAGTCCTGAGGAAACCGTATCTCAAAAGGCTCTTTGAAAGGCTTTGTCTAAATAACACAAAACAGAACATTTGGCAGAAATGAAGCCCAGACAAATGGTCATGGGTCTTAAGGATCAAACTATTTTTGTTTTTATTTGCTGGGAGAGTAGTATTCTGAGAAGCCTTTTGGCTTACTTGTTCTTGAGTTCTGTGTATGCTCTACATTCCTCTTATGCACGTAGAACAGGGAGAAGCAATCTATGGCATGTGAGCTGATTTTAACTATGCTGGCTTCTACTGCCATGACCTACCACAACTGCAGTAACTGCTGCCCAATATTCCAAGTATTCCATGAGACCAGGTATGATGACTCATTCCCTAAACCCACTCCTACCCTTCAAAGAGTCAGTCCTTAACCAAACAACCCTCTTCTATTCCCTCCCCAACTTCCCTAGAAGCAGATCTGGGCCTGCCATATTGAAAACATGGATGACCAATGGTTGGATGAAAGCACAGTCTTCAGGTCCCTTCTCCTATGATGCCCACTTTTAATAACATACTTCCTTACAAAGGTGGCACCTGGCAGATGAATGAAAGATGCTCCAAGGATAACCTAAATTGGACTTCATTCTGAAAATTTGAAAGACAATGACAAGATTCAGCAAGTATCTTGCCTTATCATTCAAGAATACCAACTTTATGTCAAGAAGCTTAGACCCAGCAGGCTGGAGTGTCATATGTTGAGTTGCCCTGGAATAGAATCTTTGTGATTGATGACAACTGCAATCTCACATTCACCCATGTGTGGTTTAACTGAATTTTGTGCACCGTAGACAGTTTTGTTTCTGTCATTTGCCCCCAGGGGACTCTGAGGACCTTGATGGTCTTGCTGGCCTGGAATGCCTCAATTCTCCATGGATTTATAAAATCCCAGAGAATGTACTGTGCAGACTCAGGGTGAACATAGACACAAGCATTTAATTTCCTTTACTGGTCATCAACCTTTTCAGCTCAGGATCGGGGGGAACACCAGCCAGAATACTGAACCTATTTGACCATTTTCCTATGCTTTTTAAATTTAATTTAATTTTTATTTATTTTTATTTTTTAAAGGCAGAGCAACTCAGGGTCTTTTAAACAATGAGGTCTTAAATTGTTTTAAAAAGAAAATAGTCTTGGATTCTTGGATCCATCTGTAGTGCGTATTATAATCAACTGATGTTACCAGATCTTCGGTGGGGAACAGAGAAGTGGTAGAAACTGGGGAGGTGGTGGTTGCACAGTCATCCATTTTAAAGGTCTTCCTTAAATACCTATTGCTGTAGATAGGTAAATCTGGTCAATATCAGGAAATAGTATTCCCTGTATTTGGTCAATGAAACATCACTCACTGCTTGACCAGATTGCATTCCACAAGACACTAGTAGTAGCCATCATTTTTGAGAGTCTAAGACGGGAGTTATAGGTTTGGTGTGGATTAACTCAATCTTCATGACATTTTAATGAGGCACGTTTAATTCTTATCCCTGTTTTAAATATGGGGAATTGGAGATTCAGAGAAGCCCCATAACTTGCCTAAGACCACATAGCTAGAAGTTAACGAAGCTGCAAGGAGAGCTCAGACTCACCTGTATCCAGAGTTCTCTCTCAGCTATTCTATGATCCTGTCTCCTGATGAAATAAACAGGCAAACCAAATACGATGTGTGGTGGACATAAGAGGAGACTTGTAACAGAATTAAAGATAAGTGCTCAGAAGGATAAAACCAGGGTGATTGCTGCAATATCTATTCCTTATGAAAATATTCCATTTGCTTCCTGTTGAAACAGACTAACAAGGGATAGGTTGAAAGCAAATATAAGTAAGCAGATACTTCATCTTTCTGATCTGTGCAAAACCCATCCCAAGTGGGCAGTGCAAATCCATGCTGCTCTTCCTTTCTCCTCTTCAGCGAATTAGCACATCGAAGGACCTCTCTGTCCTCCTTATATTTGCAAAGCTACATGAACTCATTCTTTTCCTCTAGGACTGTTGGTCACAGGTACATTCAGTTCAGACTTTTTACCCTCCTTTCCTTGCTGCCTTCCTTCTCAAAATCAGCCTCATTGGTAGTTTGCAAGCAAGTGTCTAGTTAAAACAAAACCTTTCCAAAGGGAAGAAGAGTAGGTTTTGCTCTGCTGTTTTGATTTCTAAATGTAAGGGTGGCGAACCAGATTCACCTCTGGTGTTTCATTGTGGATTCCACAATTCATCACGCTCTTGGCAAGTGGTGGTGCTCCACATGGTGGGGAGCACGGGGGAGGGATCTCAAGGATTTTAGGCAGTGGGCGGTGTTGAGGAAATATCTTCCTACCCTTTCCACCCTCTTGCTTGTGTCGACTATATTTTCGAGTTTCACTCAATGATGGAGTTGTTTCTTAGCGTCTTGTGCGCTTAGCCATTTAATTAAAGCAATCCATATTGAATTCATGTCCAGATGCCTCGACCGGCGGAGCCAGATCCTCATTGGCATGCCAGCTGCTCCAAGAGGAACACGGCCCCTTGCATACTAATCAGGAGAGGAGGCAGTGATTCATCAGCCCATGATACTGCTCCAGCATCTACAAGCACTTATGACATGTAATTGGTGGTGCATAAGCAAGCCAGGCCACATTAAAAACCCTACAGATAGTCAGAGATAAAAATTAATGACTTTTGCTTTGTGTAATCCTGCATGCATTGGTGGGAAAGCGGAGAAGGGGGGAGTTGGGATTAATGGGCAAATCTAAGTAGGCACCAAGGAACAAAGGCCTTCCCGGCCTTGTTTACATATCGAACAATAAAAAACACAAGTGACAAGTTATGGGAAAGGCGAGTGTGAATTTTCGGCACGAGTGAGTTGAAAGACTGCTTGCAGTTTATTACAGATTCTAAATTTCCATATTCATTATTCCAAAACAAACGTCCTCAGTGGGCTCTTCTGGGACTGGCTAGAGCAGTTGTTATTATTCATCTTTCACAGGGGCTGGGTTGTCATGATTAGGGCTGGGCTGGGCTCACTCTTCATGGCATGCCCCAGCTACTCAGGGACACAATGCAGACCTTTGACAAGCCCAGAGGAATGTGACAGGGATCAAGTAGAGTCAGTATGAGCAGGCGCTCCAACAGCAGAAGGAGCCTCACACTTAGAGCAGGATGGGGGAAGAGAGGAGAGAGTTTTGAGCCACCTACTGCTAGACAAGGGAAATAGCCCAGGTGGCCCAGGTAGTAGCTAATGACCAGGAAGGAAAGGAAGAAAGGAAAGTAGGAGTGGCAAATAAAGTGGATTTCATAATTAATCTGGGCAGGTTAATGAATATAGTTATTGGGATGGTATCAGTCAGGTTCTGGTTAATATGGATATTAAAAAGGGGATTGATTACACGTGTGGTTTAGGGTAGTTTCAGATTGTGTTAGAGGATCATGCAAAGTGAAGGCAACAATTCATGCATGTGCTGCAAGACAGTCTTTTGCACTGAGTGCCACATGGGGAATGCAATAGGGGCAAACGTCAGGATTTTGTAGTCAGAAACTGCATTGGTTGTTTATTTAAGGGCCTTCTTTAAGACACAGATGGCCTGGCTGAACTTTGAAGTGGGCTTGAGCAAGAAAAAGCTTCTAGGCTGATGGGTGGATGTGGATATGTTCAGCTACTGTGATCACTGAACAAGGGAGAGGCAAGGGCATGTTGATGCTGAGATTGAGGGGAGGATGGGTCATTATCAAATATTTATGATTGTGGTTTGGTGGAGGCAGGGAGGTAATTAAAAGACAGATACTAAGATAATAGGCTTAAGACATGATGATTTTCCCAGTGGTCTGGCTTTGTCCTTTCTGAAAGGAAGAGTAACATCAACCCTATACTCATTGGTGGCTTTCTTCCTTTCTCTCCATGATGGCCTTGTTCTGATGATCCTTATGCTTCTAGTGTTCTTGTTGGTCATGGACTAGCTTAGTGATCCTCAGGGGAAAATCTGTGGGCAGCTGTGTTAGTCCATTCTCACACTGCTATGAAAAAATACCCAAGACTGGGTAATTTATAAAGGAAAGAGGTTTAATTGACTCACAGTTCCACATGGCTAGGGAGGCCTCAGAAAACTTACAATCATGGTGGAAGGGGAAGCAAACACACCCTTCTTCACATGGTGGCAGGAGAGACAAGTGCAGAGTGAAGCGGGGAAAGCCCCGTATAAAACCATCAGATCTCGTGAGAACTCACTATCATGAGAACAGCATGGAGGAACCGCCCCCATAATCTAATCACCTCCCATGACGTCCCTCCCATGACATGTGGGAATTATGGGAACTACAATTCAAGATGAGATTTGGGTAGGGGCACAGCCAAACCATATCAGCAGCATTTGTAGAAAGGGCATCCTGAGAGTAGAAAATGTCCAAAGAGATGATTGGCAAGAATGTGTTAACTATTCCTCAATGTGACAAGAGCCATGCTTTGAGTTGAGACATCCCTGGTCTTATGCCTAGAGTCCTTTGTTCTTCTGTTGCCACAGAACAAAACCATGCTATCTGGTCTGTGCAGAGAGTACATCCACAATTGTGCTTTCCTAAGTGTCATGATTTACCCATGAGATGCAGTTAAGAGGAGTAACTCATTCGCAGTGGTGAGAATGCCTAGAATTCTTGGTACTTTCTGTAGAAGATCATGAGCTGTTGATATAGTATACTAAAATAACACATTTGTACGCCAGTTCTGCTACATTCCCAGGGACCTGGAACTTGAGTCTTATGCAGAGAATATGTCAACATTTAAAAACAATAGAGGGGTTGGATTTTAAGAGATGACATTTCTCTTCAATAACTTATATCTGGGGGTTAGAAAAAGACGTGCCACGAGTAAAGCTTTCATCTGCCGTAGTATCCTTGTTCTAAAAGAGGACAGCTAGCATCACACAGGAAGAGTTGGGAAATCAGTGGTTAAAAGTCCTATACCACACACCCAAAGAAAAACAAGGCAGAAGAAAAAAAGAAGATCTCTTGAGATTCTCTTACCCATGTTCAACTCCATGCCTTATGCTAAGTGGCTTCAGACAACGTGGCTTTTATAGAGCCTGATCCAACAAAGTAATATTGATTCTCTCTTTTTCAAGGTTCCTTCTCAAGGAAGGGCTGGCTGGGACACATTTCCAGTATCCTGAAAAAGTTGACTACATAATAAAACCAGATGATGATAAAAACGAAATTTGGGGAAAACTGGAGCTATTAAACAAGTAGGAAGTCATTGAGAAACAGAGATTACACACTGGGAGAAAAAAATTTATATAACGAAGCTCTATATCTACTAGAGAGAAAAAGAAAAGAACCTAACCTGTGTTTGTGAGTGATTAAATCATTTACATGACAGTGTAGGGGCCTGAGCTGCCCTTTCCTCCTGCAAGGATGTCAGGATGCCCAACTTGGCCATGTCCACTAGCTGCACATGTTTCTGAGCACCTGGAGTTACAGAGGGTTATACATCTTCCCAGCAGCACAGGTCTCTGGCTGAACTACCACCCAGAGGAAAACTTACTTTCTTTTTGCCTCTTTTAATTTCCTTTAGCAAATAAAGTCCTCTCAAGATTTTCATCTAGTCAGGAGAAGAAACTAAATCCTTTGCTGGCATGTAAGAATATTAACTGTATCGGATATGGGAAGACCACTGGACCAGCAAAAACTTATGTGGACCTGGGACTAATTCAAACCACGAACAAAAGTGATGAGGCAATGGCATGAATAAATACGTAGTGATCTCTTTCCATGAAGAGCTCACAGAGCCCTCAAGGTAGTCAATGAACGTACTCCATGCAACAAGAGTGGTGGCAAGAGTTTGTACAGTTTCCAAGAGAGAAACTGAGACATAGTGAAGACTAGTGATTTTCTAGAGGCCAAATTAGCAACAAACCTAGAAATCTATGGTTGCTCTCTTGTACTTCCCTCTTTCCTTTCTTTTTTCCTTCATTTCTTTCCTCTTTCCTTCCTTTATGGCTTCCCTCCCTCCTTATTCCTTCCCTTGCTCCTTCCATCTCTCTGTCTTCCCCCTTACATTTACTTACTACACAGTTTTAGGAGACAAAGATTTTAGATAGATAGATACATAGACATGTAAATACATAAATAGTTACATAGATACATAGTAGATAGACACATACATGGATACATAGACACATGGATAGTTACATAGATAGACACATAGATGGATAGACACATAGACACACAGATACATAAATAGAAAGATAAATATATAGATACCCAGACACAGATAGAAAAATACAGTTACATAGATAGACACGTAGTAGACAGACACATAAATACATAGATATATAGACACAAGATACATAGACACATAGATGGATAGATACATAGACACATAATAGACAGAAAGATACATACATACATAGACACACAGAAAGATACATAGATAGACACATAAATAGGTAGATACACAGATACATAGACACATAGATAAACAGACAGAAAGAAAGCAAGAAAGCAAGCAAGCAGGCAAGCAAGCCAGTCAGCCAGCCCAGGCTAGTGGTGTCTTGATTATAATCTTGTTGAAGAGCTATTCAGTTGATGGTGGGGTATAGGATGAGTTGACAAGGGACAATAACGAGGGTGGATGTGTGGGGTAGTCAGAAAGCATTTGGATTTTCTAGGGGTAACAAGGGCTCTATACTAGGCATAACCAGCAAAAGAACTGGAAAAGGAGAAGGCAGATGTGAGATCTGCTTCAAACAGAAACACTGAGATTTGGCAACAAATCAGATGTGGGATGAGGTCAAAGGAAGTTTTCACCCCAAGAGACCAAAAAAAAAAAAAAAAAAAAAAAAAAGGTGGTCCCTTCACAAGACAGAAGGTACACAAGAGGAGCAGGTTAAGGACCACAGCTGACTTCCACCTTGTATCCGGCACGCTGAACATCCTGCTGCCAATGCAGGTGGAAGTGTTGAGCTGGTGCAGTCTCAGGTAAGTCTAGTCTGGGATGCTGGTTTGAGAATGGGTGATGCACCCACTCACGAAGGAGGGAGAATGTCCAGGATGCAATCAGACAGAGAAGAGGATGGGGTCAAGGACATGGCTTATGTGCTGAAAGAGGAAGGAGAAAGGGGACAGGAAGGTCTGCCCCAAAGGCAGCAGGGCCAGGAGAATGGAGTCGCCACGGCCAGAGGAGGACAGCGTTCTAGGAAAGCAGAGGGGGCCACGGAGGGTCACCAGCTTCATCGCTGCCTCTCTGCTGAGAATAAGCCACACGGGCTGAGCAGGGAGAAGAGGCTGTTGAATTTGCTGATCCGTGGGAGGGCCATTTTCACGGAGGTAGGCAAGAGGACAGACTGCAGGGGGTTAAGGAGGAAGGGGATGTCAAGGGCATGAAGGCAGTGAGAGCTGAAAACTCATTAACTGCCCTAAATGCTGAGGACAAATAGAATAATAAACTTCTAGGCAAGAATGAAATGCACTTTTGCCTCCAGGAGACCACTTCAGCTCTTGGAGCTGAAGGAAGTGGGGCTCTGTGCCTTCCCCTGCTGTCAACTTCCTGTCCGCTGCAGCCCCCGAGGTTGGCAGAGGGGCCATTGTTCTGCCCGCTCCCCAAAGGACCGTCAGCCGAGTGGCCACTCGCAGTCACTCTTCTTTGTGCCTGGAGAGATTAGAAACGAAGAACGGAAGCTCAAGAGGCTCCAAGACAGACGCTCGGGGCAAGTGGAAGCGTTTCAGAGTCCCCAAATTTGAACCTGTCCCCTCCTCCTCTCAGTCCTGTGATCTTCCATTAAATTGGATAAGGAGATCTCTTTTCCTCCTTTTCTTTCTCATTCTTTTTTTTTTTTTTTTTTTTTTTTTTGCAAAATGAATGCTTTCTGAATCTGCTTGACGTAAGAACTTTCTTTGTTCCACCCTAATGTTGATGGCTTGTTTTGTTCTTGAGTTTGCCTGCTTTGCACAAAGGGGGAAAAATGTCCTCAAAACTAAACTGAATTCAGCAGCTCTATTCATGGCCAAATTTAAAACATTTAAAGGTAAATTCAATTAGCAAATGTAGAACCAATTATTAGGTGACCAAACACAGTTTTCAACATCCAAAATGTGAGTCTTTTTCAGAAAAACCAAGACATACATAAAGAGTTTCATTCTCCTAGGCTAAGAAGATACATTTTAGTACGAAAAGGGTGCCAAACTGTTGAAGTGATAGCTATAATAATATTTACCAAGTGTTACGTGCTAGGCCCTGGGTTTTTCCTCAGAAAACAAAGAAATCAAACAAATGAAGACAGGTTTATTTTCCCTATGACTTCGATTTTTCCAGAAATTTTACAATTCTGAATTAAACAAACACTGGAGTGAATTAGAACCTAAAAGATAAAAAGTGATTTTAAAGAACCCAACAACTGAGTAAAGGACTTATCTTTTACCCCGTGTAACTTTGCTGAATATATCCAGTATTTCCAGGAGTAAAGTTTCCGCTGCAGAATATTTTTCTCCTTTGATATATTTAAGGCACTGATGTAACCATCCACGGCTTTATAGTTAAAGCCATCAAAACAAACTCAGATACAACTCTGACAGCTATTTCTACTGTTCGTTGCCAATGAAGATTCATGATCAGGGTATCAGTCACCTTTGTTTGGGCTAAATTTCATGTACGTAATAATAACGTCCCTGAATGTCCCCAAGGTCCTGCCATTTGATTCTCCCAATAACTAGATTCAACATCATGAGCTTTTGTGATTTGAATTGAAAGGGGCTGGAAGTTGACAGTGGGGGAAGGCACAGAGTCCCACTGCCTTCAGCTCTGAGAGCAGAAATGGTCTCCTGGAAGCAAAACTGCATTTCATTCTTGCCTAGAAGTTTATTATTCTATTTGTCCTCAGCAGTTTGGGCAGTTAATGAGTTTTTGACTCTCACTGCCTTCATGCCCTCACCGTGTCTTGAAATGTCTAGGCCACATTTCTACAAACAGCACATCACAGATTCTTTTTCTTCTAGTTCAATGCCCAGTTCTGCCTCTAGCCATTCGCAGCAGTGCACGTGTTCTAAGTTGTGTTAACAGCTGGAGATGGATCTTTACTGCTCCACACCCAGGCTCCCATTCGTTCTGGGGTGTCCACCTGTGTGTATCTGGGGCGGCAGGTGCAGGCAGTGGAAGGTGGTGGAGAGGGAGGGAACTAACCCTATTATTAACCTGCGAAGCACCAGGGACTGTGCAAAGGCACTGGGTGTTAATTATCTCATTGAATCTTCTTATATTTTTAACTTTTATTTTAGTTTCAGGGGTACATGTGCAGGTCTGTTATATGGGTAAATGCTGTGTCACGGGGGTTTGGTGTACAGGGTAATCCATCACCCGGACAATAAGCATAGCACCTGATAGTTTTTTGGTCCTTACCCTCCTCCCACCCCCCACCCTCAGGGAGGCCCCTGTGTCTATTGTTCCCTTCTTTGTGTCATTGTGTATTCAATGTTTGGCTCCCATTTACAAGTGAAAACATGTGGTGTTTGATTTTCTGTTCCTGCATTAGTTTGCTTAGGATAATGGCCTCTAGCTCCATCCATGTTGCTGCAAAAGACATGATCTTGTTCATTTTTATGACTGTGTAGTAGTTCATGGTGTATACGTGCCATATTTTCTTTATCTAGTCTACCACTGATGGGCCTCTAGGTTGATTCCATGTCTTTGCTATGTGAATAGTTCCGCGATGAATATACGTGCACATGTGTCTTTAGGGTACAATCATTGAAGCCTCTTAACAATTCTGGGTTCAAACCTTTCATCCACTAAAGCAGAATCTGTTCTCTGCCGTCTTTGCAACCGCATCCCCTGTACTCTCAAGGGTCATCAACCCTTAGCCAAGTTTAAAACAATCACAATTTCAAATTTCCTTCTCATGATCCCGTCCCTCGCTTCCCCAAACCTCTACCATTTACCTATAAGAGCACCCTGTCGAGCCTTAATATCACCCTCAGAAAGATTTAAGGCAGACCTACAAGGTTCCCTGGACTCCTGGTCTGACCACCACTTCTTACCACCACTACCTGCCAAAGGGACCTCCCAAAAGTGAGGCATAATTTACAACTTTCCCCTAAAAGACCATTAGACTCAATATCATCATATTTCAAAATCCCCATTTATTTCCATTTACCTGTTAGTCCCAGGCTTTCAATCATCCATATGTTCCCAGATGCTTATCCTTCATGGCTGTGTGCTCCTAATCTGACCCAACCTTCCATCCATTCCTAACCTCCCAAATCCTTATCCTACGTCCTGTGGGACTCCTGTTCTGTCATCACCAAAACTCCCTCTCCCTGAACCTCCCCTCTACACGTTCTGGCGACTGTTTTGCCCCAGTATTCTCTGGAGGCCACTGCTTTCTCTGAGGCCCCTTCAGTGGTGAGCTTTGTTACTTCCACATCCCAAATACCATAGTGCCAGGAAGTGGGTGGATGTCTTCATCACCTCCCGTTACTGCTTCCAGGCTACTGTTCTCCAAAGCCTCCTTTGAGGCACATCCCATCACACTGTGCACTGAATCCTCCTCCTCATCGCAGCCATTGATCACCTTGCATAGCACATCTGCTGACTCATGGAATCTTTTAATGCCTGACTCACCGTCTTTGTCTCCATCCCTGCTTGCCATTACTCTTGATGACTTCAGTATCCATAGACAATCCATCAAATGTGCTGGCCTCTCTGCTGCTTGACTTGCTCACTTCTCATGACCCTTTTTCCTACCCTTTCTAGGTCCCCACTGTACTGGTCACACCCTGGACCTTGTCATCACCAGCAACGTCATCACTTCTAAAATGCTCTTTTAGAAGCATCCCTCTCTTTTTAAACTTTCTATCTTCCCAGCTTACTCTTTCTAGTTTTCCAATTTCAATAAGTCTTCATCTTCCCTTGGCGGGGGGGGGGGTCCTCATCCCCTTTTTATGCCCATCCTCTGCCTCATGTTTTGCTTCCGTTCTTACACAGTTTAGATTCCAGGGTTCATAACTAAAACTAAAACTCGTGCATACTCTCAGCCTCCTTGATCATCAAAACCCTAAGTTGCTCAATCAAAACCCTAACTGATCTTGCTCATCAAAACCCTACGTCTGATAAACTAATTTGTTTCCTAATCTGCAGATGAGCATCAGAACGTGCTGAAGAAAACCGCACAGCCAGGCTGCCTGACCTCACTTTAAATGTATGACCACAAGTGTCACGTGGACCCTCAGCCCTGCCTAGCAATCCCCACCACACCATGCTAGGCAGCCCCTAAGGAGTCTTGTCACCCACTGTCTCCCCTGTCTCCAGCCCACCACACACACTACTGACAGTTTTATCCCTTTGAAACATGACTGTGTTCTCAGAGCTTCCCCAACCGGGAGGCTGGGCACATCGTAGGGCCTTGGCAAATATTTGATATGTAAGTAATTAAATGAATCACACTAAATAAAGGTCAACTTTTTTTTTCATTTTAACAGTCAAAATCCTCTGCAGCTTGGTTCAGCCACATCTCCTATATGGGGCCTCTTAACCCCTTCAAATTAGTCTATCAGTTCTATCAGGTCTACAAACAGACTACAGTATCCCGAAATATGATCGATTCGATGGAATCATGCAAACTTGCCAATATATGACTGCTCTGACCTACAAAACAGCAATTTCACATGCACCCCCACCCCTGCCAATATATGTTTCTGCCTCTCTGATTTTGCTTAAGCCATTTTAAATGCCAGATTATCTTTCTGGGTGATATAGTTTGGATGTGTGTCCCTGCTCAAATCTCATGCTGAAATGTAATCCCCAGTGTTATAGGAGGGGCCTGGTGGAGATGAGTGACTCATGGGGCGGATTTCTCATGAATGGTTTAGCACCATCCGCTTGGTGCTGTCCTCGCCATAGTGGATGAGTTCTTGCAAGATCTGATCGTTTAAAAAATGTGTGGCACCTACCCCCTTGCTCTCTTCCTCCTGCCTTCGCCACGTGATGTGTCTGTTTCCCTTGGCCTTCCACCATCATTGTAAACTTCCAGAAGCCTCCTCAGAAGCAGATCCCAGTGCTATGCTTCATGTACAGCCTGCAGAACTGTGAGCCAATTAAACTTCTTTTCTTTTAAACTACCCAGTCTCAGGTATTTCTTTATAGCAATGTGAGAATGGACCAATACACTTCAGGCCATCCAACTTGGGCTTCAGAATCTGATTTTAAGTCTCATCTCTTCCAAAGAGGCTCTGAATGTAGAGCTTTTCTCCTGCCCTCCCAAAGCACTGTGCAACTTTTTCTTCTTCACCTGCTCTCCTCTGCCTTGTAATGAAGTTGTTTGTGCCTATCTCTCTTCTCTCATTATCTCCTCCAGTTGTGAGTGAACTCCTTGAAGACACCATCTTGTCTTATTCATCTTTGAGTCCCTCACAGGTTCTATTACGAAGCTCTACACAGAGGAGCTGCTCAACAGGTATTTGTTAAATGAACTCAAATAGTGGTTAATTGTTCCAAGCATGTAACCTTATATTCTATCATCTAACAGTGGGAGAAATAGGTGTATAAAGTCTATTTCGTCTTTTTGTTCCACAACAATTTTAAAGTACTAATATATTTTTCTATTAGACGTTTTGCCACCTCACCAATAGTAGGAGAGAAAATTCACTGGGCTGGGAGCGGGTTGCTTATTCAACCATTGAGATAAGCCAACTAATCAACCATGAAGAGTAGGAGGCCTATGGTAATATTTATCCTGGCAGGATGTTCTCCTGGTCATTTCCAGACATGAACTGACATACAAGGGCTTAGGACTTTGGATATTCCACAAATAAAGCATTTCTTTGGGGCATCAGCGGCTCCTTCATTTGGTCTAAACAATAGGTGAAAGAAAGGTAGCAGCTGATGCTTCAGCTGCTGACGATGATGACAAAAACGATAATGGCATTTATATGATTCAGCAGTGCTCGACAAACCCAGCAAATTACTTGTAAAGTTGGCAGTCAGGGCTGTCAATGAGAGAGTCACCTTTGGGCCAGAAAGCAGCAGCCACATTTGCATAAAAAGAGAGAGCTCCTAGCACCTGACAGCTCAGAGGGAGGTGAGCAAGTAGAACTCTGGGATCAGGGAGACTCACGGAGGTAACAGGCTTACGTTGCAGTAGGGAAGACTGATGCTCAGAAACAAGGAAGAACTTCCGGAGAACTAGGGTCTTAGCAGAGGAAGAGGTGCTCAGAGGAGGTTATTGAACTTGCTCATAAGAGTTAAAGCAGCATGGTGTTGGTGCCTGAATAAACAGACCACTGGAATAGAGCAGACAGTCTGGGAATACAGCCAAGTGTATATGAAAATTTAGGACATAATAAAGGTGGCACTGGCAGTCACTGGGGTGCAGATGATCTTATTTATTTATTTACTTATTCAGAAACAGGTCTTGCTCTGTCACCCAGGCTGGAGTGCAGTGGCACGATGATCATGGCTCACCGCAGCCTTGCTGGGCTCAAGCAATCCTCCCACCTCAGCCTCCTGAGTAGCTGGGATTATAGGTGCATGCCATCACGTCCAGCTACTTTGGTTTTTTTGTGTGTGTGTTTTTTGATTTTGTAGAGACGAAGTCTCACCATGTTGCCTAGGCTGGCCTTGAACTCCTGGGCACAAGTAACACTCTCACTTCGGCCTCCTAAAGTGCTGGGATTATAGGCGTGAGCCACCGTGCCTGGCTGATCTTTTTACTTGGTGGTGCTAGGACGACTGGCTAGACAGTTTTTTGATATAGTTAGTAAAGTTAGTTCTATCCCTCCAACCACAAAAAAGACTGTCTTCCAAAGTGGATCAAAGAGCTACATGAATAAATGAACCCTACAAGTACTGGAAAAAAACATGGGTGAATTCTTGGGTGTGAAGAAATGACTTCTAACTTGAGTCAATATCCACAGTCAATAGAAGATTGATAAATTTGATTATATAACATTTAAAAAATTGCATGAAAAAAACATCATAAGCAAAATCAAAAGATGCGTGACAAACAGGAGAAAACTGTTTGCAATTTGTATCACCGGCCAAAGGCTAATTTCTGAAATATACAAAGTCTTCTTAAAAATTGAGGGAGCCGGATGCGGTGGCTCACACTTGTAATCCCAGCACTTTGGGAGGCCGAGGTGGGTGGATCATGAGGTCAGGAGTTCAAGACTAGCCTGGCCAACATGGTAAAACCCAGTCTCTACTAAAAATACAAAAATTAGCCGGGTGTGATGGCAGGCACCTGTAATCCCAGCTACTGAGGAGGCTGAGGCAGGAGAATTGTTTGAGCCTGGGAGGCAGAGGTTGCAGTGAGCTGAGGTCGCAACACTGTACTCCAGCCTGCGTGACAGAGCAAGACTCCATCTCAAAATAATAATAATAACAATAGAGAGGAAAAGGCCAATAAAAAATGGATGAAGGATGTGAACAGATGATTCCAAAAAAGATACATAAGTAGCCTTTAAACATAAGAAAAAAATGTTCAACTTCATACATAATAAGTGAAATGCCAGTGAAACTACATTAAAACAGTTTGATGGTTCCTCAAACGATTACTCACAGAGTTGCCATATGACCCAGAAATTCTACTCCTAGATGTACACACCCAGGAGAAATGAAAACATCTGTCCACACACAACATATATGAATGCTTGGAATTGCATTATTCGTAATAGACTAATGGTGGAAACAACTTAAATAGATAACAGATAAATGGATAAATTCCACAGATAAATGGATAAACAAGAGATGGTATATATACACAATGGAATACTATTGGGTCATAAAAAGGAATGGAGTACTGATATATACCATAATCTAGATAAGGCTTAAAAATATAATGCTCAAGTAAAGAAGCAAGTCACAAAAGGCTACATATTGTATAAGTCCATTTATACAAAGTGTCTTAAATAGCCAAATCTATAGACAGAAAATGGATTTATGGTTGCCTCGGGCTGGGGGTTATGGGACATTAGGAGAGTGAGAGGTAAATAGTACTAGGTTTCTAAAATCGGCTGTGGTGATGGTTGCAGATATATGTGAATATACTATAATTCACTCAATTGTGCACTGTAAAATGGGTGAATTGTATGGTACATGAATTATATCTACATAAAGTGGTTTTTGAAAAACTACCTTGAAATATTATTTCTCACCTATTAGACTCATAAATATTAGAAAGCTTGATACATTCTGCTGGTGAGGCTAGGGGGAAACAGGCCTTTTCATAACTTGTTAGAGGGAATGCAAATCGGTACAATAGTTAAGGATGGGGTCTTTGCAAAAGCTAACAAAACTACGTATTTGTACACCTAGTGACCCAGGAATGTCACGTTTAGGAATTCACCTAGGTAATTTATCCTGAAGACACCTGTCCAACAATATAATACATATTCACATGGCTACATACTGAAGCATGGTTCACAATGGAGATATTGGAAACAATCTCAATGGCCACGAATAGAAGACTGGTTGGATAAACGATGGTGCAATCAGACAGTGCGGTACTATTCGGCTGGAGAAGAATGAGGAAGAGCTCCAGGAGTCGATGAGGAATGATTTCCAGGATGTGTTGAGGGAAGAAAACGGGTGCAAAAGATCATTTCTAGTATTCTCTATTTTTTATAAGAAAGAAGAGGAAATAAACTATACAAGTATCTACCTATTTTAACAAAAGGAAACATTGGGAAGAAAATCAGAAATGGAAGAGATTGGTTTCCTGCAAGAGGTGGGTAGGTACAGGTGGGAGGGCTAGGAAGGAAAGTGGCACTTCTCTGAATTTGCCTTTTTACTTAATTTTGACTTTTATGATCATGCTAATGTTTTATATATGCAAAAAATCCACAGGGATGGGGAGAACACCCCTAATAGAAACAAATGAACCAAAAAGTATTTCAAATGAGCAACACAGTGACACTGTGTGGGGGCTGGGGAACTGGCCCAAGTGACCTTCCAACAGAGAGTTCTGACCAGGTACCCTCAGTCTAAATACTAAACAAAATATTGAAGTCTAGTTAGCAGGTATGTTTTTCACAGTGCTATGCATGAACAATTCCAAAACAACTTCCTATGTATCTCAGGATTGAACAAATGAATGAATATATTGAGAAACATGAGAGCTAGGTATCTAGTTTCTTTTAGTGAAGACATGTTTTTTTCTTTTTCTTTTTTTTCCCCTAAATATACAGGAAGGGGAAAGCTAAAATGTTGTAGGACTGAAATGGAAAGTATCAGTATGTTTCATATATATGTGTGTGTGTATGTATGCATATATACATTCTGTCCATTAAAAGAGTCTTGAATTAATGATATCCCAGTAGCCCTGATGCTCAGATCTTTCAAATTCTCTTCTTCACCAAAAGAATCCAGGACTCTTTGGAGAGATGGCTGAATTCCAGCTCAGGTAAGTTATAGCTGATCCTGAACATCTTGCTCCATAAAACAAGAAAGTGCTCAAAGCATGAAGAGGAGGCCACATGCGGTGGCTCACACCTGTAATCTCAGCTCTTTGGGAGGCCGAGGTGGGAGGAATGCTTGATCCCAGGAGTTTGAGACCAGTCTGGGCAACATGGCAAGACCCCATCTCTCTAAAACATTTAAGAAGTTAGCTGGGCATGATGGTGCCTATCTGTAATCTTGGCTACTCAGGAAGCTGAAGTGGGAAGAATGCTTGAGCCCAGGAGTTAACGTGAGCCATGATAATGCCACTGCACTCCAGCCTGGGCAACAGAGTGAGATCCCATCTCTAAAGCAACAACAACAAGACATGTGAAAAGAACAGAAAGGGCTCCTGTTGTCCAACTCTGGGACAATTTGGGTATCAAAATAAATCATGATGGTAATGGATTACAATCCCTTGAATAATCCATCAGAATCCATGAATTCCTACTAATATAAATGGATGCATAAATATATCATTAATGGAGAGAAGGGAAAGTTCTTTCTTGCAGTAGAATTTGACTCATAAATGTGAAATGATGGAATTAGAAAATCACTGGGCAAACATCACAGTAATAACTGGTTCAAATAAGAAGTGCCCATGGATGCTAAAACTAGTAGGTGAATGTTTGATGAAGATCAGGATATTTATGTCACTTCAAAATATCTCTCCACAATTTCTTATTAGTTGCAAATGGAAAAATAGCAACCTTATAATGGAGAAACCTGGCACATAGCACCTCAGCCAAGTCATTAAAGATAACATCACAAATAATGGCACTGACCCAAAATCATATCCTCTGACTTCCTCACTGAGGAAGACACAGCATCACTTCTGGGGTGTTTCTGCCAAAAATTCATCACCTAGATCTAATCATAAGGAAACATCAGACAAACCCAAATTGAGTAACCTTCTACAAAATAAATGGTCTGTACTCTTCAAAAATGTCAAGGTTAAAGAAAGCAAAAGAATGGGTGAAGATAAAGAATGAGGAATTGTTCTGGTTTGAAAGAAACTAGAGAGATGTGACAACGAAAGGCAATATGTGTTTCCGGATAAAGCACATTCTTGGAAGGATGGAAAAAATTTGAATTTGGACTGTGGATTCATTGATGGTATTGTATAAATGTTCAATTTTCTGATTTAGATAATTGTACTGTGATTAGGTAAAACAATGTTCTTGTTCTTAGGAAACATACACCAACATGTTTAGGGATAAGGAAGCACAAAGCCAGCAATTTATTCTCAAATGACTGAGAAAAATTATATATCTACAGAGAGAGACAGAGAGAGAGAGAGAGACAGACAGACTGACAGGGAGACAGGGACATGGGGAAGAGGAGAAAAGGCATGAATGGTAAGGGAATGGGACAAAATGTAAACTGCTGGGGAAGCTCGATGAAGAGTATGTCAGTAATTTTTCTACTAGCTGCTTTTTGTAACTTTGACAATAAAAATGAAAAGTCAAGAAAGCATTGCTCACAGATCTTTGAGAGTGGGCAACTGCTACATCTCAGTTTTGACACCTGCTTGTGAATCTGGGGAGCTGCAGAGAGAACCTGGGTCCCTTGGGCCTTTGTTTTTCAAGCTGCACCAACTTGCCCTGTATCCCTTGTCCTGTTCATGGAACTTCTCAGCCTTACTCAGCTTAAAGGGGTTGAATGTGAATGGTTTGGAGCAAAATCTTTTCCTAGTTAAAAGCATTTTTTTTCATAGCCCTGGATTTAAATCTTTTTATACGGAAATATTATCCAATTAGACACAGCTATTTTCTTTTATTTTCAGACAATAAAAAGTCTTATTTTGTTATTTCTTTTTAAAATTAATTTGAGTTTTTAAGTTCCAGGGAACATGTGCAGGATGTGCAGGTTTGTTACATAGGTAAACGTGTGTCATGGTGGTTTGGGGCACCTACCAACCCATCACCTAGGTATTAAGCCCAGCATGCATCAGTTATTTTTCCTGATGCTCTCCCTCCCCCCACCCCACCCCCCGACAGGCCCCAGTATGTGTTGTTCCCCTCCCTGCGTACATGTGTTCTCACTCTTCAGCTCCTACTTATAAGTTAGAACATGCAGTGTTTCTTTTTCTGTTCCTGCGTTAGTTTGCTGAGGATAATGGCTTCCAGCTCCATCCATGTCCCTGCGAGGACATGATCTCGTTCCTTTTTATGGCTGCATCATATTCCATGGTGTATATGTACCACATTTTCTTTATCCGCTTTATCACTGATGGGCATTTGGGTTGATTCCATGTCTTGGATATTGTGAGTAGTGCTGCAATGAACATACAGTTGCATGTATCTCTGTAACAGAATGACTTATATTCCTTTGGGTATATACACCCAGTAATGGGATGGCTGAGACCCAGCTATTTTCAATATGACGTTGATCTGTGAGTGAGAAGTCCTCTTCTCACCTGTGGTGCTTGGTGGTGCTCGGTGACACCAGCCCAGGGCCCTGCTTCCCTAGGGCACAGATGGGTCCCTGACTCAGCTGTGGCCAGAATTTAGAACATGTTGGTTCTGGGTTGTGAAACTAAGCCATAAAGACGCTGGGATTCTCTACCTTCTGGGCTATGTATTATTCCTTGGGGAGGGCTCCCAGGCCAGAATGAGGGAGCTGTCCCTCTGAGACCCTTCTCATCCTTGGGTTATTTCCCCCAAGGCTCAGCGACCCTGCACCTTTTGATCAGCCCCTCTCCTGGCTGTGAGTGTTGAGAGACCCCCAGTCAAATCGTCCCCAACTCAATATCACATTCAGATGCCCAGACAAAGTGTGATGATCCAATGGATACATCCTCTGCCTGCCTTTTGGAACTTTTCCAGCATTTGGGAAACATCTGTCCCTCCCAGACCACTGAAAGCTTGTCTTTGAAAGCCTCACGCACCTGGAACACTCTGGGCTCTCCCACCGTCTGTCCTCTCGCCACCATGGATGCACAGGGCCCCCTTTGTCTGGGCAGGCAGCATCTCCCCACTCAGCCCAGCCCTGTGATACCCAAGGTGAAGAAGAATCACAGATTGGCCAAAACAGCTATGGAATGGGTCACCCCAAGTTGTCATGCACTTTATTTACTTATACAAAGTTTTGCTTTGTCATCCAGGCTGGAGTGCAGAGGTGCGATCTCGGCTCACTGCAACCTCCACCTCCCCGGTTCAAGCGATTCTTATGCCTCAGCCACTGGAGTAGCTGGGACTACAGGTGTATGCCACTATGCCTGGCTAATTTTTGTATTTTTTGTAGAGATGGGGTTTCATCATGTTGGCCAAGCTGGTCTCAAACTCCTAACCTCAACTGATCTGCCCACCTCGGCCTCCCAAAGTGCTGGGATTACAGGCGTGAGCCACTGTGCCCAGTCTGTCATGCTCTTTGGACACTGAGAATGGGGACCACAGACCTAGCCAAAGAGACCTGTGACCTAAAGAGGCCAAGGAAGAGGAGACTTCTCTCCTCCCTAAACCATGAAGTTAACTATTTACCACTGTTGTAATTATCCTTATTATTTCACTTAAGAATGATAATGATGATTCCAATTAATCTTCATGTTCACTATAAGGAGGTATGGTCATTCCTGTGTTACAAGGGGAGGAAATTGAAGCTCAGAGCCATAAAATAACCAGCAAGGATCCTGGAACTGCTAGGTGCCTGAACCCAGATTCAAATCTAGGTCTCTGTGATGCCAGAGCCATATAGAAGACACACAAATAAATATTTGCTCCTTCAAATGACTGCAAAGTCTATGTTTACACAGTTAAGTCCCCAATTCATGTCATCCCAAACAAACTTCTTCCATCTGATTCTACTTCCTGACACAGCAGGGCCCACAATCACAACCATTCCTTTTACTGGGAGTATCCTCAGCCCGGAGGGAATTGCTACCTTTTCTTAGCTCCATTGCTGTCTGCTCTCCAGGCCTGGATGCCCCGTAACAGGTATTCCTGCAGCCCACAATGGTGTCCAGCTTTGTTGGGATACCCAGTCGTGGAAACACACTTTGTGATATCAGCATCTGTTCCATCTGGGGCATCAGGGACTCAGCCTGTTCCTCACCCATAACCTCCTTGCCCAGTGGGTGTCTCTGCACCGTCCTCACCCTTCTCAGAGGTAGATAGCAGCAACCAGGAGCAGGGAGGCTCAGTGAGAGAGAAAGTCATTGGTATTGGCAGGTGGCTGAGGCTTGACTTGGAGCTATCAGCTGTGTTTAAGCATGACTGCTATGGTAACACATTTGCGCTGAGAACTACACTCTCTATTTGTCTGTTACAGTAGTTAATTTCATCTGTTTTGCAGAAATATTTACTAAGGGTGAGTGATGGAGGCAGGCAGCTGTGGCTGCATCCACTGTAACCATATGGTTTATTTACAACCAGAGCTCCATGGTGCAGATAGCTCAAAGAGGATTAAATTATACTTTGTAGATTAAAGTCCTGAACACTATAAAACTCATAAGCCTTTGTATGCTAAGCAAGAACTTTGATTCCCATTGGACATGAAGCTGATATTTTGCACACACAGAAAGAGTGAAAACTTTTGATATTTAAGTATTTTCTTAAAAAGCTGGCAGAATATCAAGCTTGTTCCTTAGGCAGTTGACTGGTTAAAGGGGAAAAAAGCAGCTTCACAAATACCTTTTAAAGGAACTGTGTGACCTGCTTCATTCTCACTATAAACAAGGCCTCTCCATCTCTGTTTACTAATCTTCTTGAACTTGGGCAGGCCGACTGCTTAAAAGGAAACTGCCTCCAACCAGCCAAAGCCACGGTTTATTTTTCTGCTGGCCACCAAGACATACTCCATGTAATTACATCCGAAGCACTCGGCTTCTCCAAGTTTACTTAACATTGGTGAGAAAATAAGTCCTAAGGAAAAGCCTAGCATTGTTGGAATCTTCCATGCAACTGGGAGCAGCTCCGTTAAGTCTCCCTGCGATGGGTTGTTAATCACCTCTCTGGCAAGGGTCCTTCACCTTTGGGGTGGGTCATTTGTCCTCCTCCCAGCCCCCCAACCCCAGCCTCCATCCTCTTCAGACCCTGAAAGAATTCCGTTCAATATAGCCTTCTCATTCATCTTTAAAGTTTCACTCTCTGTCACCTTCCACTTGAAGCCGTGTTTGATGTTTCCACGGGCGTTTCTACTGATGGGCTTCACCCGGAGAGCTTTGTCGTTGACTTTGAGACTCTGGCGTTCAGAGGATGGACTGATCTTCGCAGGTGTTATTTTCTGCACACGGTGCAATTAGCCACACAAGCCCAATTGGCACAAGCAACACACTCACACGTTCTTTGCACTGAACCCTTGGTGCTCATTTGGGAGGCTCTTGTGGGACCCACATTCCCGGTTAAAGACGGGAAAGTTCCTTGTGGATGACCAACCCTCACCAAGATAGGTGTAGAGGCAAATTCAGCCTGCCAGAAGCCCAGGGACTTCTCATTCATTGGAGGCAAGTCTTATGTGCCTATGTAGGGAATCAGATACCGTCTTGTGGCATTTCAGTACCTTGGTTCGGTGGAAAATCAATGACTTCATTAAAACACAGTGGGAAAATATACTTTTAAAAGAATTTGGAGCAAGAATGGGGATGGTTTTATTATCCTGGGGGTCCACAGGAACTTGTGTGTCTCAGCCTTCTTTTGGGGGCATCAATTAATAACAGATCAAAACAGAACAGATTCCCAAGGAGTATTTTTCACACTTTCCCACTCAGGGATCTCCCGAGGGATCTCTTGTGTCTTCCTGCTACCTCTAGACTTTTGTTCTGCCACAGCAAAGGTATCAAACATCTTAAAATCTGGAAAGGAGGCCGGGCAAAGGCTTGGAAGGCAACAATCCCCGGGAATTCCCCCAGCTGCTTGTCACACACCATCCTCACACCCTTCCCCTGGAGTCACACTGCAACCCTGACACCTAGTTGGAGATTGATCACCTGATCAGAAGAATTACCTCTAACCAAGTGCACAGTCAGCAGCCTCATGCAGGATTTGTGAGATCCCATACAGTGTTTAGTGTGCTCTCGTAGGAGGTGTTAGTAGCAGTTGTGTGAATAAAAGGTGATTGTAACTGTACCTTTCATTGGGGTGATCTTGTTTAATTTTCACAATCATTTCAAGAGATAAGGAGTACAGATGTTATCAGTTTTTGTAAGTGAGGAAGCTTGGGTAGAGAGCTTGTCTATCGCTTTACCTCTCTCTCTCCCTTACTTCCTCCCTCCCTTCCTCCCTCCCTCCCTCCCTCCCTCTCTCCCTCCTTCCCTCTCTCCCTCCTTCCCTCTCTCCCTCTCCCTTCCTTCCCTCCCTCCCTCCCTCCTTCCCTCTCTCCCTCTCCCTTCCTTCCCTCCCTCCCTCCCTCCTTCCTCCCTCTTTTTTCCCTCTCTTCCTTCCTTGTTCCCTCTTCCCTCCCTCCCTCCTTCCCTCCCTTTCTCCCTTCCTTCCTTCTTCCCTCCCTCTCTTCCTTTCTTCCCCCTCCTCTCTTCTTTACTCCCCTTCTTCTTCCCTCCCTTCCCCTCCTTTTTCCTTTCCTCTCCTTTTCCCCCCTTTCCATGGATCCTTGAGAACTCAGGCCTGATACCCATGGCTTTTGCCTTTCCAGTTCTTTATTCTGGAATAAAGAACTGGCAAGGCAGAAGCCTTTTTCCTTGTGTAGGGAAAGTCACCTTTCTCCACACAGAGAAATCTGCCTTCTTTTAAGCAAAACAGTTTGAGGGAGGATGCTGAGTCTTCATCAGCCTAGATTCCAATTATAATGGACCTATAGCAAGCTGCACTGAAATCACATCTGATTTATTCAACCCCTTTTCCCTGATGATTACCTTCTCCATTCTGAACAAGAATATCTCCTCTTTCTGGGTGAGGGAGCAGCCTGATGATAGCCTCATTAGAAAATGCGGCCGCTCCTTCTTGCAGTCTAATTGGCTGACAGGGTTTGGGATGTGAAATGTAAATTGCTGACAGTGTGCACGGCCCTACTTT